>NC_000023.11:20319306-20622336 GCF_000001405.40 Homo sapiens | reverse complement strand
TTATTGAAAGGCTCTTGAAACCATGAGCCCATAACAGATAAGGCTCCAAAAAGTGACCAACTTAAAATGGTCCCTACCAGTTGTTTACAGAGTGTGGTACATTGATAAAAAATAAAAAAATTTAAAAAAAATTAAAAAAAAAACAAGAGAAAACTGCAGATATACCAAGCAACTGCCATCTAATCAAGAGGTATCTCAGAGACAAGTTTCACTCATCTGAACAGATTCAACATCTCAGAGGTTGATTGGCTCTTTGGCCCATATGAATTCAGTTTGAGCTCTGGTTGGTGGATAAAGATATGTTTAAAAAAAAAAAATACCCTCTTAAATCAATGCTGGAAACTCCAGCACAGGACTAGGCAGAAAAAAAACATGTGGGCCAATGGCTAACTCAGGGTTATTAAGACATGGATCATAGACAGCTCATAGCAACCTGCCAAGCATAGTTCTTAAGGCCTTGGGGCTATACATAATCACTGGGCTTAATACTCTGTATGGAATGAAAGTCCCTAGAAATACCAACAGTTTCTACCCACGTTAGCAAGACTAATAAATGGAGAGTGTCATGTCATCCATTTCTTTTCTCTGTGATCTCATAATAACACATATTTCAAGAGAGACCTGGGACCACACCAACCCAACCTTAGGCCTTTATATAGGTAAATTAATTGGAGAAAGTATAATAACAGGAATTTAAAGGCTCAGTGAGATGGGAAAGTTGGAGTGGATTTATCATGTGTAACTGGCTTACCCAACCACAACTATGTCCTCAAGAGGAGTAGATTGACCACCCCTGAATCTATCAAGTCTTTATTGACAGCACTCATCTCTAGTTACCCCAGGGGTTTGATTTTGATTAAATAGTTTGTTAAAGTTAGGGTGTGTCCTCATTTCATAGGTTAAGGAAGAATTTTGAAAGTTGCTCAGTATTTCACTTGCACCTATCTGCTCAGGAACTGTGAAATAATAGGATGGTATTATGGAGCAAACTGTGTCTCCTAAAATTCAGATAACAAAGCTTTAACCCCCAATGTGACTGTATTTGGAGATAGGGACTTTAAGGAGATATTTAAAATTAAACAGGGTCATTATTCTGGGGCCCTAATTTAATAGGAATGGTGTCCTTATAAGAAGAGGGAGAGATACCAGGGGCACATGCAGAGAGAGAAAAGGTATGTGTGAGAACACATAGAGAAAACAGCCATTCACAAGCCAAGGAGAGAGACCTCAAGAGAAACCAACCCTGCTGGCACCTTGATCTTGGACTTCCAGCCTCCAAAACTGTGTGAAAATAAATTTCTGTTGTTTAAACCACCCAAACTGTGATATTTTGTTGGCAGGCCTAGCAGACAGATGGACTTACAAAACTCCCAGAGCCACAGTGAGATGAACTTAGGCCAAAACTTCATTTATCATCTAATGATTGTTAGCCCGTGACACTGATAGGCAGACCACATTGGTATTCTGGGTTTCCAAGAATTATTATGAACTCAATGCATTTTACTTTTTCCTAGTGAAGCTACCTAATTAAATAGCTCCAGACCCCTTGGAAAAAGGTCAGGGGTCAAGTTTACAGTCCCACAAGAGTGCCCAGCATCTTTTTTATTGAAGGGGCTCTAGATCTGTTATTGACTCAAGCCGGGAATTGGAAGAGGATCCCATATTCTCTAACATTATTACTCAGTCTCTGTTCACCAGACAAAGAAGATGTTAGATCACACATTTAGTCATTTATTTCAGCTCTAGAGAAACCATAATCAATTAGCTACTGCCAAAGATCCCTGTGGGTCAAGCCAGTATGACAAGCATTTAGGTTTGTTGCCTATTATGATAACCACACCCACTGGCTTCTAGTGACTAAGTGCTATTACTCAGCCTCTGCCTCAGCCACCCTGTTTCAATAGTTGCATTTCCCATCTTTGTCCCTTGCCTACAGAAAACATCAATACTATGCTTTTCCAGGATGCTGCTTCCACCTTCACCAATTTATTCTTTATTGCCACGGTGAGGAAAATATCTTCTAGGTTCTCTCAGAAGACATAGCTGTAGGTTAAGTAAGCCAGTTGAACATGATAAATACACTCCAATATTTTTATCATCATAAGCCTTTGAATTCCTTCTTTTACATCATAGATATTTCTGGCATCACTACTTTATTTCACATAGGCCATCATTAAGTACAAGTTTTAGTCAAACGAAACAAATAGAACTGGCTGCTTGAATTCAGAATATATGGCAAGGGCAGTCTCGTTAATTAATTCAGCCCAATCTAAAATTACTTTGAGCCCTGTTGCCCTGTTTTTGTTGTTGTTGCTACTGTTTCTTCTTTTGGTTGTTATTATTGCTATTCACCAAAAAAAATCAAGTCACACTAAAGATTTTGTGAGTTCAGTCACTTCATTAAAGATTTAAGAGATCACAAGAAGGATCTCAGGGCTACTACACGATCTTCCACTATTCTCCCATTCTTCCCTTTACACTCCAAATATTTTTCAAAAGACCATGGTTTCCAATAAGTTAGATAACTTACATAAAATAGACAAAATCCTAGAAAACACCAACTTCCAAAAATGACTCAAAAAGAAATAGAGAATCTAAATAAATATAAACAATAAAGAGATTGAATTAGTGATCAAAGCAACCGACATTCAACACAAAAACTTGTACACAAATTTTCATGGCAGAATTATTATAATTGCCAAAAAGTGCAAACAAACCAAAGGTTCATGAACTGATAAAATGTAAAATGTTCATATTATACAATATTACTTAGCAATAAAAAGGAATGCAATATTGATACATGCTACAACACGGATGAACTTTGAAAACATTATGCTAAATGAAAGAAGCTAGTCACAAAAAGACCAAATATTTTATGGTTTCATTTACATGAAATGTCCAGAATAGACAAATCTATAGAGCAGTTGCCTAAGCTGGAAAACATGAAGGGTAATGAGGGTTGGCTGCTAAGGGTTTGGGGATTGCATTTGGAGCAATTAAAATGTTCTAAAATTGTGTATGGTAATAATTTTACAATTCTGTGGATATACTAAAAACCATTGAATTGTATACTTGCAATAGCTGAGTAGTACAGCATGTGAATTATATCTCAATAAAGCTGTTACCAAAAAAAAAAAAAAAGCCTATGGTCCCACAGATGACTCTATCTCAATCAGCTCTGTAGAAGTATAATCCTGGCCTCTGTTCTAATTGTTTCTCTTGGTCCTTTCAGTATTATTAACATGTCAAATATCAGAAATAAGAATATATATTTGTCATAATAATGAGCTAGAGGTGAAATTGAAGGCCAAATGAATTACTAAATTTATGTAAAATACAACATTTCCTTGACATAAATATTGTTTTAAAAATTAAATCATCCATGCTTGAGAAAATTTTAACTTGAAAAACACCAGACACCTTTCAATATCAGATATTCAAGAACTTAGCAATTTAAATATATAACCTAAATTATAATTTTAAAAAATATTTATTATTCAATTTGTACAACTTCATTATCAATTAAATAACTAATGCAGATAAGCAAAAAGAGAACTTTTTAAAAATCACACATAATAACACTACCCAGAGGTAACTTATCATTTTTTTACTTAATTATGCTGGTATATACATGCAAGCATATGAGATTACAGAGTACTTACTCAGAGATTTGTGAGTGGTGTCTACTAGTCACCATGATAAGAAGAAAGAAAACTTTCATATTAATAAATATACAGCTTTATCATTAATCTTAACTGCTGTATCATATTTATTTTAGACACACCATAATTTATTTATGACATCTCTATCGTGAGACATTTATACTATTCCCTCTTTTTATTTTGCATAAATGACAAAAATTAAACCTTCTTGATACCCATCTTTACATATATATTGAATCACTGAATTAGGATAAATGACTAGAAGTGGAATTTTTGAGCTAAATAATATATACTTGGATATGATATATATTACAAAATTTCTCAGCAGAATAATTCATCAGAAACAACCAGTATTATAAGAAAGAGTGCCTATTTTTCCAAATCTTAGCCAAGACTTTGTGTCTGCAATCTTTTTAATCCTTACTATTCTGAGAAAATATATCTCATTATTTTAATTTGCATTTATTTGTTTCATATTTTAATGTTCATAGGCTTAGTAAGTTTACTATTCACAGCCTTAATTCATTTTTTATTAGTTTTTCTTTTTGTATCAGTTTATAATAGCTCTTTAAATGCTAAGGCTATTAATCTTTTCTCTGTCATAAATGTTGCAAATATATTTTTTCAGTTTTACAGATATAGTGTTTTTTACCATATAGAACTTCTGAACATCTTTGTGGTCAAATATTTCAATATTTTTTAAATTTTATGTATGTATTTATTTATTTATTTGAGACAATCTGTCACCCAGGCTGGAGTGCAGTGACATGATCATGGTTCACTGCAGCCTTGAACTCCTGGGCTCAAGCGATCCTCCTGTCTCAGCCTCCCAAGTAACTGGGACTATAGGCGTGCACCACCATGCCTGGCTTAAGTTTTTTATTTTTGTAGAGATGGGGTCTCACTATGTTACCTAGGCTTGTCTCAAACTCATGGGCTCAAGCCATCCTCCCACCTCAGTCTCCCAAAGTGCTGGGATTACAGGCGTGAGCCACCATGCCTGGCCAGTCTTTTCCTTCTGATTTCTGCCAGTGAGGTAATGGTTAAAAAGCCCTTCCCAACCTAAGACAAATATTGAGTCTCCAACAACTTTTTTGATTTCAAATATTCAATCTATGAGGATTTAAATAGAGCTCCAAATTAATTTTTTGCCACATTATTAACCAAGTGTCAGCATAATCACTAATTTGAAATGTGACTTCTCTCACATATTCTAATTCCTATATACGTGGGGGTGTGTTTCTTTTTCTTTTTCCTTTCCCTTTTTGAGACAGCATCTGGCCCTGTCACCCAGGCTGGAGTGCACTGCTGTGATCATGGCTCACTGCAGCCTTGATATCCTGGACTCAAACGATCCTTCTTCTTCAGCCTCTGGAGTAGCTAAGACTACAGGTGCATGCCACCAAGCCCGGTAAATTTTTTTTTTTTTTTTTTTTTGAGAGACAGGGTCTTGCTATGTTGCTGGTCTTGAATTCATGGGCTCAAGCTATCCTCCCACCTTGGCTTCCCAAAGTACTGAGATTAGAGCTATGAGCCACCACATCTGGCCTCATGGGGTTGTATTTCTCAACTCCCTCTCTCTCTCCCCTGGTCTATCTGATTGATCCTATCTGCAACAAGACTTTCTCCTTTACTGTGCTGATCATCTGTCAACACTGGGCTCCATCCATACTGAGCAGTCTCAGTGATGGCTGCAGTTTTCTGCTGGCACTTCCAGTCCTTATTACATGACACCCACAAACAGGTTGCTTGGACCCCAACTAATTACATAGTTTAATGACTGTTTTTGTTTTCATTTTTGTTTTGACCAGTAATCATAATGTTTTATTCTTCCTAGCATATACTTCAGTCATTCATTCAACATCAGGCCACAAGGGTGCTTGGATCAGGACACTGTCAAGTAGGTCACCATGCCACCTATTCCTAAAATCACTGCTCCTCATCCACCCATTAGATATTGTTGCTGAGTTTGGCTTTCCATGTCTCCCACTCCAGAAGGCAAAAAATTCTCACAATGTCCTAGAAGGCTGTACAGGACGTGGGCCACCTTTACCTGTCCAATCTCATCTCCTGCAACTCCCTTGGCTGCCTTCACTTCAGCCACACTGATGTCTTTACTATTTCTTGAACACTTTGGCCAGGATAGACCAGTTTCCCTCCAGGACAGTTGTACTGGCCATTCCCTCTTCCTGGAATTCTCTTCCTTCAGATATCTACATGGATAACTTGCTTACTTCATGTTTTTGCTGAAGTGTCACCTTGTAAAGGATATCTACTCAAACCATCTGTTATATACTAAATCGTGTCCCCTCAAAATTCAGATGTTGAAGCCCTAATCCCCAATGTGACTGTATGTGGAGATAGGGCCTCTAAGGAGGTAATAATAATTAAGTGAAGTAATAAGGGTGGTACCTAAATCCAATAGGGCTAGTGCTCTTATAAGAAGAGGAGGAGACACCAGAGCTTTTTCACAGGGACACTGCGAGAAGGCAGCCATCTGCAAGCCAGGAAGAGAGCCCTTATCAGAAACTGAGTTTGCTGGCACTTGATCATAGATTTCTAGCCTACAGACCTGTGAGAATATAAAAGTCTGTTGTTCAAGGCACCAACTCTGTGCCATTTTGTTATGGCAGCCTGAGCAAACTAACATGCCACCTCATTCATAAGTTAACACCATCCCCCTCTTCGCCTGTACTGCTAATCCCCCTTATATTATTCTATGCTAGCCCTTAACATCTTCTTCTAAAATAATCTAAAATTTACTTTAATTTTTTATTTTTAAATTTTGTGGGTATATAGTATGTGTCTATATTTCTGAGTTACATGAGATGTTTTGATATAGGCATGCAATGCGTAATAATCACACCAGAGTAATTGGGGTATCCATGCCGTCAAGTATTTATCCTTTGTGTTACAAACAATCCAATTATACTCTTTTAATTATTTTTTAAATATACAATAAATTATTGTTGACTTTAGTCACCTAGTTGTGCTATCAAATATTATATATTTATTCTAACTATGCTTTGCAACCATTAACTATCCTCACTTCCTCCCTGCCCCTCCAACACTTCCAAGCCTCTAGTAAGCATCCTTCTGTGCTCTATCATCATGAGTTCAATTGTTTTCATTTTTAGCATCCACAAATAAGTGAGAATATGCTATGTTTGTCTTTCTGTTTCTGGCTAATTTCATTTAACATAATGGCCTCCAGTTCCATCCATGTTGTTGCAAATGGCTGGATATCATTCTTTTTTATGGCTGAATGGTACTCCATTGTATATATGTACCATATTTTCTTTATCCATCCCTCTGTCAATGAGCACTTAGGTTGCTTCCAAATCTTGGCTACTGTGAATGATGGCAAGAATGTGGAGAAAAGGGAACCCTTATACACTGTTGATGGGAATGTAAATTAGTACAGCAACTATGGAGAGCAATTTGGGAAGTTCCTCAAAAAACTAAAAATAGAGCTACCATATGGTCCAGCAATCTTACTGCTGGGTAAATACCCAAAAGAAAGGAAGTCAACATATCAAAGAGATATCTTTACTCCCATGTTTATTAAAATTTACTTTTTATTATTTTAATTGCCAGTCTTCCTCCACTAGAATACAAACTCTATGAGTGCAAGGATTTCTGTTGCTTTCATTCACTGATGCATTTCCAGCATATAGAACTGTACTTGAAACATAGAAGATTCTCAATAAATATCCGTTGAATAAATGAATGAATCACAGCAGGCCTCTTCTTCCTTTTAGGTGAAGTCTCTCTGTCTCTCTCAGAAGCCCTATTCCCTACCCCATTCCATTCCACTTTGAGGACACTATTTGAGTCCCTTGTTCACATACGGCCTTGGCTCCTATGACAATCAGTGCAAGGCAATAGATATTAAAGTTGGAATGAGAGATCCCCTTCCTCTGGGCATATCTGAATTTCAGGTCCAACTAAGCAAGGATATTTGGTATATTAATTGGGGGGTTCCAGGTAGCTCACTGGGGAGGTGAGCTCAGGGATCAGGAGTGAAGGAGCAGGGAGAGTAAGGCAGACAAGGAAGAAAGTTAAGGAAGGGTATGTTCTTGAAATGATTAATCCTGTGGGCAGCTGGAGACTAATCCTGCTGGGAGCACACTGGAAATGATGTAGAATGTGCCTCAGAATGATTCCTCCATAGGAGAGGAAGCCATTATGGGCCCTTTCCTGTCCTCCTTTGTTTCAGAGTTGCATCCAGAGGTTTTGACCCCCATGCCCCACTCCTTGCCATATCCCAGGATGTTCTATGTGAGGGCTGAGCAAGATGCAGCAGGCACTGGGGAGAACCCCTCAGCATACACAGGAAATGGCCACCACAGCTATGGCTGAAGTCGCATAAAGGTAGAGGGAATGTGGTTTGGGACACAAAAAGAATCAGCTACATTTGGTTACAATAAATTACATTTTAAGAACTACTTTCAAATCTAATGATCACAATAATTTCATATTCTATTACTAAGCTTTCCTTTTTCACATATTTAAATGAACTTTGCTAGAAAGATATTATCCACAACATGGCATGATGAACCCATAAAATGAGAAGAACCCAACTGCTCCATGAACAGAAAGCCAGTCTGCAGCTCTTAATCTACCTTTATTTTCACGAGCAAGATCACTTGTTGGATTGTGAGAATTCTGTTATCCACTGTAGCTCTTGCTGCCAGTAATTTTCACTGTGTACCCATGATCACTGCTCCTCACACGGCAAGATGTGTGTAATATTTCAGCAAGAACTGCTGTCTGTCTTATTAGACTCTCCTGAAAGCCTCCTCAGAAGGCTCATCGCATTCCTCTCACTAATTAATTAAAACTGTTGCACCAAGTCAACTAAATGGCACAGTACCCAGGAACCACAATGATTTTCTCAGAAAAGAACATCTCCTAATGAGGACTTCATCTAAGGACAGAGCATTCATTCTTTTTCCAGGAAATCCAACTAAATCAATTCAATATTTAAGGATACAAGAAGTTTAATAGACGTAAGAATAGACAAATAAAATATATGCAAAACCTGCACAGAGAAGAGCTTGAGCATGTACAAAGAGATTTTCTAAAGCTCAGTTCTGGAAAGAATTTATGGTCAAGGAAAGGATAAGATGCTTAGATAATACTTGCGTCCATAATCATCTGAAATGTCCTGTCTGGTAGTTTTGGATGCAAGTCTAACTCGAATTAGAACTGTTCCTGGCTTAGAACTGTCAGTATCTATTTCTACCTGACTAGGAGGACATGCCTGGCAGGTAGTAGGTCTTTACATTTGTCAAAAGCACAATACCTCTTTCAACTTAATCCTTGCTTCTGTACCTGAGAAAATAAGCCTAACTTTAGGCTTGGTATTCTGCCAAACATTCTTCAGATTTAGGCTCAAGTGGTATTGAACAGTTATGGTCCAGGCAATGTGCTAGATGCTTCAGTGTAAGCTTATCTCATTTAGTTATCATCCAAACCCCATGAAATGGGCACCTACTATTTGGTAGATGAGAAAAGTAGACAACAGAGAAGCTGAGTCTTTTGCTCAAGGTCACACAGCTAGAAAATGTACAGTCAAGGTTCCAAGTTTAGGGACTAGGAATCTGTTTGCTTGCTGGCTGGCCTGTTGGCCTAAAATTTTTTTACCATTCCTCCCATCAAGAGGGGGCTGCTTTATGACTCTGCTCCTTGAATCCAGGAAGGCTTCTAGATACTTTGACCACAAGGGAAAAGTGAAGGTCATGCTATGAGATCCCGAAGGCTTGTTCACAAGGGCTCAGCAACTTGCCTGGACTCTCTTGGAGCACTCGCATCTTCCAGAGACTCCTTGGCCCCTCACCCAGCCACATGGAGAGGCCACACATAGATCCTCAGGTCAACAGTCATTGAGTTGTTCCAGCTCATACCCCAGACATGTGAGAAAAGAAGCCTCCAAATGGTTTCAGCCCCCAGCCATTCAAGTCACCCCCAACCATCTGAGTCCTCCCAGCTGAGAACTTACACATCATGGGTCATCACTGTACCTTGCCTGAATTCCTGACTCCCAGAATTTGTGAGCTTAATAAAATGGTTGTTGTTATTTATACCACTAATTTGGGATGGTATATTGTGTAACAATACTAATTGGAACAAGGAACTTTCCCTAAACTTTAAACATTCTGTATACATGTGATGACATACAATCCCACAAAGTTCCCCAGGCTCATGGAGACCACATGAGTGCCAACTAGATCCCTTGAAGTTACAGGGGAGCAGAAAGCTGGGACTCTGGCCAACTCTGATCTGGGTTTTGTTTCAAACACTCTGGCCTCAATAATTTTTCACTTTTTTCTATTAGGACTTTTCAGTATCTATTTCTACCTGGTACCTTGTCTAAATCACACAAAGCATCCTCAGTCCATCTGACCCTTCCTGGAACCATTGAGATTTCTGTGTTCATTCTTCTCAGTTCTAAGTTTCCTGGTGGTCTAGTGGTTAGGATTTAGCAGTCTCATTCTTCACATTCCTCCCTCTGGCCTGCAGAAAAAAAAAAAAAAATAGATCTCTAGTTTCTCTTGCTCTCAATCTCCAGACCTGATCACCTACTCTATTTTAGTTGAAGTCACTATTTTTCACAGATATCTAAGCTTACCTGCCCTAAGGACCTGCCTCATAGTCTCTCAACGTTAAACATGAGATCAGGAGGGCATCTATCTTTCCTCTCCACCAGAGACGGCATAAGTGCTAGATCAAGGGCCTGTCCAGACAAGAAAAGCAGAGCATCCTCAATTGAAACATGAGGTTTTATAATAATTTGATTTTTTAAGCCCTTACCTTAAATATGTCATCACTTTAAAAAGGAAACATGTATGGATTGTATTAGAATCTCAATCAAATAAAAACAATTAACTGATTATAAAAAATACAATTCAAGATAACTATGCTAACAACTTTTTAAATAAAAGCAGGCATTTGGAACGATGTTTCTGTTTTAGGGACTCTGATTAGGAACGTCATGTCCCAAAGCAGATCAGAGCCCAGATGGGGCAGAGGTAAGTCTCACATTGCGGAGTCTGTGGTTTCTTATCTAAGTAAGGTCCAACTTAAACCCAGACAGAGTAGGCAAATATTCTGCATACTAAGAGCAGAGAGTAAATAGGAATTTCTCAACGCTAAACACAAAGACTAAGTACACAGTAACTAATGCTTGAAATTCTACTATTCCAGGTTTATTCCTTTGGCTTAAGGCTTTGTTCCCCTTTACAATGCAAAGATCTTGTGAGTTATTTACAACTTAGTGATAGAGACAGGTCTTGCCAACTACCTACCTAATATCCATGTTCCCCTTTTATCTGGTTACAGAACCCCAGTTGGGGGGTAAGGTAGCAAGATGCCCAGTTTCCTTTTCAGCTGGGGTGGTCATGTGATCCAGCTCTGGCTTATGACATATAAGTGGAAATCATTGGGAGGAACTGCTTAGAAAGCTTGTTAAAAGAGGCAGACTTCTAAACACAATGGCCCTTTCCATTTTCCATTCTTCCTTCATGGAAGGTGTACATACTTCATGAAGGCACAGGAGCCATCTTGCAATCCCAAGGACAAGAACTCAACACTAAGGATGGAAGAGTAGATTTAAGAGCTAAAATGCGGCTGAGTTCCAACCTTTAATCTAAAATATTCATGTAAACATTGGTTCCTTGCATAAAATCAGGGATAGGCCAAGATTCAAAATGATGGAGAGTTTCCTTTAGGTTAAAATTATTGGTATTGTTTACCCCATCTCTTTCATAAAAATATTCTCATAGGTTGTGGGTATATTTTGTGAACTCTCACTACCAGTTAAGTACGTGGGAATCAAGTAAGTCACAATGTTTTACTTAAATGCCACAAAGAAGGATTTGCCCATTTCACAGCACTGGGGTAGAGCAGTGCTTCTGAAACATTAATTGCAATATGAATTAGCTGGGGATCTTATTAAAGTATAGGCTCTGATTTAGCAGGTCTAGGGTGATACCTGAAATCCTGCAGTTCTAATAAGCTCCCAGGTGATGATAAAGCTAGTCCATGAACCACACTTTGAGTTGCCAGAAAGTAGAGCAGGTGCCAACCGGGATGCTCATCAGGATCATTTTTAAAAAGAAGAAAACACACACACACACACATACACAGAGAGAGAGAGAGAGACAGAGAGAGAGAGTGAGTCTTGGGCCACATCCCAGCTCTACAGGTCAGAATCTCGGGGGATGAGGTGCAGGAGTTTGTTTTATTAACCACCTCCCCAGGTAATTCCTATTTAGCCATAAGATGCACCTGGTCTGCAATGAGCAGAGCAGCATGTCTCAAAGAGTAGCTGTGCACCTTCTAACTCAGAATTGCCAAAGGAGCTTGATGACCGTGCAGATACCTTCCTTCTGCTGCTTGGGAAGGAGGCGAAGAGGTGGATGGAGTACAAAAAATAAGGAGACTGTATAAAATGGGAGATTGACATCACTTCAACTCCCACCTGGCAGGAGTAGAGAAGGCCAATTCTCTTGGAAGTGACAGCATGGAACATCCCTCCTGCTGCCTGACCACCTGCACATCCTTCCTTCTCTTCCTCTCCCTGGCAACTGCCGCAGCCAAGGCTGCCCCTCAGGGGTGCTGGGAGCTGTGGTTAAAGAAGAGGGAGAGGAGCTCAGAGAAATTGTGGAGTTGGGGAAAAAAATAAGGAAAGGCATAAGAATTACAAACAGCCATAGGCTTCTGTTTATATTGCAATTCAGTCCAGTGGAAATAAATAAATACCTATTTTGATATCTGTACTCACTGAAACAATAATAATATATTATTCAGCCAGAAGAGTGCCTTCCAATTGCATTAAATTGTGTCTATGTGCAGATAAGGGTCCAGAAGGCTGTGAATCATATTAATCCCTAATTGGTGGAATTTAATGTTTTTCTTATTGCATTATACTAATCTGTGCTATTTGAAAGTTTTACCCCAAGCATGGATTATTTTTATAATCAGAAGTAAGTAATAAAGCCATTTTTCATTTAGAAGAAAACAAGAAGTCACAGTGCTAAAATACTACAAGGACAGATTAAGGAAGGATACAGCCCCTTTATTCAAAAAACTCACACACTCGGTAGTCAGAATCATGGATGTTTCCTGAGTTGCAGGGACATGTAGCTATGTGGCCCCATGACAGATGTCTGGGCTGGGTTGCCCACAGGGAGTGGCATTTGGTCCAAAAGTCCAAGATGGATTCCAAATGAATGCTATTGAGTGCAGATCTGAAGAGGAGTTTAGTTTATTAAAGGAGGGGAACTTGTCAAGATTAATTTGTATAAATAAAGTTCATTTGGAGATAAATGTATGGGTCTGAGGGATCTAGAAACAGCAGGTGTAATGCTACAGAAAGATAGTAATCTTGCAATTATAACAATGAGATGAGTCAATAGCTTGGCTGGAAATTCAGCAAGTAAACCTGAGACCTCCTTAAAAATGGAACCACTTCTTGTTGCCCTGGGACTTGCTCCTTATGGTACTGAGATGATAGAATTGTCACATGCAAATGAATTAAATCATAACTAGGCATGGAACAACGATCTTTGTAGAAGTTTTGGAGGGCTTTGTACATTCGATAAAAGATGAGCTCAGGAAAGGAAAAATCTGAATTAAACAGGATCTGCTTACTTGGGAATTCCTTGAGTATTGCACACCTATGGTATCTTCTTCCATTGACTTTAGTCGTGGTCATGGAAAATAATAAGCTAAATATTTGTGAGTTCATATTGTCTCAGTCTCCTGCTTAAAGCTTGGGAGAAAAAAAGAAAAACAGATAAAGCAACCTGGAGGGAGGTGGGGGATTTACAATTGTAAATCACTGCTAGGATTTTGAAAGCTGGGTCAGCAAATCTACCTTAAATTCTAAGCTTCTGAACTTTCACTTATGCTGCCCACAACCTAGAGATTGCTAGTTTTCATATTTCCTGTATCTATCACTTTCTATTAGCTCAAGCTCTGGCAGTGAACACCAGTTCATTAAATGACAAATACGAACCTAAATACCAAAACACAAACGCTTAAACTGTTATGAGGCCCCTTCTTGACAGTGATGGATAAAGGCAGAAACAAGGGAGGAGTTTCTACTTGAGGGCTGCACAATACACCTTTGCCTTGGGCAATCTCAGGCGCCTTGGGCAAGGACTTGGAGGAAAACCCTGACTTCACCATCACACTTTCATTGAGTCGGTTTTCAATGTGCTATCTGTGCTGTCTGCTGGGGATCAAGAAGATAAAAAGAGAAAGGTAACTTGGAAAGGGGAATGGGATGGGAAAAGAGAGAATAGAAAAGGGGAGGCTAGGTGGAGAAAAACGTTATAATACAATGTCATGACCAGTGGGCCCTGTGGCCAGCTTGGGGTCATATTCTGTTTCCTGGAATTTCCATTGCTTTCACCTGGTGATTCAGCAGCTAGCACATTGCCAGGGCAGTTACCATGCCTAAGGCTAATTTTACTACTAACAAAAGGTAGGATTTACTAGGTTCTCTGCAGTGACTTTGAAAATATGTGTGATAAAGCATCAGTAACTGAAATCAAAAGAAGCATCTCAAGGGAGGAGATGAGAAATCAGAAATAGGAGATGAGAAACAGTCACTGACTTATTTGCCACCAATGTTAATTACACATGAATGGTTTTACAGTTTGAAAGAATGCTGCATTTAGGGAGCTTTAACTGATACTGATTATTTTTGTATCTTAGGGTCTCAGATCTACAACACCTGAACACCTCCCCTGAGGAAGCCTCAAGTTCAGTGCTAGCTCTGCAGTCAACATCAACCTAAAATATTACTACAGACAGAAATCGTTCTGGATCAAAATTCTGATCTTCTTTCCACTTTTTCAGACTCATCAGAAGAGGTGTCTAAGAAGATGCACAAAAAAATTTGCAAGTGGACCATTATTGCCTGAGGGTCTAAAGTTTTACCAGATTCTTTTTACAATGAAGTATATATAGTGTACATGCTTGGGGAAAATGCTGGGTCTTAAACCCAACCTCTATTAACACGATTATTGCTCATTAATCATGGCTGAAAAATCTGGCATCAAGAATCACCGAGATCCTAGCTACTCAAAGTGTAATCCCTGGATCAACAGCATCAGCAGCATCTGAGAGCTTGTTGGAGATGCAGAATCTCAGGCAGACCTACTGAACCAAAAAAAAAAAAAAAATCTCATTTTAACAAGACCCACAGGGGATTGAAATTTTCCTTCCACATTTGAGAAGCACTGCTCTAGATCCTCTCTCTTGAGGAGGTCATTTACGTCAGGTTCTATTCTTAATAGGAAACAGGTTGAGAAATAAAAACCTCAACAGGGCTACAAATACGAACCCAGAAAATGTGAAGTTTTTAGTGAATGTTGAAAACAAGGCAGCAAAATGGCTGTTTATTAAACCTAATATATTCTGTACTGAGATCAAAAGGCAGGTGTTACAAGGACCATAGCTCTAATTATGAAGTTGGCTATTTCAACACGACCAGCCACTGAACACTACACGCTTCCCCTTCGTGCTTTTAGTCTTTCCCATAAATGCCACATGGTTCTTTTGGCAGAATTAGCTCCCAGATTTGCAGTGGGAATTAGACAAGAACATTTTCTCCTTCCTTTCCTTTGAGATGCAGGGATGGGGGCTAGAGCAGGCAGCAGGGAGCACTTCTGAGGCCAGGAGTAAGCAAAACTAAAACCAGAGAAGGGGTGCCAAGATATGAATGCCAGAGGGAACATAAGGGCACAAAACTGCAAGAGGGGGAAGGAGGGTGACACATTGCCAGGTGCCTGGGACCAGAGACGCACCAAGTGGTAGGGTCTTTTTAAAATTTTATTTCTTAGAATGTATTTTTAATTAACAAATAAAACTTATATTTATGGTATCTAACATGATGTTTTGGAATAGGTAGACACTGTGCAATGGCTAAATCCAGCTAATTAACATATGCATTGCCTCACATTTTTATTTTTTTGTGCTGAGAACACTTAAAATCTACTCTTAGCGATTTTCAAGAACATAATACATTGTTATTAATTATAGTCACTGTGTTGTACAATAGATCTCTTGAATTTATTCACCCTGTCTAAGTGAAATTTTGTATCCTTTGACCACCCCTCTCCCAGTGCCCAGGCAACCAGCATTCCGCTGTCTGCTTCCATGTGTTACACTTTTTTAGCTTCCATGTATATGAGTGAGATCATGTGGGATTTGCCTTTCTGTTTTTGGCTTATTTCACTTAGCAAATGTCCTCCAGGTTCACGCATGTTGTCACAAATGACAGAACTTCTTCTCTTTTTAAGGCTGAGTAGTATTCCATTGTGTATATATACCACATTTTCTTTATCAGCTCATCTGTTGATAGACATTTAGGTTGATTCCATATCTTGACTGTTGTGAATAGTGCTGCAACAAACATGAGAGGGGGTGCAGATATCTCTTTGACATACCGATTTCATTTCCTTTGTATCTATACTGAGCAGTGGGATTACTGGATTGTATGGTATTTCTATTTTTAATGTTTTGAGGATCCTCCATACTGTTTTCCATGTAGCTGTACTAACTTACATTTCCAGGGGTATGGTTTTAATAAGGAACTAAGGGTGGGACTAAAGAGTTGTCTTGAGGTAGGGTAGGTAGCTCCTCTAGATTGAAGCCATCATTTTTCTTTTTAGTGGCCAGTGCCTGGTACAGAGGCCCAGCTAAAGAACCAGGGGAAGACTGGTTCATTCAACATGGGAGTGAAATTATGAAAGGTGTTGAGAGAAGTATGGAGATAAATTAGCCCAACATCTCCACATAGGTTGATGGGTC
The DNA here is from genome assembly GCF_000001405.40 of Homo sapiens. Classification (NCBI taxonomy): domain Eukaryota; kingdom Metazoa; phylum Chordata; class Mammalia; order Primates; family Hominidae; genus Homo; species Homo sapiens. Next base: position 20,605,846 of record NC_000023.11, on the reverse strand, counting down.
TGAAAAGCTAAAGAGGGATGCAGTCTTACAGAGCATCATTGAGGATGGAGGATGCTATGCATAGAATCAGACTTCATCAAAACTTGAAACTGATATTTTGTTACCAGCATCCTATCTCTGCATTCTACCTTTCTTTCTCTCTTCCTGCTGCCTCCTCCAACCCACATTCAAACCCCTGGTGTGATATCTGTCAATCAATTCCTTTAAGCCTATAGGTGGCAACCAATTGACTTGTTGCCCTCTTTTAGGAAATTGAATGTGATTGTCTACTCTTTAAAGATTGAACCATCTTCCAGACCCAAATCAATGGTGCCCCCTGAAATTCCTCAAACCCATGTCAACAGACACCTGCTCCATCTATCCCAAAGACAGGTTCGTGTACATGACTCCGAAGGTATAAGAAAAGAGAACTTCCATAACCAGATAGAGGGACTAAAAGAGGTGGATGACCTCAAATATTCAACCCTGAGTTCTTGAGAAAATCATAAAGACTGAGGCAAAGGAGATGGATCTTTACTAAAGGCAGGGTTGTTATTTTAACAAAACACTTTAATAATACTGTAATTTTTCTTACGCCTTATCTCAGATTTCTCTTTTATAGTTTTTAGTCTTTTCTTGTTTAGATATGTTGAAGGTTTTCCAGATAAGTATCATACCTCCTTTTGTTCCTCTTGGACTCAAATGCCCACTGATTACCCCAATTGGTTCAAATGCCCTGAATTCTGAGGGAATAGAATTGGCCAGAAACAAACTGATTGCCCACTGATTACCCCAATTGGTTCAAATGCCCTGAATTCTAAGGGAACAGAATTGGCCAGAAACAAATGTTCTAATATTCAAGAGCAGCGGGTGAATGGTTTGTTATCAATGCTAATTAGAATTCCATTTTCCTCATAGATCATATAGTTTAATTGCATTGAACTATTAACTTGAGAGAGGAGAAGGAGGAAGAAATACTACTCTCTCGCTGCTTTCCTAATATCTGTCATTTTCAAAAGGCTTGTTTGGCACACACAGATGATTCTAGTGTCAGTGAAAAACTGAACTCTGCAGCATATGTTGCCAAATGTTACAGCTCCCACTTAATGTTCGCCCTCTACGTTACGTGTCAAATTAGACATGCTAGTAATATCCATAATTACATGTTGCAAGTAATGGAGCTGCAGTTTGAAGTGTTCTTAGATGCTAATTAGACTTCAGGGAAATCCCTGCGAACAATGCATTCAAGCCTCCTCTAACCTCTGGCTTGGAGGCCTGGCATAGGTTCTTTTGTAATGCCAACATTTTACCCATAATTTCTAAGTGTCTCCGATAATTTAGAATGCTTCTTGACAGGAAAAATAGCAAAAAGCTAATCCCCAGGGGGCCTGAAGAACCATTTCCCAGTTTTAGCAAGATTATGTTGTGCTAATGCTATCTTTGCAGACCACAGCAAACAAGAAAGCTTAAGACCTGGGCTATACTCAAAAATTCATGTGCCTCAACTTCCTATCCAGTCTTTCTGAGACTCTACTCCACCTATGCCCCTTCCCTCATCCCAGTTGCTCCCATTAGTTGTCACTATGGTCTCCTCCCTCATGCATTTAATCTATACACAATTTATTGAACACGTATTTTATGCCTGGCACTGTACAAAGATGAATGACCCCTATTCTCAAGGTGGTCATGTAAAATGAAGGACACTGATACATGAAGAAATTACTCTAAACCATGAGGTAACTGCAATAGTGGTGAGATAGAAGTACTGTGGAGGAGAACTGTATTAGTCCATTTTCATGCTGCTGATAAAGACAGACCCCAGATTGGGCAATTTATAAATAGGTTTAATGGACTTAAAGTTCCATGTGGCTAGGGAGGCCTCACAATCATGGAAGAAGGTGAAAAACACTTCTTACATGGAGGTGGCCAGAGAGAGAATGAGCACCAAGTGAAACAGGTTTCCCCTTATCAAGCCATCAGATCTCGTGAGACTTACTCACTACCACGAGAACAGTATGGGAGAGGCCACCCCCATGATTCAATTCTCTCCCACCAGGTTTCTCCCAAAACACATGGGAATTATGGGAGCACAATTCAAGATGATATTTGGGTGGGGACACAGACCCAAACCATATCAGGAACCCAAACCAGCCTGAGGGATATGTGTGTGTTTGTGCATGTGCCCACACACATGCATGTGTGTTTTGGAGAGTAGGGTATATTTCATGCACTGCCAGTACCCTGCCCATATCCTGTGGAATCCCTTTGCATTTTCATGCACATCAGCTTCAGGTCACTTTCATTCCCAGCTGCCAGCACTGTGTCTCTTTGTTGGAGGACAGCTCTCAGGCTGCAAGAGCCCATTTTGTCTGTGCGCATGCACAGAGAGCTGGAAGTGCCTGGGAATTTGTTTTCCCGGGGGCAGCTCTCGTGACCGACAAGTATAGCAATATAAATATGCCAGCTCCTTTGCCCTTGATCAAGGCAACTTTAATGTGTAACTTACACTTTCTGCAAAAGTCCCTTATAAGAAGGCACCAAAGTTACTCTCCATGGGAACACCACCACATCTTTGCTTGGCCTCCTTTCTTTGTCCGTCTCTCTTCCCCACTCTCCTATTGGTTTTTTCCTGGGAACACCTACTAATAAATCACTTACATGTGAATCTTCAACTCAGGGCCTACTTCTGGGCTATGCAAATGAAGACAAAGTGAAGGAAAAAAGTCTTCCTTGAAAGTTTACCTAAGCCAGGATGGAAGAATTTAGCAAGATGAAGATAAGAGTTTTGCCCCAAGGGGGTGGTGAAAAGGGGTGCTGTGGACAGACATTACAGACAGCATGAACAAAAGCATGCCGGCAATAAGCAGCCTGGAATACAAAGGGAGCTACAAGCACATCCCAGAGCATAGCTTTGAGAAAGGATTGGCTAGTGATGACAGAAGTAGTCAGGCACCGTATCTTCAAGAGTTTGATGCATTTGGTGTGCTAGAGCCAGCTAGCAGCTAATTGTTAATTATTTGGAAATTGTGTGATTTGGTCGATAAACTGTGCTTTGGAATTGGCCATGGTGGGGGTATTTACACCATGGAAATTTGCAACCAGTCAAAATCAGGGCCTTCTTGTTTTGATAGAACTGGTTTATCAGCAGACCACTTTGCCATGCAGAGAAGTTTCTTTTTAATCCCATAGGCAGCAAGAGGGGTGGGCATTGACTATTTTTGGCAGTGACAGTGGAGTGATACAGCCAGATTTGTATTTTATGTCCAAAAACTTGATAGCTATGTTATGTGGAGAAAGATAAGGGCCTAAACCAAGAAAGTGGTATCAGACATGGGGTATGAAGGATGGAAAGATTGACAAATTTGTTTATGAGGAATGATGGACAAGTTGATTGGGTAGATGGCTGGGCCAGCAACCAAGAAAGCTCGAGAATACAGAAGAGAAAAGTTAATTGAGGTGACAAGTTTACTTCTGAGAATGTTGAATTTCAGAATTCTTAGGGACTGGGCAGTTGCATATAAGCATAGGAATCTCCATAGCTCCACTCACTTAAGAGAAGAAACAGGATGAGTCCTAGCCAGGCACTGCTGATCAAACTCATTCACTCCTCTTCTGTGTGGAAGTCTCTACTGCTATTCTGTCAGTTTCCACCTGCACTCATAACTCTTTAGTAGAAGGACACTTCCTCTGAAGGCAGGGCTGCTCTGGCCAGCCTTGGCAGGCCTGGACCCTAGGTAATTCCCTCTTCTGGATATATGTAGTTTTCTCTCTCAGGCATTTAAGCCAGGGGTCCCAGGATATCACCTAGAATGCTCTTCAGATGGCCACACCTTGTATTCTTAGTTAATGGCCCTCCTTCCCCAAACACGATGTTGGGCTAGAAAGTCAGAATTTATCCTTCAACTCTTCCCTCCCTCAGGTGACTTCCAACCTTTCCAGAACAGCTGGCCCAACAGGTGAAAAGCAGCCTTAGCTTTCCTTCCGTAAATGAGGGAGTGATAATCCCAGTGTCTGGAGAATTGATCTCAGGTCCCCAAGTACCCATCTTATTTCCTTCCTAGGACCTAGGGAATCTGAGGAAGATGGTATTCTTGGAGGCTGATAATGACCCCCTAGTTTCCTGAAGAAGCTCTAACCTTTCATTTTACAACATAGATTATTAACTTTTGTTTGAAGATGTAGTTTTCAACCAAATTCTATAGGCATTTCTAAATAAATTTTAACTAAAGTGAGACAATAGATATGTTGTCTTCCTTGAAAGCTGAATTCTTACAGCTCTATCACTTCCAGGCCCCTATCTTGACAGAGTTAGAAATGATGAGCCAAACACCGACATTACAAGAATGAATTTTTAAGGCAGGTCTTAATGCCTGCCTACCGTAAATATGGTCACCAAAGGAACGCTGGAACCTGCCATAAATGTGTGTTGTTATATTTAAGTATGAAATAGATAAATATTCCTAAATAGAGTCCAGGCATATTATCATTTGTTAGACATAATTTTAAAATGTGAGTTTACAAAAATATGTAGGGGATCAGATAACTCTTTCAATAGCCTAATTTTAGGCCTGAATTTTATTCTTCATGTTCCTTTTCAATGTAGCACTGACATTTAGTCAGTCTAGGGAAAGCATAGAGGAAAAAATGCTCTAAGAAGTACTTTGTAATTGAGAAAGCCTTTCGTTTAAAAGTCCAAAATCTCTGTACTAAGCATATTTATACAGAAACATTTTCCATTTAAATTTCCACATTGTTTTTAAACATCTAGGATAAATGTTTACAGGAAAAAAAGTCAACACCTAGCTAGCTTTCAAAAAGTAGACATTCTTTACTTTCATCTCTAAGCTCAAAAATAACTAGATTATTTTTGCCAACATTTCTCAATAGTCTTACATGGGAGCTAAGATAAATCATGGAAGATTTAATCTCAAAAGATTCTTTTGTGATTTAGGAGTGGAGAAGAGATTTATTTATGAACCATGAGTAACATAAATGCAAATGGCTCTTCGGACATAATCATCCACTTTAAATAATAGGATATGGTTACATGGCAATAAAAACACAGGATTTGCTTACGTAAACATGAAAACTTCAGTATATTTGGAGTTTTTCTACCTGAATATGTATTATATTAATTTATAGACTTTTTAAATATTAGAAGGTAACTTGGATTGGAATGATTCTCAAAAATGTAACAGTTGAATTATGGAAAATATTAAGCACTTTAATTAAGGAAACTTATTGATCAACTTCAAACTGGTTTTGGCTTTAGCATAATAATTTTTATGTTAAATAAATAATAAATTGTTATTGCATAGTCGTTATATATATTAGCTTAATGAAGATATAAACTTTCTCTTATTCAATAATAAAATGAGAGGTCAAAAACCAATCCAATACCTAAGATAAATCATTTCACACTGGGAATTGCATTTTCTTCATATGTAGAAAATGTTTGAAGAAAAGCAGTAGCTATGGCATAATGAAAACACCATTGGCCTCAGAGCAAAGACAGCTGGCTTGAGGGCTGCCACATTTACTTTTTAAATAAAGGGATAAATTAATATTAGCGTTTAATGTTGAGTTTGTTTCTTAAATTTTCTTTAATTTTTTTTCTTATACATAAAATCATAAAAATAATGCTATGAAGGTTAAGATGTACATTAATACATTTAAAGTTCCTGGCATGATGCCTAATACATAGTAGATGCTCAATAAATAGTAGCTACCTTGCTTTAAAAACCCTGTGGTTCCCCACCGTGCTCAAATTAATTAATATGGCTCTAAAGATCTTCAGTGATCTGGTGCCCCTTACTTCTGATGGCTTCATCTTGTAACATGTCCCTCTCATGCTCTTCACTAGTAGTCTCCAAAATGAGGCACATGGACACCAGGGAAGAAATAGCAGACCTTTTTTGTGCCCTGCCTATATTCTTCAGGCTTTACCATTTCAAAGTATGCACTTGTCAATTCTAAATGGCAGCATCTACATCTCTTTGTCTGGAGGCTTTCAACAAAATTGTGGAAAGTCACCCAGCCTGTTCATGCAGAAAGGTGGAAATGTTGAAGATTTAAGGCCTCGTGGGAGTAGCCTTCGACCAATGACCAGTGGTTATTAAATACCCCAGCTTTATCATCCCTCAAAAGGAATAAGGCTGAGACATCTGTCAAGGACTGTGAAGGTTCTGAGATTTTACACTGCCCAAAAGCCAGGAGGTTAGACTGCCACAGTTTCATGCATGCTGGCAGAAGACAGTAGACCCCAGGGTCAGAGACAAAGGACATTATTACTCATGGCATAGCAGGCGGCATGAGCTTCATGTCCTTATTTGTTCCCCCTTGACACCCAATTTTCACAGGGTGATGTTGAGGAGTCTCAGTGGATGTTATGCACACAGTAGATCTGTGTCATAGCTGAAAGACTCCAAGCTTAGAAACCTTCAATCTTATAAGGGCTACTAGCAAACCTACCCAACCTTTGTCCCCAAGAAAGACATTCTCTTTATCGTCTTGGTCAGGAAACAAATCAGCACTTTGCCCTTGAATGGAGACACTATGTCTATATTCCAAGGCCGTTTGCTATGCTAACATCCTTGAAAACATAGATGAGGACAATAGCTGCCAAAAGATGTATAAAGACATGAAGAATTGTCTCCTGGCAGCACACCCAATATCACTACACTTCCCCAACAGGCCTGAGCTCCAGTAGCCCACAGTGGTAACTCACATAACATACCTTTCATTGGCTTCTTTCACTTCCCTGCCTCTTCTCTCCACTCCCTAACAGTTTTTTGCTAAGATTACCTGGTAAATAAATGACTTGCAGATACCTGGACAAAATTGGGATGCTATTGGGAAACAAAGAAAAGAGAAAATGGATGGTGGATCAGTCATAAACAGAGTCCACTACAACTTACTTGTACTTCTCCTGCAGAAGTTTGAAGCATTTGCTTTAGGCATTGTAGTTCAGCTAACCTTAGAAAGTAAGTAGAGCTATCTATCTTGCATTAACTCAAAATACACAGTTTTAACTAAAACACATATGGCAGTGTTTCCTAAAGCCACTGATTGAATTTCACCATTGATATAGCTAAACTGCTAAGAAATTCATTGGTCCCAGTGGTTACCCAATAAGATGACCCTGTCATGGAAGAAAATAGACTTCGTGACATATTCTAACATATACGCTCAGAATAGAATTTGGTGACTCTGTTATCACTCATGAGAAAACAGTATCTTTTCATTCCAAAGACTAGGATTCTCTTTAAGTCACAATAGTGAGGATTCATTTTAATTGCACATGTATAAAATCCAGAAACACCATGTTTTTAGTGGATAGCTGTAGTGCTAGCCACAAACAAAAATTAGGATGTTTTCTGTTTGTTTCCCCAGATGGCATCTAGCTTTCTTGGCTTCCAATTTTCATCCCTTTGACATCTTCAGTTTTGGTCGTGATGTTCTAAATGGCAAGGTCTGTTCTAGGAAGAGCTATGCTACTGTGTCTATAAACCTGCTCAAGGACAACACTAGTCCATTCTTTCTCAGAGTGTGATCTCTGGTCCAGTAACATCAGCATCACCTGAGAATTTACTAAAAGGGGAGATTCTCAGGTTCTACCCCAGACCTCAATCAGAAACTTGGGGGTGGGGGATCAGCCTCTCCTTAAGAAGTCTTCCAGATGATTCTGACACATGCTTAAATGTGAGAACCACTGCTCAAGAGTCTAATCCAAAGTCTTGATTCAGGCAAAGAACTCCTGATGGCTTCTAAGTCAAAGAAACCAGCTACCAGCGGCCTGATAACACAAATTGAAATAGCTTCAAAAGCAGATTTCAATTGTGCTGAGAGTGGATTACCTCAGAGATTATATTCTAAAGTCTGTGTACTAGAACATGGACCATTGAATCATCCAGTTTTTACTCCTCCCTTTAATGAGCACTTTGAGTGGTTTTGGTTTTTGGTGTTTCTCGCCTTTTTTTTTTTTCTCCTGTAGAAAGGCGACATTATCCTCATTTTATAAAATGACATTCACATCTTCAAAAGGGTCTTTCCTGATTAACCCCATCTTCCTCTGATGCGGCATTTTACTCTGTGACTTGGTGCCTTAACATTTTCATATTCATTTTGCATGACATTAATCTGCATTCAAGCCACATGCTTTGAAAATACTCTCTGAGTAGGTTACACCCATCTGTCAGATGGGAGCTCGGCACAGACCATGATTTTTCTCATTTCCTTGGGATCTATTTGGCCTCTGCGCCTATGTAGGTCAGTGCTCTGCCAACCAAACAGAGATATACATATATGTGTGCATGCATGAGTGTGTGGAGGGAGGGGATATATTGGGACCACACGTTCTTAAAAAAAACTTAAGAGAAGCCATTCAAATTGTCCTTAAACCATGCATCCAGGATCAGGTTTATCCAAATTCTCTGCCATCTTCACAATACCTGACCCTATTCACCAACAATGAATGAAATACACTTAAGAACTCAGTAAGGCCCATTTTCTTCCAACTGACCAGCCAGAAGAACAAACCTGCTCCTCTGAGGTAGCCACACACTGAGATCTGGGTCACCACTTCAGAGGAGAGGCAAGGCTAGGATGAACAACCATCTCAGTTTAACTAGGACTGAGGAGTTTCTCAGAATGCTAGACTTCCAGTGCTAAAACCAAGACAGTCCTGGGTAAACTGGAGCAGTTTGTCACCTTCACTGAGGCATCTAATTCAGAGAAAAATGAAAAGAGTTAGCAGGCTCGGCTTTCACATTGCACCCTGCCTGCTACTCAGGCCAACCAGTCATTGAGACAGTGTCATGATCAGACCTTTCCAAATCCTCTGATGTGGACGCTCTCCAGGACAGCCCTGGGCAAAGCTGCATAGTGTGCAAAATGGTCAGCTTCCCCATTTTCTCCATTTCACAGCTTTCTTCACATCTCTGCTCTTCCTGGGGCTCCCAGTTCTCTGAACCTTCCACTTCTTGCCTCTCCCTCTCCTCCCACCAAACCTCACACAGAGGAGACTTCATCCACATGAAGTTACAAACACTGATTAGCAGAGCAGTAGTTCTTAAACCTGGCTGCATGCCAGAAACATTCAGGCTGCTTTTTTAAAAATCCAAACGCCTAACCCTTACCACCTGAGATTCAGATTTCATTGATCTTGGGTAGAGGCAGGCATTGGTGTGTTTAAAGTCTCCTTTGATTATTCTAATCAGCAGCTAGGGTCGAGAGCCTCTGCTTTGGAGCACTTATCCTCAAATGTGGCCTCAAAGTGGAATCACCTGGGAAGCTTCAAAAACTACTTATGTCTGGGTCCCACCCCCAGAGTCTCATGTAATTGGTCCGGGGTACAGCCTGGATTTCAGGATTGGTAAAACTCCCCAGAAGATTCTGACGTGCAGCCAAGTTTCAGAATGCTGATCTGGCCTTGCTACCCAAAATGCACTCCACCCACCAGCAACTTCAGCCGCGCCTGCAAGCTTGTCAGAACTGCAGGCTAGGGGGCCCTGCCCTGGACCCACTGAAACCAGACCTGCAGTTTCGCAAGATCCCCCAGGTAAGTCATATGCACATTAAGTTTGGAAAGCTCTGGTTTGGAGCATCACCCCCTACCGGAGCATTTAACAAGAACTAGAACCTTAACCACAATAAGAGTGTTCTCTTGTGAGAATTTTAGGCATCAGACAGAATGTAGGAAGCATTTTGGTAAAAGGAGGGTTTTCCCAGTCCTCTGAGTCATGTCCCCAGAAGCAGTCACCTACTCCTCCTACTCATAAGAACATTCTGGTGTTGTTAAATGTCAGCTGAAGATATACATCTGGCTATGATTCAGCCAAGAGGAAAAGAGACACTGCAGAGAGTTGTTGCTGGTGTTTGTGCTTCCTGGAAATGTCTGGCAGAGGTCAAGCCCTGAAACTGGTATCAAGCATACCTGGGAGCAGTGTTATTTTTAAAAAGCAAGATTTGAGCAAAATAAGCCCTGTCCCACATAGAAAGCAAAGAGTATGGGAGGTGGGGGAGGGTGACACAAAGGAATAGCATTATAGAGATTTAACCCAAATTAGAAATTGTTATGTATATCACTGGGTAAACTAGCAAATGCTTCTATGTCAAACATACTGAATATTCCAGAAGATACTAAAATGAAAGCCTAAGTAGAAAATAATGATTAACCTTACTTAGTTTACTAATAGGTAAACATTATTGAGTTCAATTCTTATTTTATACATAGCAGAATTGAAAGATTCCCAAATGCCTGAGCTGCACCTCCATTATAATTGCAATGCCATTCACTTTTTCCTCCTCTGTTTAGACATATTCAGAATTACACCCATTATGCAAATGTACTGGTGAGGTGTGAAAATGAAAAGCACCACTCTGAATCACCCCCCAATAGCTTTATTCTAAAAGACCCCAAGGAGGAGTGAGAGGTCCCTGAAGTTCCCTATGGAACCAAGAACAGGGAAAGGACGTCTACAGAACTGAGAATGCCAACAAATTCTGTCTTTGGGAGAAGGCATCTGGGTCAAGTGATCAAATTTCATGTCCCAGATTTCAGTCTCAGGAGAGTTAACACAATTCATTCCAGGATCTTCAGCATCTCTGTGGTATCCAGGGGAAAAGGCCAACCCTGAGACAATTAGTCAAATGAGAAGCAGGAGTTCTGAATCTCAGCAATGTGTGCAATTCCACATGCCTTCCACTAGTAGCAAAAGCAGAATTGACTCTACATACACAAGAATCCAAAGAACAATAGATATGACGTTGGAACTACCAGTAACTTAAAGACAGAATGCTTTAAAAATCCAATTTAAAGGCTACAAAGGAGGGGGTTTGAACCCATCGATTTAAATATATCTGGCAAGGCACTACCTCTGACTAGACTCAATGCCCAGGAACTCAGCAATTACTATGAATTCAGACTATATTTAAGGAACGACAATAATGCAATCATTATGGGCATCGGCATCTCTGGGCAACTTCTTAGCAATACAGACTCTAGGTCCTTCCCTAGACCTGCTGAATCAGAATCTGCATTTTAACAAAATTCCTAGGTGATTCATATGTTCATGGAAGTTTTAAAAACACCGACGTAGAACGGTAATTATTAATCCTAGCTGCACATCTGAGTTACTTGTTGAGGTTTTTAATCTTGTGAGTATTTAGGCCCCACTCCCAAAGTAATTAAATCAGTATTTGTGGGTGGGACTTAATTATCCCTGTGTGGTCAAACCTCCCCAGGTGTTTCTGATGGAGTCAGTTTTGGCAGCTGTGACCTAGGATATGTAGAAGTAGAAGGGTTGTTTCTCGGGTTATCATTTTCTCTCTCTCTCTCCATGAAATATGGGGATCATAAGTATGTTAATTAAATTCACAGTTAAAAATCGAAGTGCTAGGCTGGATGCGGTGGCTCATGCCTGTAATCCCAGCACTTTGGGAGGCCGAAGTGGGCAGATCACTTGAGGCCAGAACTTTGAGACCAGCCTGGCCAACATAGCAAAACCCCATCTCTACTAAAAATACAAAAATTAGCTGGGCCTTGGGGCACATGCCTGTAATCCCAACTACTTGGGAGGCTGAGGCAGGAGAATCGCTTGAACCCGGGAGACAGAGGTTGCAGTGAGCCGAGATCTGCTGTGAGTGAGCACCACTGCACTCCAGCCTGAGCAACACAGCAGGGCTCTTTCAAAAAAAAAAAAAAAAAATCAAAGTGCTTTTCCTTAAGCAGCCACCTGGGTGTGACATGGACGTGTATCCCTAAACATTCTTTTCATGCCTCCTCAATAGATAGAGCCAAAAACTATGTCCTATTGTCTCTACCCAGAATGCTCTGTGTGACCTTGCGTAAGTCACCCTCTCTGAACCTTGGTTTTGTCTTCTCTCAAACATAATCTTATATATCCCTTTTATCTTTCAAGGTGATTATATGATCAAAGGAAGAAAGGTGGTATAGGTTAAACACACCTGATAACAATAACTTAAGCATACCCTGAGACTGACTCTGTATGGCAGATGCACCTGAATGTATGTTCTGAGCTAGGGAACCCAGGAGTGGCTAATCTGGAGATTCATTCCATGTCTATGAGGAACATCTGAGCCCCCGGCCTGCCCCATGGAACACAGACTGTACACGGGATTGAGGTCCAGAGCTTTGGGTTGAATGAAGGTTGCAGTTATCCTGCCCAGCCCACTGCCACTGGGCCATGTGGTTTTCCTGTCCAGCCTGCCACAGCTAGACTTTCTCCCTGTAAGTAAATAAAATTCTGTGTCTTATTTGCTGGCTCTGTGTCTCTTTGGCCTTTTGAACCTTCTGCCATCCCCATTGGAGTTGATAGGGGTTTAGCACAACAGGTGACTGACTGTCCAGTTTTAGCCCTCAAAGTCCCATATCCTTGAACATCTCTCAGTCATGGACAAAACAAGATGGTTGGCTGGTAACCCTAGGAGTAACCAATGTGAATCACTAAGACATACCCAGAGGGTTTTACTAATGTAATGCCCCCAAGGCAGGCCTTGCTAAAAAAGATCCAAGTGGCCAAGCCAATCTGAAATCCAAATAATGAAGTGGAGACTCTATCAGTTGCTTCTTAACCTGGAGATTCCCTCTGAAAAAAGGAAACTGTGTTTGGGAGTCTTGTAGAAATCTGACTAGCCATGCTAGTTTTGCAGAATCAGATCCAGCCTAGAAAGCAAATACCAGGTTTTAAAAGACATAAAATCCTGGCGGGTGGGTGGGGAGGGTGGAGCAAGATGGTAGAATAGAAGTCTGTACCCTTTGTTCCCCTGTTGGAACACCAATTTTTTTTTTTTTTTTTTTTTTTTTTGAGATAGAGTTTCGCTCTGTCTCCAGGCTGGAGTGCAGTGGTACAATCTCGGCTCACTGCAACCTCTGCCTCCTGGGTTCAAGCGACTCTCCTGCTTCAGCCTCCTGAGTAGCTGGGATTAGAGGCGTGCACCACCACACCTGGCTAATTTTTGTATTTTTAGTAGAGACGGGGTTTCACTACGTTGGCCAAGATGGTCTCGATCTCTTGACCTCGTGATCCACCCGCCTCGGCCTCCCAAAGTGCTTGGATTACAGGCATGAGCCACCATGCCCGGCCTGGAACACCAGATTTTAACAACTGTCTGTACACAGAAAAGCACTGTCACAAGAACCAAAAAAAAAAAAAAAAAAAAATCAAGTGAGCAATCACAGTACCTGGGTTTAACTTTATATCACCAAAAGGGGCATTGAGGAAGACAGGAGAGACTGTCTTCAATCACTGACACCACCCCTCCCCCATTCCCTGGCAGTGGCCTTGCTGCACAGAGAGAGAATCTGTGCATGCTGGGGAGGAAGAGCACAGTGACTGGAGGACTTTACATTGAACTCAGTGCTGTCCTGTCACAGTGGAGCATAAAGCCATGCTGGGCTCAGCCAGTGTTCATACACAGATGGAGCATGTGGAGAAGCCCTAGCCAGAAGAGACTCATCCATCCCAGCAGTCAAAACTTGAGTTTCTCAGCAAGCTTCGCCATGGTGGGCTGAAGTGCTCTGGGCACCTAGGTAAACTTGAAAAGCAGTGTAGGACACAAGGACTGCAATTCCTACACAACTCCTAGTGCTAGGCTAGACCAGCTAGTGGACTAGGGTGGCATACGACCTGGGGAGACACCAGCTGGCGCAGCTAAGGAAGTGCTTGTGCTATCCCTCCCTCAACTCCAGCCAGCACAGCTCACAGCAGTAAAAGTGACTCCTTTCTACTTAAGGAGAGTGAAGAGTAAAGAGAACTTTTTCTTGCATCTTGGATACCAGCTCAGCTATAGTAGAATAGGGCATTGGGCAGAGTCATGAGGCCTCCATTCCAGGCTTTCACTCATGGATGACATTTCTAGACACACCCTGAGCCAAAAGGGAGCCCACTGCCTTGAAGGGAATGGCACAGTCCTGGCAAGATTCATCACCTGCTGACTAAAGAGGCCTTAGGCCCTGAATAACCAGCAGTGATACCCAGGGAGTACGCCATGGGCCTGGGGCTCTGAGAAGTGCTGGCTTCATGGATGACCCAGCACACTCCCAGCTGTGATGGTCACAGTGAAAGACTCCTTCTGTTCGAGAAAAGCGAAGGGAAAAGTAAAGGTGACTTTTTCTTCTACCTTAGGTGTCAGCTCAGCCACAGTGAGGTAGAGCACTAAGTAGGCTCTTGAAGACCCCAAATCCAGGCCTGGGCTCTTGGAGAGCATTTCTGGACCTGCCCTGGGCCAAAGAGAAGCCCACTTCCTTGAATAGGATGAGTCCCAGACCTGGCAGCATTCATCACAAGCCCTTGGGCTTTAAGTGAAGATCGGCAGGGAGCTGGCAGAACCCTCAGTGGACCAGTGCTGGTGGTGGCCACACAGAGAAGCTCCTCTGCCAGTGGAAAGGGGAGGGAAGAGCAGGAAGGACTTTGTACTGTGGCTTGACTGCCAGCTTAGCCACAGTAGAATAGAAATCAGGTAAATTGCTAAGGTTTCTGACACTAATCCCTGACTCTCAGACAGCATATCTGGACATGCCTAGAGCCTGGGGGCAACTTGCCACCCTGAAGGGGGAAGGGCCTTGGGCAAGGCCCAGTGCTGTGCTGGCTTCGGATCTGACCCACCAAAGTCCCAGTGGTGGTGGCAAAAGGGGTGCTTGCATCACTACACCCCCAGTTCGAGGTGGATCAGCATAGATAGAGAGACTCCATTGTTTGGGAGAAAGTAAGAGAAAAGAACAAAAGTCCCTGCCTGGTAATCCAGACAATTCCGGATCTTATCCAAGACCACCAAGGAGGTAAAACTTCAAATGAACAATCTAATGATTCATCTTAAAAAACTAGAAAAGCAAGAGCAAACCAAACCCAAAATTAGTAGAAGAAAAGAAATAATAAAGATCAGAGCAGAAATGATTCATTTGAAATGAAGAAAACAGTACAAAAGGTCAATGAAACAAAAAGTTGGTTTTTTGAAAAGATAAACAAAATTGACAAATCATTAGCCAGACTAAGAAGACCCAAATAAACAAAATCAGAGGTGTAAAAGGAGACATTGCAACTGATGCTGCAGAAATTCAAAGGATAATTAATGCCACTATGAGCAACTATATGCCAATAAATTAGAAAATCTAGAATAAATGGATAAATTCCTAGACACATAGAACCTACCAAAATTAAACCATGAAGAAACCCTGAACAGCAAGTAACGAGATCAAAGCCACGAAAGTCTTCCAGTAAAAAAAAATGCCCAGTACCCAATGGCTTCACTGTTGAATTCTACCAAACATTTAAAGAAGAACTAATACCAATTCTACTCAAACTACTTTTCTTTGGTGAGACGGAGTCTCGCTCCATCTCCCAGGCTGGAGTGCAGTGGTGCGATCTCGGCTCACTGCAAGCTCCACCTCGCGGGTTCATGCCATTCTCCTGCCTCAGCCTCCCAAGTAGCTGGGACTACAGGCATTCGCAACCATGCCCAGCTAATTTTTTGTATTTTTAGTAGAGACAGGGTTTCACCGTGTTAGCCAGGATGGTCTCCATCTCCTGACCTCATGATCTGCCTGCCTCAGCCTCCCAAAGTGCTGGGATTACAGGTGTGAGCCACTGTACCCGGCCTACTCAAACTATTCTTAAAAACAGAAGAGGAGGGAATAGTTTAAAACTCATTCTACAAGGCCAGTATTACCCTGATATCAAAACCAGACACACCTCAAAAAAAGAAAATTCTGGGCCAATATTTCTGATGCATATTGATGCGAAAATCTTCAACAAAATACTAGCAAACCAAATTAAACAATACATTAAAAAGATGATTCATCATAGCCAAGTTGGATTTATCCCAGAAATGCAAAAATGGTTCAACATATGCAAATCAATCAATGGGATACGTCTTATCAACAAAATAAGGGACAAAAACCACATGGTCATTTCAATTGATACTGACAAAGAATTTGAAGAAATTCAGCAACCTTTATGATCAAAACTCTCAAAATCCTGGGTATAGAAGGAAAATACCTCAACACAATAAGCACCATATACAATAGACCCACAGCTAGTATCATACTGAATGGGGAAAAACTGAAAGCTTTTCCTCTGAGATTTGGAACACTACAAGGATACCCACTGTCACTATTGTTACTCAACATAGCACTGGAAGTCCCAGCTAGAGCAATCAGAAAAGAGAAAGATGTAAAGAACATCCAAATTGGAAAGAAAAAAGTCAAATTATCCTTGTTTTCAGATGATATCATCTTATATTTGGAAAAATCTCAAGACTGCACAAGAAAACTATTAGACTGATAAGCAAATTCAGTCAAGTTGCAGGATACAAAATCAACACACAAAAATCAGTAGCATTTGTATATCCCAACAGTGAACAATCTGAAAAAGAAATTTAAAAAGTAATTGCATTTACAACAACCACAGATAAAGTTACAAAGCTAGGAATTAACCAAAGAAGTTGAAATATGTCTATAATGGATACCAGGAAACATTGATGAAAGAAATTGAAGAGGACACCAAATAATAGAAAGATATTCTATGTTCATGGATTGGAAGAATCACTATTGTTAAAATGTTCATACTACCCAAAGCAATCTATAGATTCAATGCAATCCCTATCAAAATACCAATGACATTCTTCACAGAAATAAAAAAAAAAAAAGCTATCCTAAAATTTATATGGAACCACAGAAGACCCAGAATAGCCAAGGCTATCCTAAGCAAAAAGAATAAAACTGGTGGAATCACATTACCTGCCATCAAACTATACTACAGAGCTATA
Source organism: Homo sapiens (assembly GCF_000001405.40). Classification (NCBI taxonomy): domain Eukaryota; kingdom Metazoa; phylum Chordata; class Mammalia; order Primates; family Hominidae; genus Homo; species Homo sapiens. The sequence goes on along the minus strand of NC_000023.11, from coordinate 20,589,082 downwards.
ATAACCAAAACAGTGTGGTACTGGAATAAAAACAGACACATAGACCGATGCAATAAAGAACCCAGAAACAAATCCACACACCTACAGTAAACTCATTTTTGACAAAGGCACCAAGATCGCTGGGAAAAAGACAGTCTCTTCAAGAAATAGAGCTGGGAAAACTGGATATCCATATGCAGAAGAATGAAACTAGACCCCTGTCTCTCACCATATATAAAAATCAAATCAACATGGAATAAAAATGTAAATCTAAGATTCCAAACTATGAATCTATGACAAGAAAATATTGGGGAAACTCTCCAGGACATCAGTCTGGGCTAAGATTTTTTGAGTAATACCTCACCAGCACAGGCAACCAAAGCAAAAATGGACAAATGAAATTTCAAGTTAAAAAGCTTCTGCAAAACAAAGGAAACAATCAACAAAGTAAACAGACAACCTACAGAATGGGAGAAAATATTTGCAAACTATCCATCTGACAAGGGATTAATAACCAGAATGTATAAGGAGTTCAAACAAGTCTATAGGAAAAAAATATATAATAATCCAATTTAAAAATGGGAAAAGGATTTGAATGACATTTTTCAAAAGATAACATACCAAAGGCAAACAGTTATATAAAAAGGTGCTCAACATCATTGATTATCAGAGAAATGCAAAGCAAAACTACAATGAGATAGCATCTGATGTGATTTGGCTGTATCCCCACCCAAAATCTCATCTTGAATTGTAATCCGCATAATCCCCACGTCTCAAGGGAGAGACCAAGTAGAGGTAATTGGATCATGGGGGCAGTTTCCCCCATGCTGTTCTCTTGATAGTGAGTGAGTTCTCAGGATGGTTTTATAAGGGGCTCTTTCCCCTTATGCTGCCTGGCACTTCTTCCTGCCACCTTGTGAAGAAGTTGCCTTGCTTCCCCCTTTGCCTTCTGCCATGACTGTAAGTTTCCTAAGGCCTCCCCAGTCATGCCGAACTGTGAGTTAATTAAACCTCTTTCCTTTATAAATTACCCAGTCTTGGGAAGTTCTTTATAGCAGCATGAAAATGGACTAATACAGCATCTCACCCCACTTAAAATGGCTTATATCCATAAGAAAGCCAATGATTAATGCTGGCAAGGATATGGAGAAAAGGGAACACTTGTACACTGTTGGCGAAAATGTAAATTAGTACAACCACTATAGAAAACAATTTGGAGGTTCCTCAAAAAGCTAAAAATAGAGGTGCCATAGGATCCAGCAATCCCACTGCTGGGTATATACCCAAAAGAAAGGAAATCAGTATACCAAAGAAATATCTACACTCTCATGTTTGTTGCAGCTCTGTTCACAATAGCCAGGATTTGGAAGCCAACTAAGTGTCCATCAACAGATGAATGGATGAAAAAATGTGGTACATATACACAATGGAGTACTATTCAACCATTTAAAAAGAATGAGATTTAGTCATTTGCATAAACAAGGATGGAACTGGAGGTCATTGTGTTAACTGAAATAAGCCAGGCATAAAAAGGCAGTCATTGCATGTTCTCACTTATCTGTGGGATCTAAAAGTCAAAACAATTAAACTCATGGAGATAGAGAGTAGAAGGATGGTTACCAGAGGCTGGGAAGGGTAATTGGGGCAGGATGGGTAGGGGAAGTGGAGATGTTTAAAGGTTACAAAAATATAGTTAGATAGAATGAATAAGACCTAGTATTTGATAGCACAATGGGGTGACTATAGTCAATAATAATTTAATTGTACATTTAAAAATAACTGAAAGAGTATAATTGAACTGTTTGTAACACAAAGGATAAATGCTTGAGAAGATAGACACCCCATTTTCCATCCTGTGATTATTTCACATTGCATGTCTATATCAAAACATCTCATGGACCCCATAAATATATACACCTACTGTATGAGGGTTCTCTAGAGGGAAAGAACTGATGGAATAGATATATATATATAAAATGGAATTTACTAAGTATTAACTCACATGATCACAAGATCCCACAATAGGCCATCTGCAGGCTGAGGAACAAGGAGAGCCAGTCCGAGTTCCAAAACTGAAGAACTTGGAGTCTGACGTTCAAGGGCAGGAAGCATCCAGCATGGGAGAAAGATGTAGGCTGGGAGGCTAGGTCAGTCTCTGTTTTCACATTTTTCTGCTGGCTTTCTATTCTAGCCATTCTGGCAGCTGATTAGATGGTGCCCACCCAGATTAACGGTGGGTCTGCCTTTCCCAGCCCACTGGCTCAAAAGTTAGTTTCCTTTGGCAACGCCCTCACAGACACACCTAGCATCAATACTTCGTATCCTTCAATCCAATCAAGTTGAGACTCAGTATTAACCATCATCACACCTACTATATACCCACAGAAATTAAATTTTTAAAAAAAGTCCTGGCAGGTAAGAACGCTAATGATTAAAAGCATCCCCTGTAGCCTGAAGCACCATCAGTAGGAAATTGTAAAGAATTAAAAACAAATAAAACTCTATATAAATGTTTTAGTCTTGCAGAAAAAGAAGTCACAGGCTTCACAGTTATTTTCAAGCATGCCTTCAAGCTGGAATAAGATCATTATCTGAAAGGCTGTGCTTACTCCCTGAGCTCTCAAGGAGGGGAGGGGTGGTGGTGGTGGTGGTGGTGGTGGTGTGTGTACAGGAGGTAGAAGAACCTTGCAACTCAAAAGAAGAAGTCTTTAGGTGAATAATTTTTACAAAGAAAGAGCCATCTTATGGATCTCCACTAAAGACCTATAAAGGAAATCTCTCCAAGCAAAATCTACAAAGAATTCTCATGAGCCACTGGCACTGTTACAAGCATAGTTTTGCATTGCATCCTAGAAACCAAACCATGCCTTGATTTGTAAGACAAAAATCCTGGCCTTACTTGCACTATTGCAGTAGCCTCCCAACTGATCTCCTACATCTATTTCTGCCCCTTTATCTATTATCTGCTCTGTAGGTCCAAGTGACACATCATCACTCTCATTAAAAACTCTTTAGTGGCCACCTGCTGTCCTCAAGATGAAGACTGAAACCCTTAACAAGGCCCACCGATCCCTGTGTGAGCTATCTCCTACATTCTTCCCCAGCCTCATCTCTTATCTTACTCTCTCAAATACTCACCATGGCCCAGCCAGACTCAAGGGCTTTCTTTACATTCCATTCATACTTCTTGCTCTTGATCTGCCAGCAAGCCTTTGAAACATGCTATTCCCTCTGCCTGAAAATCTCTTCTCCCCAACTAAAGATACATCCCCTGCCATAGGCGACCACTCCTTCTTCACTTAAACCCTACATAGTAATCAGTCAGTTCCATCTTCAGTTGTTTGAGGGGAAGTTCTCCCTGCCCCAATTCCACTCCACCAAGACTGGGCCTCTCATGCACATTTTTATAACACCCTATTCCTTCCCTTATGGGAACTTTGCAGCCCATTGTTATACATCTATACATGACTATTTGATGAATGATTCTCTTCTCATGACTGCAAACTGCGTTAACACAGAGATGATGTTTTCTCTTCCTTTTCTACTGCCAAGGCTCACCATACTGGTGCACAGTAGGCACTCCATAAATGTTTGTTGAAGAAAGGAAGGGAGGGAAGAAAGACAAGGGAAGGAAGAAAGATAAAGTTAGAAATACTAATATCTTTTGTAGGGAAAATGTGCTTCAGTGGAAAACTATGCATTGTCTAGAGCTGGGATTGATGGATGTTTTCTGTAAGGGCCAAGTAGTAAATATTTTCATGTTTGCAGGCCATATGGTCTCTGAGGCAACTACTCAACTCCATGAATATAGTGCAAAAGCAACCACAGACAACACATAAACTAATGTGCTATGTTCTAATAAAACTTTATGAATACTGAAATTTGAATTTCATATGATTTCCACATATCAACAAAGTGTTATTCTTTTGATTTTTTTCAACCATTTAAAAATGTAAAAACCATTCTTAGCCCTTACATAATTCCTCCTGCCCATTCTTCCCTGCCTGTCTCTTCCCAGCCTCCCCAGGTAATCATTGATCTGCCTTCTGTCACTACAGATTAGTTTGAAGTTTCCAGATATTTTATATAGATGAAATCATACAGTGAGTACTCTTTTTTTTGTAATGCTGCTTTTATTTAGACTAATTATTTTAAGATTCATCCATATTATGTATATCAAATAGTTATTCCTTTTTATTACTGACTAGCATTCCATTGTATAACACAGTTTGTTTATCCATTCGCCTGTTGATAGACATCTGAGTTGTTGCCTGTTTCTGGCTGTTTTATGAACATGAACATTTATGGACAAGATATTTCTCTTGGGTAAATACCTAGAGGTAGAATGTCTGGATCATATAGTAGATATATATTTACCATTTTAAGGAACTGTTAAACTGTTTTTTTGTTTGTTTGTTTGTTTGTTTGTTTGTTTGTTTTTGAGATGGAGTCTCGCTCTGTCACCCAGGCTGGAGTGCAGTGGCTGTTCTCAGCTCACTGAAACCTCTGCCTCCCAGGTTCAAGCAATTCTCCTGTCTCAGCCTCCCGAGTAGCTGGGATTACAGGCACATGCCACCATGCCTGTCTAATTTTTGTATTTTAAGTAGAGACAGGGTTTCACCATATTGGTCAGGCTGGTCTCGAACTCCTGACCTCAGGTGATCCACCCGCCACGCCCTCCCAAAGTGCTGGGATTACAGGCGTGAGTCACCACGCCTGGCCTATTAAACTGTTTTCTAAAGCAGTTCTGTTTTACATTCCCACCAGCAGTGTAGGAGAGTTCTTGTTCATTTGCATCCTTGCCAACACTTGGTATGGTCAGTCATTTTAATTTAGCCATTCTACAGGGAGAATGGTGGTGTTTCATGGTGGTTAATTTGCATTTTCCTAAAGACTAATGATGTTGAGCATCTTTTCATGTGCTTATTTGCCATCTTTATATCTTCTTGGTGATGTAAATATCTGTTCACATTTTTTGCCCATTTTTACTGGATCATTTGCCTACTTTTTGAATTTTAGGATTCCTTATATATTCTGAACACAAGTTGCTTATATGATTTGCAAATGTCTTTTCCCATCTGTGACTTGTCTTTTCATTCTCCAATTGTATCCTTCAAAAAGCAGAAATTTTTAATTTCAATGAAGTCCAAGACTTATGATAAAGCTAGAGTAATCAAGACAGTGTAGTACCGGTATCAAGATAGACAAATAGATCAACAGAACAAAACAGAGAGTCCAGAAATAGATTCACATGAACAACTGATTTTGGCAACGGTACAAAGACTATTCTTTTCCTAAAACAATTGTATGTCCATACGCAAAATCAATGAACTTCAATCCATAATATACCCCATATATAAAAATTAATTCAAGGTAGATCATAGACCTACACATACAACCTAAAATCTAAAATTCATGAAAGAAAGAAAAACAGAAGAAAATCTTTGTGACCTTGGGTAAGGCAGATTTCTTAGATACAACACAAAAAGTATGATCCACAAAAGAAAAAAATGATGAATTGGTTTTCAATCTTTTATATTTTAAAAAATTGCTGCAGTGCATAACCTGGAACATATGCCATTCCATGTGTGCAATTATATCTAAAGGATCAATTGCCAGAAGCCAACCAAGCTTTAGATAAGTTCTGAGTGACAGCAGGTTTGAGGTTCCTCTTTCCATATGAGATCTTGGTTTTAGTACATCCTATGTTGCCATTTGAGTGTTAGAGCAATGTGTTTTAACAATCAACTGAGCAGATAGTAGGGATTCATAACCTTTTATGAAAGTTGGAGAGTGTGAATAGGAGGCCAAGAGGACTACCCACAGGCAAGGCCAATATTTATCTTGAGAAATAATATTGGGTCACCACTAACTAAGAAAGAAAAGACAAAAATGTCCCAAATTCTAGACCACAATAAATCCTTAAAAATTTAAAGTATGTAATCAAACCCTACCTTGGATTTAACAAAAATCCCAAACCATTTAAGATGGAGCACCCTTAAGAGTGTTTAAGATTGAGCAACATCATTTTCTGTCATAACCTTTAAGATAAATTGGTTTTGAAATGTGTGTCAAGGTATCTGAGTGAGCTAATTTGTGACACATTTGTTACTCATAAATCAGTTACACATTGGTGAATTGCTACCATAAATGACCATTTCGTTTTAAAAGGAGCCACCTATAGTTCTTTGACTTGACAGTAATTAGATAGGATGGCCAAGAGTTTATCAAGCCCCTTTATGACACCAAATCCAGAGGGAATGCTTTCCTATTTTTTTCTGTATAGTAGTCCATGGTTGTTAAGAATAAGAAAAAGGGATGTGTTTTCCATTTTTAAAAAAGTTTATTGCTGGGTTTTTGTACAAGAATTCCGCATTAATTGTAGAAGATTTTCTAAATAGCACAAGAAAAAATTGAAAAGAAAAAAAATCAGCTATAATTCCAGTTTTCAAAAAAATGTCCTGATTCTAAAATTAATCATACTACTAACAAGTAGAAATTTTTGAATGTTACTGGATTTTTATTTTTCTGACATTTTGTCTGTAGAATTGGGTGAATTTCTGTTCTTCCTCATTCTTGATGAGGAACGCCCAAATAGAGTGGTTCTTCACCCTGTCGACACATTGGAATCACCTAGAGAGTTTTTTAAAGTGCTGATTCCTGGGTCCCACAGATATTCTAGATGTCTTTGGTCTTGGGTGCAATCTGGGAATCAGGATTTTTTTTTTATTTAAGTTTTAGGGTACATGTGCACAATGTGCAGGTTTGTTACATATGTATACACGTGCCATGTTGGTGTGCTGCACCCATTAACTCGTCATTTAGCATTAGGTATATTACCTAATGCTATCCCTCCCCCCTCCCCCCACCCCACAACAGTCCCCAGAGAGTGATGTTCCCCTTCCTGTGTCCATGTGTTCCCATTGTTCAATTCCCACCTATGAGTGAGAACGTGCAGTGTTTGGTTTTTTGTCCTTGTGATAGTTTGCTGAGAATGATGGTTTCCAGTTTCATCCATGTCCCTACAAAGGACATGAACTCTTCATTTTTATGGCTGCATAGTATTCCATGGTGTATATGTGCCACATTTTCTTAATCTAGTCTATCGTTGTTGGACATTTGGGTTGGTTCCAAGTCTTTGCTATTGTGAATAGTGCCGCAATAAACGTACGTGTGCATGTGTCTTTATAGCAGCATGATTTATAATCCTCTGGGTATATACCCAGTAATGGGATGGCTGGGTCAAATGGTATTTCTAGTTCTAGATCCCTGAGGAATCACCACACTAACTTCCACAATGGTTGAACTAGTTTACAATCCCACCAACAGTGTAAAAGTGTTCCTATTTCTCCACATCCTCTCCAGCACCTGTTGTTTCCTGACTTTTTAATGATCGCCATTCTAACTGGTGTGAGATGGTATCTCATTGTGGTTTTGATTTGCATTTCTGTGATGGCCATTGATGATGAGCATTTTTTCATGTGTTTTTTGGCTGCATAAATGTCTTCTTTTGAGAAGTGTCTGTTCATATCCTTCGCCCACTTTTTGATGGGGTTGTTTGTTTTTTTCTTGTAAATTTGTTTGAGTTCATTGTAGATTCTGGATATTAGCCCTTTGTCAGATGAGTAGGTTGCGAAAATTTTCTCCCATTTTGTAGGTTGCCTGTTCACTCTGATGGTAGTTTCTTTTGCTGTGCAGAAGCTCTTTAGTTTAATTAGATCCCATTTGTCAATTTTGTCTTTTGTTGCCATTGCTTTTGGTGTTTTAGACTTGAAGTCCTTGCCCATGCCTATGTCCCGAATGGTATTGCCTAGGTTTTCTTCTAGGGTTTTTATGGTTTTAGGTCTAACATGTAAGTCTTTAATCCATCTTGAATTAATTTTTGTATAGGGTGTAAGGAAGGGATCCAGTTTCAGCTTTCTACATATGGCCAGCCAGTTTTCCCAGCACCATTTATTAAATAGGGAATCCTTCCCCCATTGCTTGTTTTTGTCAGGTTTGTCAAAGATCAGATGGTCGTAGATATGCAGCATTATTTCTGAGGGCTCTGTTCTGTTCCATTGATCTATATCTCTGTTTTGGTACCAGTACCATGCTGTTTTGGTTACTGTAGCCTTGTAGTATAGTTTGAAGTTAGGTAGCATGATGCCTCCAGCTTTGTTCTTTTGGTTTAGGATTGACTTGGTGATGCGGGCTCTTTTTTGGTTCCATATGAACTTTAAAGTAGTTTTTTCCAATTCTGTGAAGAAAGGCATTGGTAGCTTGATGGGGATGGCATTGAATCTATAAATTATATTGGGCAGTATGGCCATTTTCACGATATTGATTCTTCCTACCCATGAGCATGGAATGTTCTTCCATTTGTTTGTATCCTCTTTTATTTCATTGAGCAGTGGTTTGTAGTTCTCCTTGAAGAGGTCCTTCACATCCCTTGTAAGTTGTATTCCTAGGTATTTTATTCTCTTTGAAGCAATTGCGAATGGGAGTTCACTCATGATTTGGCTCTCTGTTTGTCTGTTATTGGTGTATAAGAATGCTTTTGATTTTTGTACATTGATTTTGTATCCTGAGACTTTGCTAAAGTTGCTTATCAGCTTAAGGAGATTTTGGGCTGAGACGATGGGGTTTTCTAGATATGCAATCATGTCATCTGCAAACAGGGACAATTTGACTTCCTCTTTTCCTAATTGAATACCCTTTATTTCCTTCTCCTGCCTAATCTCCCAAGCAGGTCCTAATGTACAATCAAGATTGAGAACTACTGGCCCAAATATAAAGAAGGGAATCTGTTACAGACTGAATTGTGTCCTCCCAAAGTTCATATATTGACATCTTATTTCTTAGTATGACAGAATGTGACCTTATTAGAAACAGGATTGTTGTGGATACAATTAGTTAAGATGAAGTCATACTGGAGTAGTGTAGGCTCGTAATCCGGTATGACTGGTGTTCGTATAAAAGGGGGAAATTTGGACACAGACACAAACATAAGGAGAACACCATGTACAGATTGGCCAAGGAACCATCAGGACCCAGGAGAGAAGCCTAGGACATATCCTTCCCTAGAGCCTTCAGAGGGAGCATGATCCTGCCAACACTTTGATCTCAGACTTACAGCCTGCAGAACTGTGAGAAAATAAATTTCCGTTGTTGAAACCACTCAGTTTGTGATACTTTATGACAGCCCCAGCAAACCAATAAGATTTATAATCATTTTAAGTGGCCTCACAACCATGTTACATTAACTTCATGGTGTGACTGACTAAATGTCAAGAATAGAGTCACAGAAGGCACCCAACCTGGAAACATTTTGTCACATGTTCACATAGAAATTATAAAGGTCTATTTCCAGCAAATCATCACCTTCAAAAAGGCTTACACTTCCTGTTTGGTCACAATCTGCACACAGGATCAACTACCCTCTAAGTACAGGCTACCTGTCATAGCCATGCCCTCAGCAATTTTGAAAGAATGAAGACCCCCAACCCAGGGTAGGAAGTCATATGAGAATGACTCAAGGTCCAAGCTGCTTCCAAGTAAAATTCTGAGTAAAGTCACAGCAAAATAATGTCCATATATTCCCCCAGATTTGGTGTTATTGCATAATCACTGACTTTCTGACCATATTTCTAAGACATTTTGTTACAGTCCTACAAAAATGTTAGGTAAATGTGGGCCCAAGGAATTCAACAGGAACTACCCCATGGTGAATTAAGCCCCCTGAAGATTTGTTGGGGCATGTCAAAGTAATATAATTTTACAGCTATTTATACCTGCCTGCCAGAATTCATTCTTTTATGTGATTTAATAATAAATTTAAAAAAATTTTTTTTTGAGACGGAGTCTCACTCTGTCACCTAGGCTGGAGTGCAGTGATGCGATCTCTGCTCACGGCAACCTCCGCCTCCTGGGTTAAAGCGATTCTTCTGCCTCAGCCTCCAGAGTAGCTGGGATTACAGGCGTGCACCACCATGCCTGCCTAATTTTTTATATTTTTAGTAGAGAAGAGGTTTCACCATGTTGGCCAGGCTGGTCTCGAACTCCTGACCTCAAGTGATCCGCCTGCCTCACCCTCCCAAAGTGCTGGGATTACAGGCGTGAGCCACCACGCCCTGTCAAATTTAAATTATTTTAAAAGTTATTTCAGTTACCTATTTTTAAATGGTATCTGACTAACAATCCTGTCTGTAGACAGCATCCTTCGGGTTCCCATGAAAATATCTATGAAAACACAGGAACACACACATATATACACATACACATACCCACACACCATAGAAAACTAAAATTGGCAGAACCTTACTGTTGCAGCTAAGTACAAAGCAGACGGATCATGGGAAAGGAAGAGAAAAGGCAACTGATGCCCTATCAGTGCTTTCCTACAAAATAAAACAGTCTCATGTGCCAAATAAAGATCAAAAAAGACTCTTATTCCTTTCCCCACAGTTTGATCCACTCTGCTAAGGTTGCAGTAATGTCTGTGATTGTCTTGGCTGGGGTGTGGGGGTGAGGGATAGTTTCAGGGGTTCTCTACAGGTCAGGGACCCAATATGAAGATTGCCAGTGCTAGGTAGGTCCATATTGATTATACTTTTGGGTGAGTCTGTGGACCCAGTGGGCCCACTATGAGTCATACCCAAGCAAGCTAGAACTCCATTTATTACCTGGCCCCTTAGGCCTGTACGCTAACATGAGGAAGTCGTGATGGTATTTAGGGTCCTGGGGTATCAGTGTCAACTAGGACCCTGTATCCAACAAACCTGGAAATATCTGAGGATTCCCCTTTCCCCCACACATGGTTACTCAAGGAAATGTCCCTAAGTCCCCATAAGAAAGAACTGGGGGGAATTTCTATTGTATGTAATTGCTATGGTGTGGTAAGTTCCTTCCTCATGGGGACCCAGTCTTCAATTTATTCTAAAAGCTATCTTGGATCTTGAAACTGGTCATAGGATTGTGACTTTCCGTTGAGTTGCTGACCTCAGCCTTCTGATCATCCATTCTTGATCTCTTTTAATCATATATGGTAAGCAATACCCAAATTGGCTGCCTATCTATGATACCTCTGAAAACACCATGTTCTATTAGCCATCCCCATAGATCCCTGAAAGTCAGGATCCCCTAGCTACCATTCTGAATTTGCTGTCCATTATGATCATTATGCCCACCTTACTTCTGATGGTTAAGCACTGCCATCTGTCCTTTGCTATTCTGTGATCCCATCATCCCCATTGCTACTAGGGAGCTAGTTCTGTAAACAGCATTTTCTACTATCAGTTCTGGCCTACAGAGAACAGACAATATTAAGCTTATCAATGAGGTGTGTACCCCTTTTGCCAGTGCATTCCTTATTGCCTTAGTAAATAAGTCCCTCCCAAATAACATAGTCAATTGGTTGGGTCTTCTTGTCTTATGTAATAGAGCCATTCTAGAATGTCCCCTTCTGGAAGCCTTTTGACCCCTTTCCCCACATTTGCTTGGCAATCCTGGCATTTCCACTTCATTTAATATAGGCTATCACTTTTTTACAGTCTCCAAGTGCTATCCCAAGAACATGTAAAAAAAAAAAAGTTCCCCTGGAACTACACTAGGGTGTCAAAAGCTGTGTCACAGGAAAGTGCTCCCATACTGATGATGTAGGCAGAATTATAAGATGGCCTCTAAGATCCCTGCTCCCTAATGTTCATGCCTTATATAATTCCTCCAGTTGAGTGTGGGCAGGACTTGTGAATATAATGGGATCTAACTCCTGTGATTATGTTATGTTACATGACAAAGGTGAAGGACTATTACAGATGAAATTAAGGTCCTTAATCAGTTGACTCTGAAGTGACCAAAAGGGAGATCATCCTGGGTGGACCTGACAAAATTAGGCAAGCCCTTTAAAGAAGATAAGATAAGAAGCAGCAGCAGACACTTTCTTGTAGGCCTTGAAGAAGCAAAGTGCTATAATGTGGAGAGGGTTACAGTAGGAACAGTATCAGGGAACAGTGGGCAGCCTCTAAGAGCTGAGAATCTCAGTTCTATGGCTGCAAAAACTTGAATTCTGCCAACAACCAATAAGCTTAGAAGAGGATCCCAACTATCAAATGAGACTGCAATCCCAGATGACACCTTGATTTCAGTCTTGAGAAACCATTTGCGAACAGAGAATTCAAGTCATGCTTGGACTTCTGACCTAAGAGGTAGTAAGTGGGTATTATTTTGAGTTTCTAAGTTTGTGATAATTGTTACATAACAATAAAAAACTATGCAGCCATAAAAAATGATGAGTTCATGTCCTTTGTAGGGACATGGATGAAATTGGAAATCATCATTCTCAGTAAACTATCGCAAGAACAAAAAACCAAACACCGCATATTCTCACTCATAGGTGGGAATTGAACAATGAGAACACATGGACACAGGAAGGGGAACATCACACTCTGGGGACTGTTGTGGGGAGGGCGGAGGGGGGAGGGATAGCTTTAGGAGACATACCTAATGCTAAATGACGAGTTAATGGGTGCAGCACACCAGCATGGCACATGTATACATATGTAACTAACCTGCACATTGGGCACATGTACCCTAAAACTTAAAGTATAATAACAATAAAATAAAAATAAAAAATTAAAAAATTTAAAAATTTAAAAAATAAAAAACTAATATAATCAACAAATTTTCCATAACAGCTTTATAGTCTGCCTCCCTGGACCAGCACCTCCAGGATCACTTCCAAGCATACTCTCAGTAACCGCTGGTACACGTTAGCTAATCTTGCAACTCCTTTGATATACAATCCCCCTCCTCCTTGAATATGCTCAGCACTGCCTCTTAGGTCATGCTGAGATTTGACCCTAGTTATTGGTCTGGTGGTGATTAGGGTTGGTAGGCATAGATCATGAGGAGGACAGGCTTTGACTTGTAAGGCATCTGCTTCATTTGAGGCCTCTGCATATTCTTCAAGAGAAGGGTAACTCTATCTTCCAGCAAGACGCAGTACACCACTTCTGTAGACCCAGAGAGTTCAGGGTTTCTTATCTCCATGCCAAGTCTCAGAGCCCCTTCCCAGTCAAGGCCCTGACTTTGGCATAAGAGACTTGCCTAAGCTGACATTCAGCCTCCTTTGAAGTTCTGCCACTCTTAAAATTATGTCTTATGCCTGATTTTTAAGGCTATCTTCTCTTCAGCTTCAGGTATGAGGCTCTTCTTAAATGCAGCCAAGGAAGACCTGTGACTCTCACACTTTACTTTTACTTGCTGATTAATGGGATCTGAGCTTGTCATGTTCTCTCTCCAATGCATCAGTGATGCTTAGCAACTCCAGTTCTTATAGTTTCTATTTCCCCATACTTCCCAAGTGCCAGAGACATTGTACAAGCAAGGGAATCCCCTTCTACCTGTATATTAGCCCAGCTCACTTCAGGCTAAAGATGTAGCAATCATTTTGCTCCAGCATGCCATGGACTGTCAATACTCTACCTTCCACCAGTGATGAAGTCCCCATTACCATTGAACCAGTGAATGATCCAATGCCAGAATCCCGTTCACAGAGTCTGCTTTCAAGACCACTCTTAGTACCAACTGACTTAGGTTGGTATTTCTAGAATCGGAAGCTGTGACAATGATTGTTGTTCACAGAATTTATTAAAGTGTTCTCAGGAGAAAGGAAGTGAGGGAAACATGCTGGAACAGAGGAAACACCACTATGTAAGGATGCATTCTGAGTTGAAAACTTGCTTTCAGCCTGATCCGACAGAGTGCTCTGAAGCATAAATAGTACCATACAGTTAGTCCCACTTTGAAACTAGGGGGCTAGCTTTTTGTACCTGTGTGTCAGTGAGTCATTAGCTGTGTAGACTACCCCTAGTTGGAGATGAGAAGAATAAGCTTCCTAGGTGGTCCTGCTCAGCCAAGGTCAATTCACTACAAAAAGTAGCTGCTGTGAGCTGTTAGCAAGCAACACTCCCAGAAGCTCGGGAATAGATGCATCAGCTGGCAAAGGAGATCTGGATGGGGCACCCATGGCATCCACTCTACAGCCCCTCCATGATTACAGTTTTGTGTATGCTACTCGACAACCACCTGCATTATTTTCTCCCATCACTCCCTCACCTCTGATCCCATTTCCAATTACCCTCCTTATTCCTGGCCACACTGATCTTGCTGTTCCTGAAACAGATTAGTGTTGTCACACCGCTGAGCTTTTGCACTTACTGCTCCCTTTGCTTAGAATATTTTTCCAAAAATCTTGGCATGATTGACAGCCTCACATCACCTTCTCAGTAAAACCTATCATGGCCATTCCACTTAAATTGTGAACCATCCCAGCACTCCCTGTCCCCTTTTCCTGTTTTATTTTTCTCTATTGCACTTATTACCACTGACATTCTATATATTTTAGTTATCTGGTTATTGTCTGACCCCACCACCACCACTAGAGTATTAGATCTATGAGGGTAGGGACTCTTTCTGTTCTGTTTTCTCCTGTGTATCTTAGAACAATGCTTGTCATTACAGAGAGTAAATGATTGTTTGGTGAATTAATTAATTGACTAGTTAATTAATACCTTTTAAAGAAATGATAAAAGAGAACCCCCTTGTTAAGAATTACTCTAAAGCAGTGGTTCTCAAACTAAAGCCTGTGTCAGAATTGCCAGAAGGACTTGTTAAATCACAGATAGCTGAAGCTTACCCTCAGAGTTCCTGATTCAGTAAGCCTGGAATAGTGCCCAAAATTTTGCATTTCTAACAAGCCCCTAGATGATGCTGATGATTCTGGTCCAAGGACCCCACTAAGAACCACTAGTGTAAAGACATATGGATTAATTACATAATGTAAAATGGCACAAGAATTTCTACAAATTTCTCACAACTTATAAAAACCCCAGGTGGAAATAATAAGTAAAGACATTTCCCCTAGAATTTCTCTTTGGAAGATCATAATCATATTTTAAAATGCCTTTAAATATTTTATACATAGTTTATAGTAATTGGATCAAAAGATGAATGATTTAAAATCTTCATTCAAGTTTCATGATAGAACTTTAAATAACCAATAAATTATTTACAGTTTTTAATAATATGCAAAATGCTTATGTTTTAATGTTAAACAGAAAAAAGATAATAAAATTGAATATATGCAAAATGTAATCCCAATTATGTAAAATAAGCATAGAAAAATATTAGAATTACATCTACAGTAACTGTGATTTTCTTTGGGTAATGGAACTATTGTAAGATTTTGATTTCCTTTTTCATGACTTTCCAATTTTTCTATAATAAGCATGTATTACTTTAATAACCAGAAAACTACAAATATAGTTTTATTGTTAAAGTTAAGATTTATCTTTCTAAGAAGACAAAAAATAGGCAAAGATGGAAGTCAAGAATATAGACAGACACAAAACTAACACCAAAATGAAAATAGCAAGCATTGGCTAGGCCTAAACTGTCATTTTTCTCTTGTTAAAATTAAGATATTCATAAATATCCCAAGGACTTGTACTAACAACTCATGTTTAATTTCTTTAATTGAATTAACATTGAATAACAGTGCATTCCCACCCCAAAATAGCTTTTTAAAGAAATGTTATTAATTCATTGCTTGTTTTCAAAATTTCAAAATATAAAATCTACATATACAGTTGTTAAAAATAAAAGCCAAGTATCTTAATTAGGGTTACATTTACAAAACTCCCTTGTTGATTTTCCATTTAGAGACTTCATGAAAATATTTTGAGCCATGTACAAAATGAAAGGAACTAGGAGGCTAATTAGCATGAAATTCCAGTTTCTCTCTACTTTAGGTTGAATATGAGGTGACTTAGCTTTAAAGCAACCCAAAAGAGGATCACCCAGTGTTATATAGACTGTCTTTCTGGGATTATTCTGTTTCAGAAAGATGTTTTATAAAATAATCATTAAAGAGTGGTACCTAGGGAAACAATATTGCATCTGTTTTTAAAAATTAAAATAAGCAAACTAATTTCAGTTCAGAGAGAAAATTCATTAAAATTATATTCATGTAAGTTTGACTTTAGAACCATGTAAATATTCTATAAAACAAAATTAAATTTAAAAACAATTTCTAAAATATTCAAAAGTAAAATGACACAAAGGAACATAACTATGTATCCAGGTGTCATAACCAGACAGAGATGAACTATTCCAAGTGACTTTAAAACACTATAATTTGACTGGGTGAGGTGGCTCACGCCTGTAATCCCAGCACTTTGGGAGGCCAAGGCGGGCAGATCACAAGGTCAGGAGATGGAGACCATCCTGGCTAACACGGTGAAACCCCGTCCCTACTAAAAATACAAAAAAATTAGCTGGGTGTGGTGGTGGGCGCCTGTAATCCCAGCTACTTGGGAGGCTGAGGCAGGAGAATGGCGTTAACCTGGGAGGCGGAGCTTGCAGTGAGCCGAGATTGGGCCACTGCACTCCAGCCTGGGTGGTGAGACTCCGTCTCAAAAAAAAAAAAAAAAAAAAAAAAAAAAAAAAAAAAAATATATATATATATATATATATATATATATATATATATATGTGTATATATATATAATTTGACTCTTCATCCCTACTGAGATATATCCTAATGACAAAAAAGCCCCATTTGAACTTCAGATAAACAACAAAAATCACTTTTTAGTATAAGTATGTCCCAAACATTGGATAGGACATATTTATACTAAAAATACTTTTACTAAAAAGTATACATTGTTTGTCCGAATTTCCGATTTAACGAAGTGTTCTGTATCTTATTTGGCAACCCTATGTTGGGGGAAACTGGGTAAAGGATACACAGGACTTCTCTGTACCATTTTTGTAACTTTCTATAAATCTATAATTATTTCAAAATAGAATTTTAGTTTTAGAGATAGGGTCTCTGTCACCCAGACTGGAGTGCAGCAGCAGGATCATAGCTCACCAGGATCACTTGAACTCCTGGGCTGAAGTGATTCTCCTGCCACAGCCACCCAAGTAGCTGGGACTACAGGCATGCACACCATGCCCAGCTAAAAAATAGTATTTTTTAAAAGTGAGAGAGTAGAGTTTGCAAAGTAGTTGGCTCATGGAACTGGAGTCTAGACCATCTCAAACTACCTGTAGCTAAGGAAAAAAAATGGTACCTAGAATATTCAAGAAAAGATTAGTAAAGGTTAAAAGGCGGTAGTCCTGGGTTAAGACATGACATGAAATCATTTAATGCAAATTAAATTTGTATTTAATTTAGATGAATTGAGGACCTAAACTATATAGGTGAATTGCTAGCTAACCTAGGAGGACTAGAAGCCATTTCTCTGTCCATGGTGCTGGACCAACAACAAAGATTTTCTTTAAATTCAATACAAGTATATCCTAATTAAAATCACACCTTGGACCATTGTAAAAAGTATGACTTAATCATATTTTCCTTTAGAAAGTCATGCTGCTGACCTGAAATTGCATGAAAGGCAGTAACAGCAGAATTTACAAGTGAAAGTTAGAAACACAAGGAAATCTCTTCCAAAAAAACATTGTTTTTTTCACTGATATAATTTTTTCTTCGATTGAAGAATTGTTTTTACAGAATATCAAACTGTTTACTCAGTCATTTCAACACCAACCTGAAGTGGGGAAGAAAAAAATAGCAATGCCCTTCTTCCTAATCTCAGTCACATTTTCAATTTGGGAAAAATTTGAAGAATCAACTTTCTTTTTCCTGGGTTTGGGGGAGGGAAGTAAGGTAAGAAGAAGAGAGTACTATGAGAGTGGACAAAAATATCACAGCACCAGAACACATGGTGAGTGGGTAGAGTGGGAGAACACTACAGAAATGGATATGCATGACCTCACCATGAGCATTCCTAAAATATCCTGTAAAGATGGAAGGATTAACAGCTTATTCAACACTGTGTGTACAGATGCACAGAGCAGACCAACAGCTCAATAATCATTTCTTGCCTGTCAGCTTCATTGAAAATTGGTGCTTAAAACTCAAGATAGTTTTGCTCAGGGAACTAAATATACGTTTTTAAAGTATATTTTCCACTTAGCAACATGCCTCAAACAGGTTTCTTCTCTGAAACCAACACAGCCAAATCTCACCCAGTACATAAGTACAACTTTGCAGAAACCCAGGTAAGGTAAGGGGTCAAGGGTTTTCACGGTAAACATTGTGCAAAATTTTGAACCATAAAAGTGTTTTTAGTGCTTGCCCTTAGCACGGAGGTAGATACTAGGGATTTACAGAGATTAATAATGCATACCTCACCCTCAACAAGCTTATATTCAATTTAGAGGGAAGATAAAAATCACACAAAGGTGAAAACTTCTTTTAAAGAACTGTGAAGAGTTGGAAATTGACATCTTCATAAACATTTGCTCTATACTTTAAGTTTGCAGAGTACTTCCAAAGATTCTAACATTTGACCTGCAAAATAGCCCTATGAGGTAAGAAGTTTTATTAAACTCCAGGGATCCAGCTTTGAAGAAGAAAACAAAATATTCCTAAACACTGCTTCAAATAGTATTAATTAATTTAATCTGCTGATTTATAGCGATATTAAAATTAGTTTACCTCCTTGGAGATATTCATATCCCAAAAATATATTGTCCAATCTTTGGCACATAGTAGATGCTCAATAAATGCCATTGAAGGCAAGTTGCATTATGTATTAATAAGTGTTACAGATGAAGAAACTATAAGAACAGCAGCATATCATTCACTGTGATATCCATTCCACTAGGCCAGTGCTTGACATAGGGGCACAGTATATAGAAAAAAGTAAACTAGTAGGAGACAAAGTCTAATAATAGAGCACTTCCTACATGCCAGGTACTGTTCTAAGCCCTCTACATATATTTCCTCATCTAAACCACATAACAACTTTATGAAGTATGGATTGTTATTATGTCTTTTTTTAAGGAAAAGTAAACAGGTTAGCTACCTTACCCAAAATAACTCAGATATTAAGAGCTTATGATCTTTTCAATATTCACTCAGTAGACCACAAAGCTAATAGTCACTTTAGAAATTTAAAGGAAGAGACTGCCCCAGGCTGGGTTAGTCAGAAAATATTTTATACCAGAAAAAAATAGAAAACAGGTCAGCAAAGTAGCTGTCAGATTTCATAAAGTGAGAAGAGGGCACTCCAGGACAGTGAGGAGGAATGACCAAATGCACAGAGAAAACTCACACAAGGAATATCTACCAGTTAGGGTCAGCAACACCAGCAACTGTAACAAAGAGACTTCTGAAGACTATGTTCCTGGGTATGTGGTTGCCTTCAAAGACCCAGACTCCTTCTGTCTTGTGGCTTATTAGCTCCAAAGTCTTGAGGTGTACTGCGGGATGCTCTGAAACTTGCGAGGAGACAAGGAAAGAGAGAGCACAGAACAGCATTCTCATTTATATAGGTCAAGTCTGGAAGTTGCTCACTTCACTTCCACCTTTAATCCGCTGGCCTGAACTCAACACCATGGCTACTACATACAACTGCAAAGGAGGCTTGGAAATGTAATCTAGCAGTGTGCCTGGGAGGAAAAGATGAGGAGGTCTCAAGTGCAGCATTCAAACCAGAACTTCTTCTACATGCCATAGAAAGCTCTTATTCTCCTCTTACAGTTCTGTTCTAGTCTTAAGGTGTAATTTATCACTGACCATGATGGCAAGAGTTGACTGAAAGGGTAGTAATCAAACATAATAGTCGCCCTAGTTTTAGCAACCACCTACAGTCTGTTCCACAAATGGCTACTTACTCCAGCATTGTGTTCTTGTTTGGGAAAATGTGACTTATTTGAGCAATACAATGGGCATAGAAAAATTACCTAGCAAAGGAAACCCTGCACAAAACCTAAGAAGAAAAATATCAGACAAAAGGTAACAGAAACTCAACCACAAGAAAGAAAATTTCATTTAGGTTTATGAAAGGAGAAGAAAATGGAATAGTTAAAAGAAATCAAGAGTAGTTATAAGAAGTACAGAGCACAGAAGAGTGAATATGACAAAAATACTTTATTCAAGGGATGACTGGGGAAAGTTAGGAAAGTAAAGGGAGAAGACAGAGGGTTAAAGACAAGATTCAGTCATCACCCTAAAGATAAGGTAATGAGAGCCCCTAATAGAAATATGATTGATAAGGATAATTCATATTTTATGACAAATATTGCTCAAATTGGGAATATAAACCCTTCCTTCTCTATAATCATCCACCCCCAAGGATTATCCCAAGATATTCTAGTAAACTTCAACAGAGTAACAGCATTAAGGGTGGGAAGGCCAAAAATGGTGTTTATATTTGATTTTTTCATTTCTTCCTCTCCCATTCACTCTTCCAGAATGTGGCTTCTCTCCTGACAAAACCACTGAAATCACTCTTACCGAGTTTACCAATAACCTCCATCTTGACAGATCCAGTGGCCACCTCTCTGTCTTCAAACTTAATGTCCTGTCAGCTGCGCTCAATACAGATGATCACTCTTTCTTAAGATAATTTCGTCTCATGTTTTCAGTGACATCACACTTTCCCTAGCTAGTTCCTCCTTTTCCAACTGATCTCTAAGTGTTTGTAAGCTCAGGAATCGACTTCTCTGTCTTACCCTGATGGGCTCATGCAGTGCTATAGTTTTAAATACCATTGACAGTCTAATGACTCCCAAACTATATCTTCTGCTGACATGACATCTCTTCTTGGTAGGCTGCTGGCTAAAAGATCCTCTAAATTACTACTGTGGACAGAAACAAAACTCATACTTCCCTCCCTCCACAAAACCCATTTATCCACCTGTCTTTATCATCTCTGTAGATGACACCGTCAGTCACCTAGTTGGTCAAGCCAAACCCTAGTATTGCTCAAGTTTTCTTTCTCTCCATCAACCCCTAAAACCAATCCAGCAGCAAGTCCTTCCAACTCTATCTCAAAAATATCTGAAAAGTATCCATTTATCTCCATCAACACTGATTCCATCGGACCTGCAGCATTATCCTCTCTCGCCATCAGTACCTCCTAGCAGATTTCCCTTTTCCACTCTTTCTCTTTTCCACACTATTTTTCACTCAGAATGTCAGAGTAATTTTTAAACTATAAATCAGATGTTATTGTCCTGTTTAAAACTCTCTCATGACTTCCCTTTTTTTTAAACAAATCCAAACTCCTTAGCATCACTGAAAATTATCTATCTCCCTAAACTCATCTCATAAAATTCTACCCCAACTGAACATGTATCTGGCCACACTAGCCTTCTTTCTGTTCTTCTGCTAGACCGAGACTCCACTTCTTCTAAACTTGCTCATCTCATTCCATCTCATTACTTTATTTCATTCTTTGTATTTATGGCTACCATAAGTATCCCATTTACATTTGGTTTCCTTATTTATTAGTTGTCTCTTTCACTAGACTACAAGGTTCATGACAGCAGAGACTGCTGTTCACTGCTATATCTTTAGCATCTAGCACTAATAGCTTATTGAGATGATTCTTAATACATATTTTTTAAATGAATGATTTAAAGTAGCAAAAGTAGCAATTTGTAGACAATAAGAATGGAGGAAATGGGCCTCCTTTGCCACCTGAATCATCCACCAGTACTGTCTTCTGACCAAGGTTTGAAATCTGCTGAGATCTCATGAGAGAGGAAAGCAGCACAATAAAACTCTGAACTGCTGTAGGCAGTGGTGGGTCCAAATTAGTCTAAAGAGAGCTATTTTGACATGGGGGAGGGACATCAGAAAAAAAGTGGAAAGAAGCAGAAAATTGTTGCTATGTGCCACTGGGCCTCAGAAGAGCCAGAGAGAATGATGGATAGAAATTACAAAGTAAAAGTTTCAGAACCACCACTCTTGGCTTTCACTTTCCAGCCCACAATAACCACCAAAGTGCAGTCATTCTATTTCCAGGGTTCTATTTCTAGGCTGTAAGAATGGAGCAAATTTTAGAGTATTACAGACTTTCACAGGAAAAAGAAAAGATTACCTAAAAATATGTTCACCTTTGCCAAGAACTGCTTCCAAACACAAACCCTAGCTTGTCACACCTGCCCCATTTCCCCCTTTTCTCTTCGTTGCTAGTACCTACCCCCTCATTGCACCAGATACAGCTGGTACCATAAGAATTAGCTAACATGTCCCAAGCAATCTGATCTCTTCAAATGGAAAGTGTTCCAGAAATAAAAATAAGGTGCTAAATAGTTACAAGTCGTTTCTAGCAGAATAATTGTTGAGATTTTCTATTTTTCTATTTTTAAGTTTTCTCCCTTATGCTTTATGGAAGATAATGCCAAAGCATGTGATGTTTCACCATATGATTAGTTCTCAAATAAGGGACACAAAGCTAGTATTATCTGGAGCCACATTTTCTATTTTATCTTGAAAATGTACACCAACCTAAAAGAAGAATAAAAACTTTTTCTCTGTCCAAAGAGTTTGACAAGTTGGATTCAAACTTTCTGCAGTATACAGGTATTAGGTATTAGATTTAAATTCTCATTTAACTAGTATTTACTGAGTACCTACTGTGTGCCCACTATAGTGACAAAAGTGTTCACACTTTATTTAAGCTTCTTAACTATCTTTTTAAGGGGCCATTGTTGTCCCATTTTAGAGATGAAAATTTTGAAAATTAGAGTTTAAATAACCTGACCTACATTTATAAAGGCCATGCCCACTTTTGTATGCTTATAATACATAGTAGGCAGAATAATACCCACCCCCAAGATAAAAGTTCATGTCTTAATCCCTGGAAACTGTGAATGTGTTACCTTAATGGTAAAAGTGACTTTGAGATGTGTGACCAATTAAGGATTATCTTGGATTATCCAGGTAAGCCCATATAAGAATCCTCTCATGTAAGGATTCTTCTATGAGAGGGAGGAAATAGAGTCCATCAGAGAAGGAGACATGATGACAGAAGCAGAAGTCAGAGCAATACAATACTGTAAGGGGCCACAAGTAAAAAACATGTGGGAAGCCTCTGGAAGCTGGAAAAGGCAAGGAGATAGATTTATCCCTAGAGCCTCCAGAAGGAATGCAGCCCTGCTATCTCCTTGACTTTAGCCTACTGAGAACTATTTTGGTCTTCTGACCTCCAGAACTGTAAGATGATAAATTTGTGTTGTTTGAAGTCACCAAGTTTGTAGCAATTTGTTACAGTGTCAATAGGAAACTAGTACCCTATACATTCTTTTTAATATCCATATATGTTCTTGTATTTAACTACAGGACTGTAGGCTCCAAATGTCCTGTTCACTTCCCCATCTTCAGCATCTGTCACAGTGCCATCTGCCTAGTTGTTCGTGCTGATGGTTGTTGTTAATGTTAATTCAAACCCTACAGAAAGCACAATAGCAATCCAAACCATATCTAACATCATTCACTTTCATGCCAATAGAAGGAAATTGATCACCTATGTAAATATTTATATCACTTTTTCCAACAATGGATATTTGTAACATTTGTAACTTTTTTAAAAAACTCAGCTGATTTAGCTGGGATTAGAAACTAATGGACTGAAAGATGTCAACAGGCCTTTCTCAAAATTCTTTGAGTTCCATCCTTGGGTTATGCTAAATCATTGGAAACATACATGCTTGGCCTACCTTCCTCCAAATCTAGAGCTATCTATATAGAACAATTTTTTTTATTATTATTATACTTTAAGTTTTAGGGTACATGTGCACAACGTGCAGGTTTGTTACATATGTATACATGTGCCATGTTGGTGTGCTGTACCCATTAACTCGTCATTTACATTAGGTATATCTCCTAATGCTATCCCTCCCCCCTCCCCCCACCCCACAACAGGCCCCAGTGTGTGATGTTCCCCTTCCTGTGTCCATGTGTTCTCGTTCTCATTGTTTAATTCCCACCTATGAGTGAGAACATGCGGTGTTTGGTTTTTTGTCCTTGCGATAGTTTCCTGAGAATGATGGTTTCCAGCCTATTTTAACACTAAATATTGGTTTTCATGGAGGGCTAAAAAAGAAGAAATCCTATCATTTTTAATAAAATGTTTAAACAAATTTTTCTACTGTTACCAAAAATCCCCTTAGCATAAGGAATCCAGTGATAAATTTCTCTCAGTTCTGCCCAGAAAGATATTGTTAGTTTCTCTGGAGAAACTGAAGTGGCTCTAACAACAACAACAACAGCAAAAATGCAAGTTATAAAGCCTTTTGAGTTTTTCTCTCTCTCTCTTTTTTCCCTAGCCACCAGGAGGCACAGAGCTAAATTTGGTATGCGAAATCTATAGCTTCTTACAGCAAGGAGTTCTTGCTGGAGTTTTTCTTCTTTTCTGATTTTGAAAATTATTTTTATTTTGTGATCATTGTTTTGTAACATTATGCAGCCTCCCTCAAACCATTTTTGAAGGTTAGGAGAATATAAATGAATCAATAAAGAATAATATTAAACCACATTTTAACATCAATATTTATTAGTGTCTTGATGAACATCCAAGATTTTCAAGAGCAGCATTGCTTACATGCCATGAAACAATGGAATAGCAAATCACCCAGATGGTTGTAGGCTGAAAGGGTGCAGGAGGCCACATTTAATAACAAGATCCTGGGGATAAGGACAGAGAAAATTACATCTACACAGTAGGAAAGACTTTTTCAGGTAACACTCAATCTGGAAGACGTCCATTTTGTGCTTATAACCAGGATGGCCTAAGAATATTTGTGAAGAACTTGGGAAATCTAATAAGAACAAATTGGCTTGAAACAAAGAAATAAAAGTAGAGCTCTACAATTAAAGTTTAAATTTTGAATAGTGCAGATAGAGGCTGAGAGGTTGTTAGAGTTAAAATCAGACCTGCTATTCAGTGTTGCCCAGTCTGTGATATCATTAGATACAATAGATAGTGAGGGACAGTAATTAACCAGTACTATAAAAGAAGGTAACCAACTAGACAAGGAAGAAGCCTGAGACATTTCAATTGGTCATTCCTAGGTAAGGCCTTCACCAGTCCTTGAGATAAGACAGACTGGGAGGTAACCTCAGAGCCAAACCATGCTTACAGTTGAACATGTTTTTGTAGCTCACTCCATTTCAGTCCAAACACATTTATTCGAAATGTCTATGGCGATAAATACTACATTTGGCACTCAGAAATAAAAAGACGAGTAATATATGGTCTGAGCCACAAAAGAGCTCACATTCTAGTGAGGAAGACAGACATGTAGACAAGTAACTACAAGGCTGTATGAGAGTTACGACTAGAATAGCATGTGTGTAATACACAGGCCAAACACAAAAGAGAGTCTAACAAAGGGGATAAAATATAACATGGGTTATGAAGAAAGATACTTAATGTTTGAGGCAGAGAAGAGATGAGAACCCTACGTAGAGGACAAACTATAGGCAAAGTCATAGAAGCATAAAATTGTATCATTCAGAAAAAAAATGCAACATCAAAGTAGGAGTAGGGTAGAAACTAGGACATATTAAAGGTTTCTGAGGAGAGAAGTGACATGATCAGATTTTTACCTCTAAAAATTCCCTCTGGGACAATAGCTGACTAGGTTGTTTCAGACCAATAATCCTGCTGAGAACAATTAGAAAGGCTGCAGGGTGAGGAGGTGGGAACATAAAAAACCCTAGTTTGAATGAATTACAGAACTACTAAGGCATTGAAAATTTGCAGAGTCGAGATCCAGAAGGAAATGGAAACCAAGAGATTTGAGACAGGCACTTGGGAATACTTTTACCATTGAGGCAATTGCCAATTTAAAAAGTGAAAGCAGCAGTGGAGAGGCTGAAAAGCTAACCATAACAATGCACAAGAGGACAAAAAATTGACTTCAGACTGCCAAAGAAAAGAAGCCCTGGTAAATACCTCAGTCAGGACCACAAAGGGGTGCACTCTAGGAGGAAGGATTAACTAGAAATATAACAGCCCTCAAAAGGATTAAAACCCAGCTTTAAGTCAACTCAATTCCTGACCAGATAAAAGTGATTATCCCCATGCCTAGCTGTCTAACAAATGCAAAAATTAATCCTCTCTCTAGAAAGTTTGCATTACTTTCTAGAGTTGCATCAAAACAACTGTAAAAATTTAATGCAAATATCTGGCACTCAATCAAAAATAATCAGGCATTTGAGAAGATAAAATGTAACTGAAACTCAAGATTTTACAAAAAAGACAATAGCAAAAGGACCCATAAGAAATCCACTGAAGGGAGTTAACAGACACAGACTTTAAAATGGTCATAATAATATGTTCAAAAATTAAACCACGAGTTGCGAATTTTGACAGGGAACTGGAAACTACAGAAAAGAGACTTATGCACTTCTGGTTCTGGGTGAGATAAAGTCAGCACACTCCATCCTGTCTTTTTCTCTCAATGAAGCTATATAATCTGGACAGAATGCATTCAGCAGCTATTTGAGGACTCTGAAAAGTAAATTTTGGGAGATGGATGGGGGAAAAAGATCAGAGTTTAAAGTACCACTGAACCAGCAGTGAGTTCTCCCTTTTTTGCCCTCTGCTATCCCTTCCTGAGGTCTCAAGTCAACCTGAAACCAGGAAGTAGGCACCCAAGAATGGACAGAATGAGCTCTAGGAGAATCCCTTAGATTCTGGCTTAATGAGAGGAAGCTATTCATAGCACTATACAAGAAAGAAGAAATTCCCCATTTTTCTTGTTTTCTCTATTGTCACACCCTCCAGCCCTGAGACAATACTGCAGTGGCAGTCAGAGAAACAGAAACAGCAGGAGAAACAGAGGCTACAGGCACCTATTCAATATCATGATCAAAAACAAAAAGTTTGTCATTTAAGATACTAAAAATAATGCATAAACCTCTACCAAGGCTGATAAAGAAAACAAAGAGCATGAATACCCAATATAAGGAATTAAAAGTGGGATGTCACTACAGATCTCACAATCTTTAAAATTGTAATAAGAAAATATAACAACTTTATACCCATATATTTTTAAGGGGCCAGCATAACCTTGATATCTGATGTAGCAGTTCTCTCCCTGGGCTTCTGAAGCTCTGCAGGGCAACCTTTGAAATCTAGGTAGAGGTAGCCATGGTCCCACGGCTCTTACACTCTGTGCACTTGCAGAGTTAGCATCTTGTCGACGCCACCAAGGATTACCCCTTCTGGCTTCTGGAAGGGCAGCCTGAGATGCACCTGGGCCAGCTTGAGTCACAACTAGGGCAGCTGGGGAGCACTGTGCCAGAATGTGTGGAACGGAAACTTGAAGTGAACCTAGGCAGTGAGCTCCAAGGTCCCACAAGTGCCCTGGGCCCCTCCAGCGCTCAGGGCCCTTTCCTTTAAATCCTTCTATCTTTAAGGCCCTGACACTCTGGGCCTATAATGGAAGTGGCAGCCTCAAAGATCTCTAAATGCTTTCTGGATTGTTCTTCCATTGTATTAATGAATAGCATCTGGCTTCCTTCTATCCATATCAATCTCCTTATCAAACATTCCCTTGGCCACACCTCTCGTTTTCTTTCCAAGACATGCCTTTTCTTTCTTTACAACATGCCCAGGCTGAGAATTTTCCAACTCAGTAAGTTCTGCTTCCCTTTTGGTTATAAATTCTGTCTTTAATTCATTTCTTTCTTCACACATTTTACTATAAGCCTTCAAGAGAAGCAATGCTGCACCCTTAACACTTTGCTTAGCGATTTCTTTTGCCAAATATCCTAATTTATTGCTCTTCAATTCTGCTTTTTATGAAACACTAGGACATGGACACAATTAGCCAAGTTCTTTGCCATTTTCTAACAAGGATGGTCTTTCCTCCTGTTTATATTACCTAACAATGGTACGTTGTTCCTTATTCCTATCTGAGACCTTATCAGAATTGCCTTTACTGTCCATATTTCTACCAACAATCTGTTCACAACTACATAGATAATCTCTAAGAGGATTTAGGCTCTGGCTCTCCCTACAGCTCTCTTCTTCTGAGTCTTCACCAGAATCACCCTTAATGCTCCATTCACAGAAATCAAGATTTTTCCAGTATGCACCTCCAAACACTTCCAGCCTTTACCTATTATCCAGTTCCGAAGTTGCTTCCACATTTTAGGTATTTGTTATAGCAACACCCAGCTTTTCAGTACCAATCTCTGTCTTAATCCATTTGTGCTGCTATAACAAAATACCTGAGACTAACTAGGTAATTTGTAAAGCACAGAAATTTATTTCATGGTTCTGGAAGCTGGGAAGTCCAAGAAAGCCATCAGCAAATGTAGTGACTGATAGAGGATGTTCTCTCCTTCTAAAATGGCTCCTACTTCAACCTCACATGGTGGAAATAAAAGGACCAAACTTGCTCTTTCAAGCCCTTTTATAAGAGTATTAATCCCATTCATGAGGGTGGAGCACACATGATTTAATTACTTCCCAAAAGGCACATTGGGTATTAGGTTCCAACGTATGAATTTGGAGGGAAACACACATTCAAACCATAGCACCTGATGAGGACTTTCTTTAAGGGAAAAATGGTAGTTTAATCTATCTTCTATAGATAAATGCAACAATTCTAAATAAAATTATAACAAAATAAATCAAGCAGCATGTACAAAGGATTGTATATGATGAAATGTTGTATTTATTCCAGGAATGCAAAGTTGTATTAATATTAAAAAATCAGTCCATATAATTTACCACATTAGCAGAAAAAGGAAAAAAAAATCATACAATCATCTCAAATGATGCACACTAAAAAAGCATTTGAAAAAATGCAAACTTTCCACATGATTAAAAGACAAAACAAAACTGAGCAAACAAGAAATATAAGAGACCTTGATTAATCCTATTAATGTAACTACCAAAAGCTTGCCAAACATATCATTCTTAATAAATATTGAAAGTTTCCCATAGGATTAGGAACAAGATAAAGTTTCTTGCTGTTACTGTTTCAATTCAGCTTTGTACTAGAAATCTTAGCCAGTGCAAGAAGGCAAGAAAAAATAAAATTAGAATTGTAAAGGAAGTGACAAAACTGTACTTAATTGAAGAGAAGATGACCCTGTATCTAGAAAAAAAACAAAAACATCTATAAATGAAAATATTAGATTTAATAACTGAATTTAGCAAGTCACTGGATACAAGATTCATGTACAATAGCTAATATTATTTCCAACAATAAGCAATAAGAAAATGAAATATTAAAAGATATGATTCACAATAGCATCAAATGACTAGAAATAAATATAATAGATGTGCAAGCCTTCTACATAGAAAACTACAACATTTTTCCCAGGGAAATTAAGGGAGAGCTAAATAAGTGGAAGATAAATTATATTCAAGGATTGAAAGAGTCAATATTATAAAAATATCAATCTCCTAACAAATTAAACTATAGTTCAATGCAATTCCAATCCAAAATTCCAATAGGACTTATTGTAGAAATTGACAAGAAAATTATAAAATTATATAGAAATACAAAGGGCTAACAATAGACAAGACAATGTTAAAGAAGAACAAAATGGAAAAATATATGCTAATGAATGTCAAGATGTATCATAAAGTTACAGCAATTATGACAGTTTGCTATATACAAGTATGGACAAAAAAAGCTAATGGGCATAATAGACTCACACATCTTCATTTATGACAAAGCTACATGCAAAGAAATGGGGATGGAATAGTATTCTTATAAATGATTCCAGGTCAACAGAATATCCAAATTAAGAAAGGGGAGGAAGAAGGAAGAAAAGGGAAGGAAGGAAGGAAGGAAGGAAGGAAGGGAGGGAGGGAGGGAGGAGAGGAAAAGAGAAAGGGAAGGGAAGAGAAAAAGGAAGGGGAAGGGAAGGAAAAAAGGAGGAAAAGTGAGGGAGGGAAGGAAGGGAGGGAAACGGAAGGGAAGAAAGGGGAAGAGGAAGGGAAGGGGAAGGAAGAGAAATAGAAGGGAAGGAGAAGGGAAGAAAGGGGAAGAGGAAAGGAGGGGAAGGAAGGGAAAGGGAAGGGAAGGAGAAGGACAAGGGAAGGAGAAGGAGAAGGGAAGGAAAGGAGAAGGGAAGGAGAAGGAGAAGGGAAGGAAAGGAGAAGGGAAGGGGAAGGAGAAGGGAAGGGGAAGGAGAAGGGAAGGGGGAAAGGAAGGGAAAAAAGGATGGAGAGAGAGAGGGAGGGAAAAACTTGACTCTTACCTCACACAAAACAAGACAATTTCAAATGGATTGTAATTTTAAATGTGAAAGATAAAACAATAAACCTTCCAGAAAGTAACATAGAAAAATATCTTCATGACATTGGAATAGAAAAAAATTTCTTAAACATAACCAAAAAAACCACTACCCATACAATGAACTACATTAAAATT
The DNA here is from genome assembly GCF_000001405.40 of Homo sapiens. Taxonomy (NCBI): domain Eukaryota; kingdom Metazoa; phylum Chordata; class Mammalia; order Primates; family Hominidae; genus Homo; species Homo sapiens. The sequence goes on along the minus strand of NC_000023.11, from coordinate 20,558,854 downwards.
AAGAATTTCTACGTCATTAAAAGAGTGAAAAGAAATCCACACACCAGGAGAAAATATTTTTCAACACATACAAATGGCAAAGGATTAATACCCAAAGCATATTTTTAGAAGACAAAAAAAAAAAAAAACAAGAAAGAAAGTGAGAGAAGAAAAGAAAGAGATTTCTACAAATTCATAAGAGAAAAAAATATAATGGAAAATATGGACCAAATGACTTGAATACTCATTTCAAAAAAGTATATAGTCAAATAATTAACATAAAAATGTAAAAGTGTACTCAATTGTATTAGTCAACAGAAAATGCAAATTAAAACCACAATGGGATACAACAAAACACTCAATAAAATGACTAACAATATCAAGTATTGGCATGGATATGGAGAAACTGAACTGCTCATACACTGCTAGTGAGACTGTAAATTGATACAATCCCTTTGGGAAACTACATCTACTAAAACTGAACATATGCATTCTCTATAACCCATAAATTCCACTCTTGGGTACATAACCAACAGAAGTGAGTACATATGTGCACCAGAAGACATGTCAAGAATATTTTAAAAGTCTAACTCATAGAAGTACAAAGTAGAATGGTGGTTATCAGAGGCTGGGGGTGAGAGGGGTTGGGGTAGAGAGGGAATGGGGAATTGTTGCTCAAAGGGTACAAAGTTTAAGTTAGACAGGAGGAATAAGTTTTAGATCTATGGCACAGTGGGGTGACTATAGACAATAATAATGAGCCATATATTTCACAGTAGCTAAAAGAGTATGTTTGAAAAGTCTCACCACAAAAAATAAGTTAGTGAAGTAATGGATATGTTAATTAACTTGATTTAATCATTCTACATTGTATATATTACTCCATAAATGTGTACAGTTATAATTTGCCAATTAAAAATAATATTAATTTTAAAAGTACAGAATAATATTTATAATGGCACATTTTTTAATAACAAAACACTAGAAATAACCCAAATATTCATTAATGTTATAAGGATAGACAAATTACAGCACATTGCTTATAGTGAAATTCTATATAGCAAGAGAAAACTAATTAGCTACACCTACACACAGTGACATGGATGAATCTCACAAACATAATGTTGAATGAAAGAAACCAGACACAAAAGAACATGTATTACTTGATTCCATTCTTCTAGGGTGTTAGTAAAGTTCTATTTCTTGACCTAGTTGGTGATTGTACGTGTCTGTTTACTCTAAAAATTCATTGAGCTGTGTACTTATAATTTGTGCACCTTTTAAAATGTTATATTTTAATTTAAAAGTTAGTTTATAAAAACTAAATTTACAAGCACAGTAGCAATAAGATTAAAATAATCAAATGCAGAAAATTCTTGAAATTAAAAAAAGTATAAGATGTGTCAAAATTAGCATCTATGCATAAATAAATCACAGTTACTGTGCATTTTTTCTTTATTGATTTATGAATTTAACTTCACTTCAAGTACTGAAACATTTTAAAGATAGCTTAGGTTCCCAAATTTGCACCTAGGATGTTAACCATGAGGGCATAGTGAAAACTCACAAATAGTCGATCTGTCTAAACTTGTTGGAGTTCTGAGTTTAAAGCAATTTTCTCAGAAGTGAGGCTTAAAGTATTTAAGAAAGCTATTTCAACAACCCTGGGTTTGAAATTTAGATTAGGAGTGTTGAAGCACAAAATTAAAAAGTAAATAATAAATCTTTCAGACTTCTGATTCAAGATAATTGAGTGAGTGAACACAGACATTTACCTCTCCTTACAAAAACCACTGAAGAAGAAATATCAAAATAATCATTCCACAGTCTGTTGGGAGTCAGCGATGGGTGTCAGCAATAGATCCAAAAAGAAAGAAATATCTGGTAGCTATAAATTCAATTGGATCAGACTGACGGTGATACCCAAAAGAGCTGAGAAGCCTAGGAAATTATAACCCTTTCCAATCCCAGCAAAAGCACAGACCTTTCAAGGAGAATTTTCCCATAGAAGCTCAGCAGAGGAAAAAAGTCAGAGGCAGTGGGGCTGAGAGAAGTTGTCAGTAGGCATTCAGCTAAGGACATTGGTGGGGGAGGATTGAGTTAATTATATTCCTGTGTTCATGGCATGCTGTCATCATTGGTCCATGCAAAGCCCAGCTCTTGTGATTTTTTTATTCCTTTAGTCTTAGTGTCCATGCTCATTCATATTCCCTCCTTAATTTTTTCCCACTCAACACTATATTTTCAAGATATCTGTGTGACTGTGTACAACTAGTCAGACACTTACAATCACTGCACAGTATTCCATGAGTTGCACCCCTGACATTTTACTTACTCAGTCCCTGGTGCTGCACATCTGGATGCCCCCTCCGCCTACTAGTACAAATAATGTTGTGATGGGCATCTTCCACTATTACCCCACAGACCTCTATGAGAATGTCTCTGGGATACCTAACTAGAAATGGAATTGCTGAGATACAATGTATACAGATTATTAATTTACAATCTAGCTAAATGTTGCCAGATTGTTCACTAGAATGGTCACAAGTCTACACTCCACATTCCCTTCAGCAACGTATAATAATTCCTATTTTCCCACAAGCTTGATGTGATCCACCTTTCTAATGCTTGCTAACCTTAGATAGGTGCAAAATGATATGCCTGGCTTTAGTTTGCATTTCTCTGATTACTAATGACTAAGAGTGTATCCTCATATACTGGATATAGTCTTTTTTTTCCTCTTCTGTGAATTGTTATTTCTTTTTCTTTTGCCTGTTTTTCTACTGTAGTAGTTTTTTCTTATTTATTTGCAGGAGTTTTATTTTCTCCCAGTCTATCAACTGACTGTTTACTTTGTCCATATTTTCCCCATTGAACAGAAATCCTTAGTTTTTATATAATCAAATTCATCTTTTTGTTTGTTTTGGAGTTGAATTTAAGATGTCCCATTCCTTTTAGCCACACAGAAATCTCCAGCGTTATCTTCTATTAACTTTATAGCTTTATCTTTCACATTCACATCTTTCATGCGTCTGGAGTCCACTTTGAACATGGTATTAAGTAGGGTCCCCATTTTATTTTTCTTCATTTAGTGAGTTAGTGTTCTTAATACCATCTGCTAAACAGCCCATCCTTTTCCCATTGATTTCTGGTGTTATTTTTATCATATTAAATTCCCACATATACAAGTGCTCTCTCTGAGTTCTCTGTTCCATTCCATGGGTCTATTTCTTCTTGTGCCAGTACCACGACATATTTTTCTTGCTATGGCTTTGCAGTAAGTCTTAATATCTCAGTGGATAACTCCCCTCTTTGTTCTTCTTTTCCAAAGGTGATATAGCTATTTGCAGAATTTTATTTCATATTAATTTTAAAGTAAAGTTATTGAGTGTCTCAAAAATCTAGATGCACTCTAGATTTTTGTTACATTTCGTAATTAGTGAATATAAACAATTCTTTTCTTTTTTTTTTTCTTTAAGTTCCGGGATATATGTGCAGAATGTGCAGGTTTGTTACATAGGTACACATGTGCCATGGTGGTTCGCTGCACCTATCAACCCATCATCTAGGTTTTAAGCCCCACATGCATTAGGTATTTGTCCTAATGCTCTCCCTCCCCTTGCCCCCCACCCCCTGAACAGGCCCCGGTATGTGATGTTCCCCTCCCTGTGTCCATGTGTTCTCATTAAACAATTATTTTCTATCATACAGAAACCATAGAGTTTCTGTTAAAACTACTAAACTCTTCCATGGTTGCCTGAAAACAGCCATAGAAAACACATAAAATATTTTCTAAGAGGAAAGAATGTCTCCACAACTATTTGGATTTTCTTTCCTTTTCTTAAATAGAGATAGAGCTTTAAGATTTTTTCATGGAGGTGTTGCATATTTTTGGTTATGTTGATTCCTAGGTACCTCAGAGCAGGATCAGCACACTTTTTCTGTAAAGGACCAGATAACAAATATTTGAGGCTTTGTGGGCCATACAGTTTCTGTTAAAACTACTCAATTCACTTACTGTTGCATGAAAGCTGCCACAGACAATGTGTAACAGGTGTGTCTGGGCTCCAATAAAACCTTACTTACAAAAACAAGTGGTTGGCAGAATTTGGCTGATTGGCCATAGTTTATCAACCCCAGCTTTACAGGGGTTTTGGTTTGTTTGTTGGTTTATTGTGCTGTCTTGTTGTTGTTGTTGTTGTTGTTGTTTTAATTTTCATTTTTAGGTTTTGTTTTACTATTATAACTGGTATCTCTTTTACAAAAATTATTTATAGGCAGTTGTTGCTAGTGTAGAGAAATTAATACTATTGATTTTGTAAGTTGATCTTATGTTTGGCAAACTCATTTCTTGATCCTATTGGTTTTTCTAGGTAGATATTTATACAATCTACATATAATGATAGTTTTATCACTTAATGTTCCAATTTTTATAATCTAATTTTGTTTTTCTTTCTCATAACTTTGTCTTGGAGTCCCAGCACTGTATTCAACAGTAGCTGTGATGGAGGTATCTTTCCCTCATTCCTGATCTTAAAAGTTTCTCCAAGGTTTCTCAATCAAATGCAATGTTTGCTGCAAGAATTCGGTATATAACCTTTCCCACAATAAGGAAAATCCCTTTTTACTCCTAGTTTGTGAAGACTTACAACATAAAAAGATTTTGCATTATGAAATACATTTTCTGCATCAACTGAGAGAATATATTCTTTTCCTCTTTTAGGATTTTGGCATCTACATTCATAAGTGAGATAGGCCTGTGAATCATTTTTCTTTTCCTGAGTTGTCTATGTCCAGTTTTGGAAACCAGAGTTTAGCCTCATAATGTGAAGTGGACTATTTTCTATCTTTCAGTATAATTTATCTAAGATACAAATTATTCCTTTAAAGTTTGATAGAAAGTATGCATAAAAACATATGATCCTAGAAAGGATAAGGGAGTTTTTAATTGTATAAAATTGTTTTAATGCTTCCTGCTCTTTTTCACCTTCTGTTTTTATTGAGGTGTGATTGACAAATAAACATTGTATATATTTCATGTGTGCAATGTGATGATTTGATAGACCTTTACATTGTGAAATGATTCCCTCAATCAAGTTAATTAACCTATCCATCACCCCACTTATTTATGGGACATCTTAAATTAAACTCCAAAACAAAAAGATGAATTTGATTATATAAAAACTGAGGATTTCTGTTCAATGGGGAAAATATGGACAAAGTAAACAGTCAGCTGATAGACTGGGAGAAAATAAAACTCCTGCAAATAAATAAGAAAAAACTACTACAGTAGAAAAATAGGCAAAAGGAAAAGAAATAACAATTCACAGAAGAGGAAAAAAAAGACTATATCCAGTATATGAGGATGTACTCTTAGTCATTAGTAATTAGAGAAATGCAAACTAAAGCAAGGCATATCATTTTGCACCTATCTAAGGTTAGCAAGCATTAGAAAGGTGGATCACATCAAGCTTGTGGGAAAATAGGAATTGTTTTTATTTTTGGTGAGAACATTTGAGATCTCCTCTCTTAGCAAATTTCAAGTATATAACACAGCATTATTAACTATTGTCACTGTGCTGTATATTAGAGCTCCAGAACTAATTCATCCTGCACAACTGAAACTTTGTCCCATTTGTGACAACATGGATGAACCTGGAGGACATTATGTTAAGTGAAATAAGTCATACACAGAGAAATACTGCATAATCTTACTCATATGTGGAATCTGGAAAAGTTAAACTCATAGAAATAGAGAATAGAACAATGTTTGCCAGGGGCTGGGTGTGGGGGAAGGGGAGAATGTTGGTTAAAGGGTACAAACTTTTCACCAACTTCTTAAGTGGATTTTAGCATTTAAAATATTTTTTCCAGAAAATACTCATCTGATTTTCAAATGTAATTGCTTAATGTTATTCATTGTGATGGTTAATATTGAGTGTCAACTTGATTGGATTGAAGGATGGAAAGTATTGTTCTTGGGTGTGTCTGTGAGGATGTTGCCAAAGGAGATTAACATTTGAGTCAGTGGACTAGGAGAGGCAGACCCACCCTCAGTCTAGGTGGGCACCATCTAGTCAGGTGCTAGCGTGGCTAGAACAAAAGCAGGCAGAGGAACATGGAAGGACTAGACTGACTGAGTCTTCCAGCCTTCATCTTTCTCCCATGCTGAATGCTTTCTGCCCTCGAACATCAGACTCCAAGTTCTTCAGCTTTTGGACTCTTGGACTTACACCAAGAGTCCAAAAGCTGAATAACTTTTCAATGGTTTGCCAGGGGCTCTCAGGCCTTCGGCCACAGACCAAAGGCGACTGTCAGCTTCCCTACTTTTGAGGTTTTGGGATTCAGACTGGCTTCCTTGTTCCTCAGCTTGCTGACAGCCTATTGTGGGACTTTATTTTGTGATCATGTGAGTCAATACTACTTAATAAATTCCCTTTCATATATATATATCTATCCTATTAGTCCTGTCCTTCTAGAGAACCCTAACTAATACATTCATCTTGCTCTTTTATTATTTTTATATTTTATTATTTTTAGTCTCTATTTTACCTGTAGTTTTAAAACTTCTTGACTTGAAAGTGTAGTTCATTTCATTTCAACATTTCTTGTTTCTTGATAAATGCATTAATAGCTATAAATTTCTCCCTAATTGAGGACGTTGTTCTGTGTCCCACAAAATTTGACAAGTAGTGTTTTCATTATAATTTTCTTGAATTTCATTTTAATGCTTTACTTATTAACCAAAACGGTTTTTAGTATTATACTATTCAGTTCCCAGCCTCACCAGATTTTTTAGCAATTCTTTTATTTTATGTTCTAATTTTATTACATTATAGTAGGAGAACATAGGTGTTTAATACTGATACTTTGGAATTTATTGAAAGTTCCTTTGTGGCCTATTACATCATCAATTTTTGAAAATATGTTCAAAAGGGATGTGTTGAACTTAGTTAATATCTAATGGCTGAAGATAATTCATTCGTATATTCAGACTTCCCATGTCTATTTGTTTTTTATTGCTTAACTTATTAATTTTAAAAAGTCTGTTTAAATGCCCAAATAAATAATTGTTGAAAATTTTGTTTTTACCTATGACACTGTGAGTAGTTGCTTTATACATTTTGAGGTTATATTGTTAGATACATACACATTCACAATTGTTTTTTCCTTCTGATTGTGTATTATAACTTTCGTTTGTATACAAACACCTTCTATTTTATCAGATATTAAGACTACTGTCCCAGATTCTGTTGGTTGATATCTACTTGGTATATCCTTTCATCTTTTTCATTTTCAACCTTTCTGTACCCTTATGTTTTATTTGTTTAATTTGTTTTATTTGTTTAATTATTTGTAGCTGTCACACATTTTTTAATTGATTAGTTGGCCAAGACAGGTCTTGAGGTGAATATAAAACTATGCGTAGCTTCAGAAAGTTTTTCATTCTTGGCAAGGTGAAGAACTAACACAAGCTGCCAGCTCCCCTCTACCAAAGTCAACCAGGGAGGAATTTAACAAGTGAGAAGAAAGGATAGAACCAAGGAACTAACAAAAATTTCCACAGACTGCCTTGGGAGGCCATAGGCAGTCATGAATTTGTACATCTAGAAAGGGCGGAAGTGTGGCGTAGCAGGCAGGCAAACAGTAGGGATTCGATATGCTGGGGGAGACCCTTGAGGTTCTCCTCTTACCCTTTCTCCACATTCTCCCAATATAATCAGCTCCCACACACAGAAAAGGTGACAACAGCCTAGAATGCCAATATCAATGGGCCTCTCTTAAAGTAGCACAAAAGTATCCTTGCAGTAAGAATTTGATTTAAAAAACAACAACAACACAGGTATGGATTGGTGAGAGCTACCCAGATAATCACTCCTCCTTTCTTCCTCTTTAAGTTCCCAGAGCTGGTAGACTGCAGTTTAAGGAGAGTACCACCTCCTAATGTGTCCTTCTTTAAATATTTAAAGAAAGGATTTAGAAGGATTAGAAGTATTGCCTTGTGGAGTGGTAACAAATGGTTCTGTGGTTTCTGAGCCATTCCATACTTGAGTTCATCCACTCTTCTCTCCTTAAAATTATCATGAGGGCTATAAACAACTAGAGTCTAGGTTTCATCCACTCCTAATATCCATCACTAGAGAGAGTAGCTGGTACCCAAGGAATATGGCCATGCTGGACAAAATAATTTTATCCCTGATTCATACAACAGCTACAAAAGAAAAACAGCAAATTAAACAATGTATACCACATGGAGCAGTCACTGGAATAGATGGCATATTAAATATCCTCAAATAGATAAGGAAAGTTATTTGAATGATGAAGCAGTAAAAAGACTTTAAAAAGAGCCAAGTGAAAATGTTAATTATAAAAAAAATCATAGCAATAAAAGTCTTAACAGCTAGGATATATAGCAGGATGGACATAGCTAATGACCAAATTACCAAGCTAGAGATCAGATTGAAGTATGTTTCCATAAGACAACAGGAAAAGATAAGAAAAAATATATAAAATAAAAACTAAGTAATATGGAGGATTAAAGTGACGAAATCCTGAAAATAGCAGTGTCAGAAAGAAAAAATAATGTGTGGGTGTCAGCAAACTACAGCCTGCAGGACAAATCCAGCATCTCACCTAGTTTTGTAAAGAGAGTTTTATTGAAACACGGCATTACCCATTATTTGTTGCCTATGATTGCTTTCATTCTACAATGGCAGATTGAGTGGTTATGACAGAGACCATTTGGGCCACAAAGCCTAAAATACTTACTATGTGGCCCTTTACAGAAAAAAAAAAATGTGTTGATCCCTGCCCTAATTAGCATACCTCAGAATTAATGCCATACATGGGTGAAATGAGACAGGATGACCATAATAGACATTCCCATTCAGGAAAAGGAAGACTAAAAAATACATAGCATTCACTGGTTCATAGCAATCCTGAAGCCCCTAGGATCTTGAAGATTACTTACTCTGGGTATCCTTATGGCATGGAATGGGTGTCAATCTCATCTAAATCTTAAAAGTAGCATGGGAAACCCATCCAGCTTTGAAGATAGTTATTTTTGGAGACATTTCTGTGACTTCAGATTGCATAATCAAGGAAACTAGATGGCAAAGCTCTCTAAATAACTCTGAAGCTGCTGCATGCTTGAATACTCTGTTGGAATAATGCAGGAGAAGTAGGTAAGTTTGAAAACAGGTAAGGACTGAGGAGCAAGAAGAGTGGAGGTTTAGAAGGGAGGGATGGTAGGAAACCAAAACAGAGAGAAAGCACAAAGGAACCCAGGATCAGTACCTTCCTTCTGAAGGTGTGAGGTAGGGAGTTGAAGACAGGCATGACACCAGTAAAGACTCTCCATTGTTCCATACAGGCCTCTGTGCCAGGTGCACCAGGCATCTTGTTCCTTCAAGTTCTTTACGCTGATAAGTACAGAAATGCTCTGTCCCTACACCCTATCTCAAAAGTTCCTAAAGATAAAGGAAAACCTGCCACTACTCTCACACTGAAATTTAGTCTTTCATCTCAGTTTTTCACCTGCTATGAAATCCACAATCCCAGAAGTTCATTAGTAATTGTTGAACATTCGGAATCCTAAGCTGTTTAAATTGATGACTTTGTCACATCTTAGCTTTATTTGTATGAAGCTTTGTAAATAACTATTCCTCAGCACACGCAACTGCCCCATTCATTAGCATTTGAGACTATAGAGGTGACAGTAGGCTCTCTTGAAAGATGGTTTTCAAAATTACAGCTCCTTATATATATGGCTCTGAATAATAATAGGACCCAAAACTACACATCAGGGCACAAGTCTGGTAAGCTTTGAAAGTTTCAGGAAAGAGATGTTCAAGAATCAATTAAAATCTCTCCTATACCTAAAAAGAATAAGTCAGTGTGAGTTCATAAGTGTTTCCAAATTAGCTGATGTTCCCCTTTTCTTAAATGCAGGAGCAGTTACCTTCAGTTAGTAGTGAGGCCTTGGCCTAGTAACTGTCAAGCACTTTCTGGGTGTGGAAGACTAGGAAGGCAGTGTCAATTAGCGCACACACTTGCAGGTTAACTCTTGCTACACTTGCAGGTCACTTCTGCCTTCTGTAATGCCTTCTAGAATATTCTGGACTCCTAGAAGTTTGTTCAAGATTGGGGCACTCTACGAATTTCCCTAGATCCCAGAAAATAGAAGTTCAATTTCAACTGAATTTTTGCTGACACTGATTCTGCCTTGAAGGGGTGTGTATGTGTGTGTGTGTGTGTGTGTGTGTGTGTGTCTGTGTGTCTGTGTGTCTGTGTGTCTGTGTGTCTGTGTGTTTTCAAGAAAAAGAAATACTAAATTGTGAGGTAAGCGTGCACCAAAAGTGATGTCCATAAAACTAAGAAATCAGTGCAGCATTCTGCAGAATCACTTTAAACAACATTCTTCTGTTTTTTCTGCTGCTCCTACAAGCTGATTACAAAAGCAGACAGAGTTAGCTCTGAGTTTCCAAGTGGAAAAGTATAATACTAGACTTTCAATAGCATCTCAAATTGAAATCAGTTAAAAGAATTACAGGTTGCAGAAAAATATGTATTTGTTTACATTTTTCTTCAGCACAAACATTTAGTAACCTAGGGTCTAAAAAGTTCTTTCACATGTCACTTTAAAAACAATCAACCATTTTTATTTTCAGAGCAAAGTCTCAAAAGAAAAAGAAAAGGAGAAAACTAGATTTTTAAAAATTCCTACCTATAGGTCCCATGGTTTTACAAGTATAACTCCATGTGCATTATTTATGGTATAAAATTTTTCCACTGAGGCCTGTTTTTACTTTAAGGGGGAGGATGAGTGCTTACTTTCAGTTTCATGTAAATTTTCTCTCCAATTATAGCTCACTTGTGGAGACTTTGTCCTATGGCTAAGCTGACATGCTGACTCATTTCACCAACAGTGTCTTAAGCCAGCACCATTTTCCACTGTGGCTTAAGCCCTGGAGTTGCTCCTCAAATAAGCTTCTCCCTCTCTTTCTCTCTCCCTCCCTCCCTCCCTCCCTCCTAACTCCCTCACTCCCTCACTCCTAACTCCCTCACTCCCTCACTCCCTCTCTCTCCCCAGGCCCTGGAGAGCCGGAGAGAGTTCATCCATGGCATAGTAAAGTTAATGAGGTAGTCAACCAAAGTTCAGAGCAAGTTTTCCCGCCCCCGGCTGGCAGTCAGCCACTCCATTCTGCCAGCACTCAAAGTTGGCTTCTCAGAAAATATATTCCAAAGCTGGCACTTTACCTCAGGAGAATTTAGTCAAAGCATTTGGCATATCAGATTGTCTAAAACACAAGGTTAAGAGCTCAAAATAGCCAGCCTATTCCAAGACTGTCTTAAATTAAGGAACATAATTATTAAAAGATTCTGCTACAATTGGGCATGAAAACCATACCCTTCCATGAAGTAACTAGGCAAGACTACTTTTCCTCCTGATAAATGAACAAATATTTAAGGGGCACGCACACTGTTCCTCTACTGTGGGAATACAAAGAAAAATAAGACACAGTCATCCCCGTCAAAGAGCTTAAAATTTAATCAGAGAAACAAGACATAAACATATAAAAACAACCACTTACAAAATTAGAATACAAAGTCTGGATTAATAACTCCGTATGTTCAATGCCCAGTTTGCAGAATGTGAAAAAGTTACCTGCGTTCTCTTTTCAAAACCTTTTTGAAGTCTGATACGCATACAGAAAAGTGCACACATCATAACTTTACAGCTCAGTGAATTTTCAGAAACTGAACACGCCCAGGTAACCAACACTCAGATTAAGTAAAAGAACATCACCAGCATCCCAAAAGCCTCCCCTTTTGCCCCTTTCCAGTCACTAGTCTCCTCTGAGAGTGACCCTTGTCCTAACTTGTCTCAGAGATTCTGTTTTGCCTGTTTTTGTACTTTATATAAGGGGAATCATGCAGTATGTATTCTTTCTGTGTCTGGCTTTTTTGGCTCAACATTATGTTTAAGAGATTCATCCATATCATCATTCAGAGTTGTAGTTCAGTCTCATTGCTGTGTAGTATTCCATTTCATAAATATTACAAAATGCGTCTATCCATTTCAGGATTTGGGGACATCTACATATGATGAGTAGTGTTCATGACTTTTGGTGAATGTGTGGACATATTTATGTTAGGAACATACCAGGGGCAGGACGGCTGGGTCATCCAGTAGGCATATGCTCAGCTTCCACGGATACTGCCAAACTGATTTCCAAAGTGGTGGTGCCATTTGACCCTGCCATCAGCAACATATGAGCCTTCCTGCCACCTTACATCCATGCCAGCATTCAGTATGTTCTACAGGACAACACATTGATGGAGGACAGCACGGCTTCGAGCAGAGGCCAGCAGGGATTCAGGGCCCGGTCTCTGGGTGACTGCCAGATCTCTTCCTTCAAAAAGAACACCTGAGGACTGTGGAGGCTCAAGCATGACACCAGAAGCACAGTTCCCAACCTTATCCCCAGCAAGTCATCAAACCAGCCACATGCACATGTGCAATCTTTTCCAATGCAAAAGAAGTCACTTTGGGTCTCCTAAAGCAAATAAATAAAACAGGAGAGAGGAGGCAGAGTGAGATGGCCAAATAGAACCCTCCAGAGATCACCACACCCCCACAGGAACACCAAATTGAACAACTATCCACACAAGAAAGCACCTTCATAAGAACCAAAAATCCGGTGAGCAATTATAATACCTGGTTTGAACATCATATTAAGGAAAGAGGCCCTGAAGAGGGTAGGAGAGACAGTCTTGAATTGTCTACATCACTACTCCCTTACCCCCGACAGAACTGGCCACAAGGTGCAGAGAGAGAATCTGTCTGCTTGGGGGAGGGACAGCACAGCAATTGTGGGAGTTTGCATTGGAACTCAGTGCTTTCCTGACACAGTGGAAAGCAACACATGGCAGAATTCAGCAGGCTTCCACAGAGGGGGCATTTAGACCAGCCCATGCTAGAGGGGATTTGTCCATCCTAGCTGTCAAAACCGAGTTCTGGCTAGCCCCACTACTATGGACTAAAGCGCTCTGTGGTCCTAAATAAACTTCAAAGGCCATGTAGGCCACACGGACTGCAATTCCTGGGAAAGTTCTGATGCTGTGCTGGGCTCAGAGCCAGTGGACTTGTGGTGCACACAGCCCAGTGAGACACCAGCTGGGGCAACCAAGGGAGTGCTTGCACCATTCCTCCCCCAACCCCAGGCAACATAGCTAGCAGCTCCAGGATTTAAACATGAAGAAATCCAAAACTTGAACAGACCAATAACAAGTAATGAGATCAAAGCCATAATAATACAAAGTCTCACAGTAAAGAAAAACCCAGGATCCAATGGCCTCACTGCTGAATTCTACCAAACATTTGAAGAAAAACTAATACCAATCCTACTCAAAGTCTTCTGAAAAATGGAATAGTAGAAAATACTTCCAAACTGATTCTACAAGGCCGGTCTTACCCTGATACCAAAACCAGACAAATACACATCAAAAAAATGCAGACCAATATCCCTGATGAACATTGATACAAAAATCCTCAACAAATACAAGCAAACTAAATTTCACAAAACGTTTAAAAAAAATTATTCATCATGGCCAAGTGAGATTTATCCCAGAAATGCAAGGATGGCTCAGCATATGCAAAGCAATTGATATGATACATCATATCCACAGAATGAAGGGCAAAACCATATTATAATTTCAACTGATGCTGAAAAAGCATTTGAAGAAATTCGACATCCCTTCATGATATACGCCCTCAAAAAACTAAGTATAGAAGGAACATACTTCAATGCAATAAAAGCCATATACAACAGAACCACAGCTAATATCATACTGAATGGGAAAAAACTGAAAGCCTTTCCTTTAATACCTGGAATGAGGCCAGGATGTCCACTTTCAAAACTGTTACTCAACATAGTACTAGAAGTCCTAGCTAGAGAAATCAGACAAGAGAAAGAAATAATGGGCATCCAAATAGGAAAGGAAGAAGTCAAATTATCCTTGTTTGCAAATGACATGATCTTATATTTGGAAAAAACTGAAGACTCCACCAAAAAACTCTCAGAATTTGTAAACAAATTCAGTAAAGTTACAGGATGTGAAATCAACATACAAAAATCAGCAGCATTTCTATGTGCCAACAGTGAGCAATCTGAAAAAGAAATCAAAAAAGTAATCCTATTTACATTAGCCACAAATAAAATAAGATACCTACAAATAAACTTCAACAAAGAACTAAACGTTCTCTATAGTAATATATAAAACATTGATGAAAGAAATTGGACACCAAAAAGAAAAGAAATACCATGTTCATGAATTGGAAGAATCAATATTGCAAAAATGTCCATACTACACAAAGCAATCTACAGATTCAATGCAATCTCTATCAAAATATCAATGACATTCTTCACAGAAATAGAAAAAATAATCCTAAAATTCATATTCATGAACCACAAAAGACCTGGAGTAGCCAAAGCCATTCTGAACAAAGAGATCAAAACTGGAGGAATCACATTACCTGATTTTAAATTATAATACAGAACTATAGTTAGCAAAACAGCATGGTACTGACATATAAGCAGACATATAGACCAATGGAAAATAATAGAGAACCCAGAAACAAATGTATACATCCACAGCAAACTCATTTTTGACAAAGATGTCAAGAATATAAACTGAGGAAAAAGTCTCTTCAATAAATGATGCTGGGAAAACTGGATATCCATTTGTAGGAGAATGAAACTAGGCTTCTATCTCTCACCATATACAAAAGTCAAAATGGATTAAAGACTTAAATCTAAAATCTCAGCCCATGAAACTACTACAGTAAAAAATTGGGGAAAATCTCCAGGACATTGTTCTGGGCAAAGATTTCTTGAGTAATACCCCACAAGCATGGGCAACCAAAGCAAAAATGGACAAATGGGATCACATCAACTTAAAAAGCTTCTTCACAGCAAAGGAAACAATCAACAAAGTGAAGAGACAACCCACAGAATGGGAGAAAATATTTGCAAACTACCCATCTCATAAGGGATTAATAACCAGAATGTATAAGAGCTCAAACAACTCAATAGGAAAAAATCTAATAATCCATTAAAAATGGGCCAAAGATCTGAATAGATATTTCTCAAATGAAGACATACAAATGGCAAATAGGCATGTAAAAAGGTGTTCACCATCACTGATCATCAGAGAAATGCAAAGTAAGACTACAATAAGATATCATCTCACTCCTGTTAAAATGGCTTATATCCAAAAGACAGGTGTATTAGTCCATTTTCACACTGCTATAAAGAAATATCCAAGACTGAGTAATTTATAAAGAAAAGAAGTTTAATTGACTCACAATTCAGCATAGCAGGGGAGACCTCAGGAAACTTATAATTTTGGTGAAAGGTGAAGGGGAAACAAGGCACTTTCTTCCCAAGGCAGCAGAAAGGAGAAATGTCAAGTAAAGGGGAAAGAGACCCTTATAAAACCATCAGATCTTATGAGAACTCACTCACTATCATGAGAACAGCATGGGGGAAACTTCATGATCCAATTACCTCCACCTGTTTTCTCCCTTGACATGTGGGGATTATAGGGATTACAATTCAAGATGAGATTTGGGTGGGGACACAAAGCCTAACCATATCATTCCACCCTGGTCCCTCCCAAATCTATGTCCCTTTCACCTTTCAAAACCAATCATGCCTTCCCAACAGTCCCCCAAAGTCTTAATTCATCCCAGCATTGACCCAAAAGTCCAAGTCCAAAGTCTCATCTGAGACAAGGCAAGTCCCTTCTGCCCATGAGCCTGTAAAATCAAAAGCAAGTTAGTTATTTCCTAGATACAATGGAAGTACAGCCATTGGGTAAATACACCCATTCCAAATGAGAGAAACTGGCCAAAAGGAAGAGGCTATAGGCCCCATGCAATTCCAAAATCCAATAGGGCACTCAATATTAAAGATGCAAAATGATCTCCTTTGATTCTGTGTCTCACATCCAGGCCACACTGATGCAAGAGGTGGGCTCCCACAGCCTTGGGCAGCTCCCCTCTGTGGCTCTGCAAGATACAGCCCCCGTGGCTGCTTTCACGGGCTTGCATTAAGTGTCTGCGGCTTTTCCAGGTGCATGGTAGAAACTATTGGTGGATCTGCCATTCTGGGGTCTGGAGGACGATGGCCCTCTTCTCACAGCTCCACTAGGCAGTGCCCCAGTGGGGACTCTGTATAGGGGCTCCCACTCCATATTTCCCTTCCACACTGCCCTAGCAGAGGTCCTCCATGAGGGCTCTACTCCTGCAGCAATTTCTGCTTGGATGCCAAGGTGTTTCCATACATCCTCTGAAATCTAGATGGAGGTTCCCAAACCTCAATTCTTGACTTCTGTGTACCCACAGGCCCAACACCAGGTGTGAGCCACCAAGACTTGGGGCTGGCACCCTCTGAAGCAACAGCCTGAGTTGTAAGTTGGCCCCTTTTAGCCATGGCTGGGATGCAGGTCGCCAATTCCTGAGACTGCACAAAGCAGCAAGGCCCTGGGCCTGGCCCACAGAACCATTTTTTCCTCCTAGGCCTCCAGGCCTGTAATGGGAGGGGCTGCTGTGAAGACATTTGACATGACCTGGGGACATTTTCTCCATTGTCTTGACAATTAACATTTGGCTCCTCATTAACTTATGCAAATTTCTGCAGCTGGCTTAAATTTCTCCTCAGAAAATAGGTTTTTCTTTTTATTGCATTGTCAGGCTGTAAATTTTCTAAACTTTTATGCTCTGCTTCCCTTTAACATAAGTTCAAATTCCAAACAAACTCTTTGTGAATACATAAAACTGAATGCTTTTAAGAGCACCTAAGTCACCTCTTGAACACTTGCTGATTAGAAATTCCTTCCACCAGATACTTTAAATCATCTCTCTCAGTTTCAAAATTCCACAGATCTCTAGGGTAGGGGCAAAATGTCATCAGTCTCTTTGCTAAAGCATAGCAAGAGTCACCTTTATTCCAGTCCCCAAAAAGTTCCTCATCTCCATCTGAGACCACCTCAACCTAGATTTCATTGACCATATCACTATCAGCATTTTGGTCAAAGCGATTTAACAAGTCTTTAGGAAGTTCCAAACTTTACAGCATGTTCTTGTCTTCTTCTGAGCCCTCCAAACTGTTCCAACCTCTGCCTGTTATGCATTTCCAAAGTCACTTCCACATTTTTGGGTATATTTATAGCAGCACCCCCCTCCTGGTACCAATTTACTGGATTAGTCCATTTTCATGCTGCTATAAAAAATATTTGAGACTGAGTAATTTATAAACAAAAGAGGTTTAATTGACCCACAGTTCAGCATGGTGGGGAGGCCTCAGGAAATTTACAATCATAGCAGAAGGCAAAGGGGAAGCAAGGCACTTTCTTCACAGGGTGGCAGGAAGAAATGCCAAGTAAAGTGGGAAGAGCCCCTTATAAAATCATCAGATCTCATGAGAACTCACCCACTATCACGAGAACAGCATAGGGAAACTGCCCCCATGATCCAATTACCTGTACCTGGTCTTTCCCTTGACACATGGGATTAGGGGGATTACAATTCAAGACAAGATTTGTGTGGGGACACAAAGCCTAACCATATCAACAGGCAATAACAAATGCTGGTGAGGATGTAGAGAAAAGGGAACCCTCGTACGCTGTTGGTGGTAACGTAAATTAGTACAGCCACTATGGAGAACATAGTGGAGTTTCCTCAAAACGAAAAATAGAACTACCATATGATCCAGCAATCCTACTGCTGGGCATATATCCAAAAGAAAGGAAATTAGTATATTGAAGAGATATCTGCATTCCCATGTTTATTGCAGCACTATTCACAATAGCCAAGATTTGGAAGCAACCTCAGTATCCATCAACAGACAAATGAATAAAGAAAATGTGGTACAAATACACAATGGAGTACTATTTAGCCATAAAAAAGAATGACATCCTGTCATTTGCAACAAAATGGGTGGAATTGGAGGACATTATGTTAAGTGAAATAAGCCAGGCACAGAAAGACAAACTTCACATGTTCACACTCATTTGTGGGAGCTAAAAATTAAAACAACTGAACTCATGGAAATAGAGTAAAAGGATGGTTTCCAGAGGCTGAGAAGGGTGGGAGGGGTGGGAGGGTGATTGGGGATGATTAAAGGGTACAACAATATAGTTAGATAGAATGAATAAGATCTGGTATTTGACAGCACAACAGGGTGACAACAGTTCAACAATAACTCATTGCATATTTTTAAACAACTAAAAGAGTATTGTTCAATTCCCACCTATGAGTGAGAACATGTGGTGTTTGGTTTTCTGTCCTTGTAATAGTTTGCTCAGAATGATGGTTTCCAGCTTCATCCATGTCCCTGCAAAGGACATGAACTCATCCTTTTTATGGCTGCATAGTATTCCATGGTGTATATGTGCCACAGTTTCTTAATCCAGTCTATCATTAATGGACATTTGGGTTGGTTCCAAGTCTTTGCTATTGTGAATAGTGCCACAATAAACATACGTGTGCATGTGTCTTTATAGTAGCATGATTTATAATCCTTTGGGTATATACCCAGTAATGGGATTGCTGGGTCAAATGGTAATTCTAGTTCTAGATCCTTGAGGAATCACCACACAGGGCGGGGAACATCACACACGGGGACCTGTTGGGGGCTGGGGGGCTGGGGGAGGGATAGCATTAGGAGAAATACCTAATGTAAATGATGAGTTGATGGGTGCAGCACACCAACATGGCACATGTATACCTATGTATCAAACCTGCACGTTGTGCACATGTACCCTAGAACTTAAAGTACAATAAAAAAAAAACACCAAAAAAAGAGAGTATTATTGGAATGCTTGTAACACAAAGAAATGATAAATGCTTGAGGTGATGGATACTCCATTTACCCTGATGTGATTATTATGCATTATATGCCTGTACCAAAATATCTTATATACCTCATAAATATATACACCCACTATGTACCCACAAAAATTTAAAACTTTTTAAAAGAGAGAGACCAGGCAGCAGAGGCAAGACCTCTTTCTGGGTAAAGCCACTATATCAAGGGAAGATATAGGGTCTGCCTGTCTGTCTATCTATCTATCTATCTATCTATCTATCTATCTATCTATCTATCTATGTAACAAATGTATAGGTTCTCACTATGTGCCAAGCACTGTTCTAAACTCTTTAAAACTCTTAACTGGCTGGGCATGGTGGCTCACGCCTGTAATCCCAGCACTTTGGGAGGCCAAGCAAGGCAGGTGGATCACTTGAGGTCGAGTTCGAGACCAGCCTGGCCAACATGGTGAAACCCCATCTCTACAAAAATACAAAAATTAGCCAGGCATGATGGCTATAATCCAAGCTACTCAGGAGGCTAAAGTGGGAGAATCACTTGAACCCAGAAGGCAGAGGCTGCAGTGAGCCAAGATCACGCCCTTGAACTCCAGCCTGAGTGACAGAGTGAGACTCCATCTCAAAAAAAAAAAAAAAAACCTCTTAACTAGCTTAATTCTTATAACAGCATAACAGATAAGCATTTTTAAAATTCTAATTTTACAGGTGAGGAAACTGAGGCACTGAGGCACACAGAAGAATTAATTTATCCAACATCATAGAGCTGGTAGATAACAAAGCAGGGATTTCAGTCCAGGCCAGCTGGCTCCACAATCCATGCTCCGGACCTTACCTTCTACTGTCTTTCTTCTTCTGGGAATACTCAGGCCCTAAATAACTCCCCATCTCAACCAATATAATGTGTTTGCTTTTATTTTCCCCTAGATATACACCAAGACATCTGTTTACTTCATATGCCCAAACCTAGAGCAACCCCTTAGTTTCCCAAACAGAAAATTCCTTCCCCCTAAAACTGGAGACAATTTCAATATATAAACTTTTAGAGCCATAGATTAAGTAGTCAGACGTTTACTTATAATATTTTACTGTTTAAATTTCACATATGTGCATATCACAAATTAAGTAAAAATAATGTGGTATTAAAATATTGCCCTTTTCCAAATTCATAGGTCAGAAAATAATTTATTCATCTTCGACAGGTTTATATAGCTATGTATTAGTGTCTTCATTGTCACTAAAGTTATGTTTGATGATATTATCTTCAATTCCTTCTGAGCTATTGACATATAGCATGTTTTGATTTCATATGTGATGAGATCATTGGGAATTTTATCTCAAGTTAAAAGTACCTCTTTGCACACCTTCTAAAATATTTATCCTATGGATACTATAATCACCACCTCTTCAATGGAGCATTTTAATATTTTGCTCTATAAAGCAATAGCTAAAAATTTGTTTACCATAATATCAAATGATTGCTATGGAGTCATGACCCGAGTTATAATTACTAAATCAGTATTTATATTTATTTCCTTTAATTTTACCCAATCTGCCAAGAGGCCTGTATGAACATCCCAAATTAATATTGATTTAAGTTGTCTTAATGTTCTTCCCCAAATAGTACTTTACAGGAACAATCATGGAGAGAGGCAGTAAGGGAACTTCACCTCCTATGGGGTCATGCAGGATACTCTCTTGGTTTATCCTGAATTTGCTCTCCCTGGCTAAATCAGAATCCCCAATGTTACTGAGCCATATTTTTTCTTCTTAACCTTTCTCTTAAATTTGTCTTTGTCCTTCTCGCCTACATTTCCCCGAACCCTATCCTCCATCCCCATACTTCACACCTGGGTGTCTGGCTCTTTGCACAGAGGAAGTTCTGTCTTAGAGTAATTGGCCAGAAGCCAAGGAAATCACAAACAGCAAAGAGTGATATTGAAATCAACAAGGGCAGCCATTTATGGAGTTCTTACTATGTGTTAGGCACCAGAGAATGCCCTTTAATATTCACAACAATTATATTGTAGGTTATTATCTCTATTTTACAGATAAAAAGAATAAAGCTCAGAGAAGTTAAATAATTTGTCCAAGGCCATAGAGCTATTAAGTTATATGTCTTAACCAAACCTGTCTGATTCCAAAGCCTGTATTCTAAACCCTATCATCGCCTACTGTCACATTTTTAGACTGTATAATTCTAATGATAACATATTAGATTCATTATATAAATATAAGTATGCAAAACACATCACAGATTCAAATGCAGATGATGGGGGGCACTTTTCCAGAAGGGAAGTCCTCAGTGCCTTGGCAATTCTGTAGCCAGTTAGATGCATCTAGATTTCCAAGGCCTGGACCCCAGGAGCATACCACAAACTAAGAGGTTCCTGCTGAGCAGTGAGCCTCATGCTGGACCAAAGATAAGTTTGGAAAATTCACATCCAATATACAAGCCATGTTCATATAACGGCTGAGCACCACACAGAGATTCTGGGGACTTCTGTTCAAAGAGCCAGGGTTTCTTTATTGAAATAGCACTTGGAGAACTTACAAATAATGTAAAGGAAAAAATAGAGCAATGGCGACCCTCTAAGTCTGTTGGGTTGTCCTCATCAGAACTCCCAAGACATAGAAAAGAAAGGCTAAGAAGCATTTGGTGTTGTAGTAAATAGCACAGGCTTTGGAGTTAGAAAGATCCAGGTTAAAACCTGGCTCTGCACAGGACACTTGCCTTCTTCAAATCTGCAACATGGAAAGAATAACTGTAATAATTTTTAATTCATAGAGTTGCTGTGGGAAATAAACTAGAATATGCCTGTAAAATATCTTAGCACATTCTAGCATGTTGGAATCACTTAATAAATGATCATTACTATTTTATTATTATTCTATTTTATAAGCATCTTCAGCCTAAGACTAACTGACTGGAATGTTCCCTTCTTATGGTAGTTAAAGAATCTGATGGTCTCCCAGAAAAAATTAAGGGGAAAGAAGCCTGGAGCAATATGAGGGCACAGACAGCATCCCCCTCTTTTCCTCATACTCCGTTTCTGAATTTGTTTTGCCACAGAGTAACACTGTGCTCAGCCCACTCGATGCCAAAATTCACATCAACATCTGAAGTAACATTTTCAAGATGAAAGGAAAAACAGATAAAAGGATGCCAGTGATGTCTCAATTCAAGCCATGGGAAACATAGATAAATTTGTCATTCTTCCTATTCCGTGTGAACAAAAGTGCCTCATACCTGCCACATAGTAGTTCTATAACTAGTACACTGATTGGGGAAAAACATTTCAGTTTAATACTTCACCATCTTGAATGATGCTAAACCTATTTTTTACCAACGTTTAAACATTTTTTTATTATGGAAAATTTTAAACAAAAATAGAAAGAAGGACCCCAATGTGCCCATCACTTTGTTAAAACAAAAAAGTTATCAACTCATGGCCAAGTGTGCTTCTTGTATACCCCTACCCACTTCCCTCCCACTTTTAGATTATTTTGAAATAAATCCCAAACATTATATCGTTTTATCCTTAAGTAGTTCAGCATGTGACTCTAAATAATGAGTCTTTTTCTAAATAATAACCATAATGTCATTATTTCCACTAAAAATAATTATTCCTTTTAACATAATTAAATATCCAATCAGTATTTAAATTCCTCTTAATCTGATATTTTTACAGTTTGAGTTAGAATCAAAATAAGGTCCAAACTTTGAATTAGTTGATATGTCTTTTAAGATTCTTGCAATCTCTAGCTTCTAATTCTCTCTCTCCTTATCTCTCTCTCTCTCTCTCTCTTTAGTTAGAATCAACATAAGGCCCACAGTTTACAATTAGTTGATATGTCTTTTAAGATTTTGCAATCATCTCTAGCCTCTAATTCCTTCTCTCTCTCTCTCTCTCTCTCACACACACACACACACACACACACACACACACATACAGAGACACACTTTTCAAAGCAATTTTGTTGAGGAAAGCATATTGTTTGTCCTTAGAGTTTTGATAGTCTGATTCTGCTAATTGTATCCCTATGGTATCATTTAACACATTCCTCTGTACCCTATAAATTGGTAGTTAAATCTAGAGGCTTGATCAGATTCTGGTTTGATATGTTGACACGTTAACTTCATAGGTGGTATTTTGTACCTCCAGTAGAAGGCATCTCAGGTCTGGTTGCCTCTTTTTTTAAGATGGTAGCTATTGACAATCATTGTCTAGATAATCATTTTTTAAGACAAGCTTTTACTCTGGCTTATCTCAATATTTTTCAGAAATGAGATTTGACTTGATTGGGAATTAGACATCTAGGGTAGGGAATCTAACCACTTTAGTAAAGAGATCATACTTTACTCTCATACATACTCATTCTTCTTTAGCCCACACTCACTCCCTACCCAGTGCTGAAAGCATGGTGCCTTTGATATCACAAGCACTCCGAGAATGTTGGTCAAATTAAATTGGAAAACCGATATTTTCCGTAAAATTTAATTTATCCAAATAAGTGCATACTTCTCTCATCATTAGCTCTTACAATGTCAAGTACTTCACCACTACCCCAATACCTGGACTGCCTGTTCCTTTTAATTTAGCTATCAAATTCTCTTCATATTTATAAAAGAAGAAAATGCTATACCTGGAATTGAGTGACTGTAAAGGCTAACATTAGTTTTACTACTTCCATCACATCTGTCTAAATTTTCTCATTAAGTCTTCAGGTACAACTCTCCCAATGACATCACCTGGGCTATTTATGCAAATTATGTTCCTGCTTACAGAATTGAGCATTTAAGTCATGGTTATATTTTTTCTTCTGTGATGAGGAACAAAAGGAAATTTGGTTCATACAAGTAGGAGACACTTTTGTATACTCTTGCTCTACTTTTTAAACAATTTCTTGCAACAGTGCCTGGCAGGATTCTTTGCCCTGGGGGTTCTTGATCCTGTTTTGCCCACCAACCTCTCTCTTGATCCTGATAGATTTAGACAATAGGGCCAAATCAGCACTTAGCAGAGGTCAACAAAAAAGCTGGCTCTAGAGAGAGAAACAATCCTGGTTCACCTTTTCTAGCTTTGGTTCAGCTGTGAAGAGTCCTTCACTATCAAAATCCTCTGAGAAGCTTTTTGGTCACATTCTCTCCCCTTTTCCCATTTCATAGTCTCTTCCACCTCCTGTGATTTAGAGAGTTTTCTCGGTCTAGCAACTGTTGTTGGTCACCAACACATCAAAACAAATAGGCTTCCCTCAGTCTTCATCTCACTTGATGGTTTTGCAGTTTTCATGCTGTTCGGCAGCTTCTCGCTTTTGAAACCCCACTCAACATGTGAGGCTACACATGCTGAGTCTCCTTCTACCTCTCAGATCACTTCTCATTCTTATTTGCTGTTTCCTCTTCCATCATCAGCCTTTTAAATATTGGATTTTCCTGTAGCTTTTGCCAAAGACATCTTCTTTTCTTACTCACTCTCTTTCCCAATAATTGCATTCCCAAGTGTTTTGAGAAGACTTCCAAATCCATATCATTTCCTCCGTCCTCGTCTGGGGATTCAGACCCACATCCCCAGTTGCACATTGGGATAGCTACAAATGAATGGCCAAGCAGCACACGTCCAAATCAAATTCTTACTTCTCCCATCCAATTCCCTGCCCTCTATTGCTGTCCTCCACAAATCTGTGGAAGCCTCAGGTCCTCCACAGCTACTGTTTTCCTGTCTTCCTTCCATTTCCCACATGCAATTCGTCATCAGGCTTTCCAAATTAGCCCTTAAGAGGTCGCTCAAAGTCATCCCTTCTGCCCCTTTGGCTCTACTCTTTGTCTAGCTTATATCCTGACCTCTTGGCACCTGAGCCGTCGCAACAGCCTTGCAACCTGGTACCAGTTTCTTCCTCTCCAAAGCTGTCATTCACATGGCTGCCAGAGTTATTCATATCTTCCAGAGACACACAGTGAGTAATGTGACTATCCTCCCAAAAGATTCCAGTGACTTCAATTTCTATAGGCTGAAGACAACAGCATCCAAAGTCCTTCACGACAGGGACCTAATTTCTTTCTAGCCCCAGAAGTCAAAGAATCTCTGGGGCCCCCAGCTGTCAAAGAAATTTGAAGAAGGATTGAACTTCTGTGGGAGGAGGGTAACCATAAAGGCATGCCCAACTAGGGAAGCAATATGAGCAAAAGCACTGAAGTCGAAAACACTATTTGATTCAGAGGAAGAAAAGAGAAAAGCTAATGGGCAAGGAAAGCTGGTGTTATGCAGAGAGATATGGTTCAATCAACAGAATGGAGAAAAAACATTAGTAAGAGTCTTAAGACAAAAATCAGACATGAACTTAATAACAGGGCTATGTTCATTTCCATGTATATTACCTATCCCTGCATAACTTCTCCAAACCTAATATTCTACAGCAGATCCAACGAAATGCTCCCAAGTTGGCTAAGTGTTCTTACTTCTATTTTAGGCTTTCAATCCCAATTGTTAACAACTCCATTAAATATAAAACTTCCTTTCAGAGCTACTTGGAAATGTGTTACATAAATGCTGCATATTTCCCCTCTTACTTCTTCCCCAGCATTTCTCCAGCCTCTAAAAATAATGCCTCAGATGCTGGCTTTGTTCACTGTTTGAGCTCCCACTTGCACACCTATCATGTTCAGAGCCCAGCTGGGGCAGATCACTTTCACAGGCATTAGGTTTTTGTGTCTCCATTCCTTCCTGCTCATATAGCATTTTTTTAAATGAAGCTTAGGTTCCTGAGGCAATAATGTTCTCCCATGGGAATTAAAAGGCTACAGATCATTGTTTTTCTCTCCTGATTTCCACGGTAGCCTCAGAAGACATTTTATATGGCCAATATAAGAGCTCTCCTACATACATTTAGAAGGGCAATTAAGAACAATAGTAGTCAGTGGTTGCCAATGTTTACTTGAAAGCTAAGACTTACTATGAGGCAGATGCTGTGCCAGGGACTTGACACGCAGAATCACATTCAATTATCGCATCAATCTGATGACTAGGTATCATTACACTCTTCATATTTTAGATAAGTCAACTGAAAATTGGAGAGGTTAAAGAACTTGACCCCAGGTTGCCAAGCTGGTAAATGGCAGTGCCTAGTTGCAGCCCTAGATTGGCTTGGCACCATAACTCATGTTCTGTATGCAGAAAATCACTTGTAAATTTTGAAATAGAAGCTAATCCTGGTATCTTATGTCAGGTGCTCCCAGAAGCAGACCCAGAAACAAGGATTTATGGTGGCAGCACTCTGTCCACAGCACTAGAAAAGGGAAGTGGTCCCAAGAAGGGAAGGCAGCCAGTAAAGGGTGAGCATCCTTTGAGGAACTCCGGAAGATAGCATAGAACATAACCCAGAGTTAACCTAACCAGGATGGGAGGAAACTGAGCTATTTCTCCACCCACTCCCATGCCGGTCATTGGTTGAGAGCTGCTTTGGGGACAGCTGAGTATGGACGGACCATATTCCCCAGTTAGAAAAAAAACCTCAGACAGAGAGTCACAGACATTCCCACAAAGCATCCTGCAGCAAGTAAAGTGAGTTCTGGGGGCTGCAGGCAGGGCACCAAGAGCATCTGCTACAAATGCATATGGCCCGAGAACTAAAAAAGGAGAGAACCACCCACCCCTGGGCTCACATGTTCAATTAAGTTGCTTCGCACACCATCCTCTAGACTCAGTTTAACTGGTATTGGTATTGGCTTTCACCATATTTTTCCAATAATTCTGTCTTTTCTGTGTCCAGCTGGGCGACACAAACTTTGAAGGAGACATGGGAATGACTGTGGGGCTGCTACCACCAGAACGGTGGAGCCCCCACTCCTCCTCCCACCTTTGCACACCAGCACTTTCCACCTGCGAGCACCACACTACACTATGGAAATCTGTACCCTGCCCATAACAAATTTCTCCCATTGTTCGTTTAGGCTGCAGAGACTAGATGATCTAAAAGTCCCCAAATTCCAATTTTTGGAGACCCAGATGAGGTCATTTTCCAAGGATCATATCTCTGAAAAATCCTCCTTCAATTTCTTCATTCGAGATTTTGCAACACTGAAGTTCCTACGTTAGTAAACATATGACTAAGAGAGCTAAATATTGCATAGTTATCTGGGGTTAAATAACTCTTTGAGCAGTTTTATAGGTTGGATGTTTTAGTGGTAACGATAAATATTAATAGTAGTGAAGTGTTCTCATATAATGATGGCTTGGTATGTGCCCAGCCATCTAATTAGCTCATTATTTCTCACTATAACCCTAAAAGATTCTTGCAGTCTAAGAATCAAAAGCCCAGATGGTTAAGTAACTTGTCTGAGGTCACATAGCAAATTAAAATGGATCCAGGGTCCAAACCTGTCTGTTGTTTGTTTGTTTGTTCGTCTGTTTTACCATATACCACAGTGTCTGTCTAGCATTGCCCAGAGAGAACTGCTCTGCAGCTCTTCCCATCAAAACACTAGAGAAATTATTGCTAAGTAATGGGCTATTTTCATAAATATGACTTATAAAGTACTTCAGAGCTGTTTGAAATGCAGTATTAAAATAACCTGCAAAATGGTTAATTTATTATTGGGTGCTGCTGTATTCTCCACAGAAGTCAAATTAATAACATTATCTACATTTGTCCTTGAGAAGATAACTTAGTAGAATGGAAGGCATTCTGACATCATCTAATTGCCAGCTTGCAGAACTCAGGCCCAAAGACGTTAAGTAACTAACTCAAGGATGCTCAGCCAGCTAGTTAGCAGTCAGCCAGGATTAGGCCCCCAGCTTCCCCCACTTCAGGTCTGTAGCTTTTTCCATTCACCCCACCGGTGTGTGTCTTTTCATTCAAACTGCCCCCTTGGGCAATTACAGATGCTCACAATCTTTAGCACTAATGCAAATTTCAGTTCCACTGCCCCGCGTTTCTAACAATTCTCTGAAATGTTTTTCTCACAGGCATTTAGGATAGTGATATAATAACAGTTTTTTAATGTCTTTTCTCCGAAAGAAATAACAAACCAAAGCTCCAGGCTTCTGTTTCATCGTTATATAATACTTGTCTGGGATTGCAAATCACTTGCAGAAGGACAGGGCTCGGGGGAGGAGGGGGTGGGTGTGAATCTTTTGTGGTTTCTTGGGTAACGTGAAGCGATTTGTCATTTTAGAGAGGCTGGAGCCTATGCCCTCAGATCCATTAGCGATCAGACTTGTTTTGATTATCTTTGAAACCTTGCAGTTTCTGAGGCTGTCCCTGAATGGGGGTAGAACACAATGGTTGCAGACAGACCTGTTTTTCTCTCTTCCCTTCCACCCAAGTAAGAGAACAGGCTAATAATAAATCAAAGTTCTAGAACTTGAATTTGAACTGAAAATACCTCCGACTAAAACCTGTTTCTTCCATCCTGCAAATAGGAGGGGAAGCAATCCGCCAGAGCAGGGAACTGCTGCATTTTCTGTGAATGTGCGCCCTCTGATGGTAAATTTTGGTAACGACTGGCTCTCGGGAGAAGTAAACAAAATTATCATACCAAAAAGAATATTTTATTGGGGGGGAAAGAGCTACAGAGGACTCATTAATGTTCAACTTTATAGTCATAAGTTGGCGGTTATGGAGGACCCACTGAGAGTTGCTTTAGTTCTCGTGGAGATTTGCACAAGAGAAATTCAAAGCATTGTTACTTAGGGAGCTCTCAAAATACCTTGTTGCTGGGTGTATTTATAGAAGTTAAAGCAACTCCGAAGGGGCAGCGGTGTAAGGATTTGGGCTATTCACGTTAAACTCTTACTAAAATAGTCAAAAGCGGTGTGCAGTTCCCTCAATTTGGGAAGACAGACAAAATGAATTCCAAAGCAAATTGAGATAATTTTAAAGTGTTTTGACTAAAAACAAATGGGGTGGAGTTTTTTTCTTTAATACAGTACAATAAGCTATGCCTTCAGTGGCAAATCCCCCATTGATGAATCTTTTCTTTCTACTTTTGTGCCTCCTTGTAAAAGCCCTGCAATCTGCTGAATATCTTTACTTAAGTATTTAGATGGAAAGGGCAGCAAGAGAAAGCCAGTTACTTTATTAGGCATTCCACTCGGCAATATTCCATTCCCTGGTTCCTGCTCACATTTGATAAGGAATGCATTCCACTGATCTATGCTTAGCTGCTAGTGGCTGAAAGAATTTCCCCTCATCATTCCCTTCCCTGCTTCTCCTTTTTCACTCTCCCCCCCACCCACAGACATCTCTAATTCAGGCCACCTCAACTGCCTCCATTATTCATCCAGATCATTCCTAACCTCGCTGTGCACAAGCACCCACGTTTATTTCCTTGGTGATGCTCAGTTTGACCTCTTGGTGCACAAGAAATACAAAATCAAATCAGCTGGCTGAGTCTAGCACTCACGGGGACTATGCACAGGTTTTGCTGTTCCCACTCTGGAACCAATCAAACACGAGCCCATCAGCAAACAAACCACATTATATAAAGCAGCCGTGAGGCCAGCTGTGAGACCAAGAAGGCAGATCACACGGCCACAGTTTTACCCACGTGCTTGGAGAATCCTCCATCAGCTGCTCGTGAAAACAAATCCAGACGTCTGTAGTTGTGCATACATTTTGTGCCAGCCAGCAAGCACACAGGTATAGAATAGAACCTCTTGCTACATTTGTGTATCCAGAAAGCAAAATACTTAGCGGGATTCACGTTGCCCCAGGGGAATACAGACACATATTTTGCTTCTTTGAAATTCCTTCAAGTCTTGATGATGGCCAGCAGTGTGCTGGGGATGGCTTTAGCTCATTTGTTTTCCTACCAAGGCAGCATGTGTTTAGTGACTAAGGTGAACAGAGCAGCCGTGATCACAGGAGGGTAACCAAAAATCAGCCTTCCTGCTCCTTGGATGAGCTTTCTCACTTGACTGCTCTGTGGAAAGAAAAGAGGACGTCTGAGAAATTCAATTTAGTTTTAATAACCTGACTCCTATTTGCTAATGTTCCAAACTGCATTTAAAGAAGTCTAAATCTCAGATGGAGATTTGGTTAGAGCAATGAGTGGGCAAGTAAAACATCTTTCCACCTGGAAAGAAATTGTGATAAGAAAAAAGATTTGAATTGAAATCATTTTTCATCCAAGTAATTTAGAGTGATCCTAAGTAGGTCATTGCACTTCGGCGCTGCTGTGCATTCAACTGATGCTCATTCAGCTTTGGGCAATGGTGAAGCATTGATTTTAAGTAGAAACTTTTTTTCTCCCAAGATATCTCATATTTTATATGCAAGAAAACTCTTCTCACTTTTGAGATCAAATTTATATTATATGGATGTTCTCTTGTTGTTATATGGTTAATATAGCATTGCACGGTAGAAGGAAAATAAGTAGAATGTTAAGAGGGAGAGAGTGTAAGAGGGAGGTGAGATAGAATGGGAGATAGAGAGGGGGTGGAGAAAGGAAGGGGGGAGAAAAGTGAAAGAGCCCACGAATGCCTATGGGTGTTAGAGAAAGCAAGTCCCACTGTGCGAGAAAAAGTGAGTGTCAATTCATTTCTGATGATAGAGAGGACTAATTAGAGAAAGCTAACAGCTCAACAGAATCTGGGGTTGGGGTAATCCAACTATGCATAGCCCCTTCCCCACTGGGAATCCTTGCTGACAGTACTGTAATGGGAGGTGTCACTGATATGAGATTGTCAGCCATAAGAAGCATGTGGAGAAAGAAAAGGCTGAGGACCTGAAAGTAAACAAGGGAGAAAGAAATGAATCCCTTCATTGCAAATGAAAGATAACAAATACATATTTGAAGATGAGATACGGAAACTCCCAAAGAAGACAATAAACCCAGTAATTAAATCATCAATTACCTATAAATCACCCCATCCCAAACAATATAGGAAAGCAGCAATTCTTTATTAATAATGAGAGATGTGTCATTCACAGGGACAATTGGTCGTTATGTGGCAGTCAGACAGCATAGAGCAGGAGGTCTACATCTTTCCTGCGACAAGCCTTCAGAGACTCTTCTTATGTAAGTGTGGCTGGGTGCCAGCTGGCTTTCGGTTCAGTGACAATATTGTCAGCATTTTTTGACTAATAATTTCTAAATTGTATAGCAAATACATTCCAAAACCTTAATTCTGAATTGGGTTCAATACACAAAGTTTGGGGCCTTTTCATGAGCTGCCTTTGTTGTAGCTGTTGTTATTGATGATGGTGGTGGTGTTACTTTGTTCTTGGTGATAATTAGGTTGTAGAAATAAAAGAGACAAAAGAGGTAGATGTTCCGTACACTGCAGCAGTTTCTGGTGATAAATGATTTTATAAAAGGTTTTGCTTCCATCTAGTGGTTGTTATGTAGAACTGTCCTATTCTGACAAGTGAAATTCATTGGATTAAATCTTTAAATGCCCCTACACTATACAAAGAGCTAGCGATTAAAATACTCATGCTACTATTTTTTAAATACTAATAATAACGTAGCCCTTCCCATAATAAGGTCTACTGGAGGAATCAACCACTTAAATATTTACAGCAAAAATATGCTATAAGCAAAACCATTATTAATAAGTTAATATTTACGTAATACTACTAGGTGCCAGACATTGATTCAAGTGCATTATACATTTTAGTTCATCTGATGTTTTCAGTACTCCTGTGAGGTTTTTAGCCTTGTTTTACAGAGGAAGCTGAGGCTCAGAGAGGTTATATAACTCCCTCCAGAGTCACACGGAGTTAAGTGCTGGAGCCAGACTTTGAACCAGGCAACCTAGCCCAAGCTTGTTCTCTTACCATGGCGTATTTGTATGGCAAATACAATAGAAGGAATATGTAGTAAGTAACTACAGGAATTCAACCATGGCAGTAAGGATGGGAGCAGAAATTTAAAGTGAAGAGAGACCTAAAATACATCTGACGGTAGAATTAATAGGATTTGGTGGGCAATTAGATAGGAAGAAGATAAGGAAGGAAGTTGGTAGAGTTTCCGGCTAAGCAAAATGGGAGATGGTAATTAATCAAGATACCGAATTTTGAAGTAGACAAAAGTGGGAGGA
This sequence comes from Homo sapiens, assembly GCF_000001405.40. Taxonomy (NCBI): domain Eukaryota; kingdom Metazoa; phylum Chordata; class Mammalia; order Primates; family Hominidae; genus Homo; species Homo sapiens. The sequence goes on along the minus strand of NC_000023.11, from coordinate 20,526,937 downwards.
GAGTAGATGAAGATAAAACTCTCATTTCTTGTTTAGAGGCTTAAAAGCAGTAAGAGGTAAACATACTCAATCAAAAGTATGCATTTTAGGAAAAGGCCTATGCACAATAAGGACAACTGTTTATATTGTGAATCATCAACTTGAAGAAGACATATGAGAATACACTCATCTAATATGACTTTGTAAAACTTTTGAAGTTTCTGAAGTTAAAAACATCTATCATGAGCTATAGCTATAAACAAATGTTCAAATGTTTTACTGCAAGAGTACACAAAAAATGCTTAATGTGAGGCCCCATATATAATATGTTCTTAGGAAATCTTTCATAGAACTTTCTTAAATGAGGAGGGATCTTGGAGTTCAAGTATTCCAACTTCCTCATTTCACAAATAAAGGAATTTGTGTCAAGTCAAATTAAATATTTTTATTTATTAATTTAATACCTATACCTACATAATAAAAAGGAACTGAGGTAGTCATTGCATAAGGTAGAAAGAAGTGTAATACAGAGTTCTTATTCTCAAGAAATTTACACTTTAATTGGGGAAATAATATAGTGTATAAAACAGATGCTCTTCTGGTCTTCACAGAATCCATTCCCTCTTTTTGGTCACAAGATCTGGCATTTTTTCATCCCTCTTCTACTCTCACTGATTTATGTGAGGCTAAATACACCCCTGGCTCCAGGTGACACAGCCTAGCCAATAAGAGTAATAGCCCATTTCCATGGTGACAATAACTGATCCAGGGGTGGGCTCATGACACAGTCACAATAAAAGCAATTTAGACCAAGAGTTTTTCTGAAACTTTTCCTGATTTTTTAAATTACCTGCATAATTGAAATTTGTTCTTTCAACCTGAATTTCAGTATTGAATGTCAGTTGTTCTGTATCTTTCTTTCCCTGATACAAATGATACCCCACTTTGATCTTAATATGTCCTTTTACCTTCATTTCAGAGAATATTTCCTGCATTCTATTCTTCTGCATTCAGGAACACAATTGCCTAGTACTGCATTATATTTTCTGTCTTCTATTTCTATTATCTTGTCTTCTATTTATTTTGTCCCCTCTGCACATACTGAGATAGCTTAAATATTCTCCATGCCTATTTTCAGCTCTAAATATTCTGCTTCTTGCTATCCCTAATTAATTTTTTAATGTAAAGGTAGGCCTTTATCTCTACAATCTCCCTTTACCTCTCACATGTCATTTACTACTTGTATTCTTGAATTCTTAGTGGAGTCTTTTATAACTTGTAGTACATATAAAGAATCTCCTTATTCTTCCAGATTTGGAGGGGCTTCTGCTATTTAATTATTTATTTATTTTTGCTGTGTTCCTTTGTTTCCACCTACCTACTTTCTATTATTGATTTATCTATATATCTACCTACTTAATTTAGCTGCAATATTGTTACATTATTTCCTGATATTTTATTTCATCCTGCTAATGCTGCATATGGGCAGCTTTATGCAAATCTGTTTGCTCAGAAATTGTGTGAGTAAATTTTCATTGACACCTTTATCACCTAAGGTAAGGCTGTCCTTCTCCCTGTTGGAGGGTTGGGTGTTGCATTTTATATATATATATATATATATATATATATATATATATATATATATATATATAGGTGGAAGCCACATGAAGAAGGTGAACGAGATAATTCACCTGGAATTGAGTTAATCTCTTGCTGGGGAATCTGAAATCTGTTTTCTCCTCTGAGGGCTTATTAAATTTCCAGTGCTGGGATTCATTTTACCACCCCCCTTTTGAAAGGAATTAGAGATAACCAAACCTACACCTTTGGAAATTAGTTTAAGAGAAGATAATATATAGGCTTTTTCAACAACTAAAAGTTATAAACTGCTTTTAGCATCATTCCCAACTTGGCAGAACTACAGGTTCCACAAACTTTGTTTCTCTTTTTAATCAACTTTAACCTGAAAGCTTTTGAAATGTACCTCTGTGTAGAGAGTAATAGGGGGTATGACCCCTTCATTGTAAGTAGGCATACACAGCACATACTTGGTAGAGCAAGGCCAGCCAAGCTGGAGTGGTGTGTGTGAAAAAGACTACAATGTCAGCATAGTAGACATTGTATGTCTGCTTTATTTTTAAACAAAGTAATTTTATGTGATTATTACAACATTTCATGTGGCTTTAGGCTTAGGCCTTAACCTTCTTAATCAGGCTTAATCTCTCTACTTCGCTATACAAACTCTCCATTTCAGCCAAAGTGGTCAACTCACTGTGACCTAAACAAGCCTTGAATTTAGCCTTTGAAATTTGGCTCATGCCATGTCATGCTACTCCTCTGAAATGCTTTCTTTTACCCGATTTTACACATCTTTTAAAATTCTGCTAAGATTTCATCTCCTTCACAATGCTTTCTCCAATTGTGCCAATCTGAAGTGATTGCTCCCACACTCCTAGAATGTGTTGCATTCTGGGTAAATTCTTCAGCTCTATCTTCCATTTCAGTAATTCACTTTTTGGCTCTGTCTGATCTGTGGTTTAATCTGTCCACTGAGTTTGTATTTAAATGACTACATTTTTTCATTTCAAGGCAAATCAATTGATTCTTTTTCAAGCCTGCCTGGTCTTTTTTTGGTAGTACCTTGATATTTTATCACATTTTCCTTTTTAAAATATGTTCAGTCATATTTCACAGTACATATTTAATCTCATCATCTAAAGGATATGAGGGTCTCATCCAGGGGCTGGTTGTGTTGGCTGCCTCTCACTTGTGGTGGCATGTATCCTCGTGCTTTTTAAAAAAATGGTGAACTCATCTTTAGTAGGGCTTTATCTACATGAATCCCTTGTGGTCTGAGTTGAGGATGTGGCTTTCTAGACAAGACTGCAATTTACTTCTACCGGGGGAATCACTGGAAGGGGACCACGTTTTATGTTCATCTCACAGGTTGTATTTTACTGGACAATAAAAGGAGTATATATTTGAACCACAAATTCGACTGAGAGCAGAACCAAGGTCTCAACTTTTCAGGTTGAAGCCCTGGAGAACAGAGGGGTTATCTCCCTGGCAGTGGATAGATTTTGCTTCTGTTCCACCTTTTCATAGTGACTGTATGCAGTCATAACTTTCTGGCTTTGTTCTTGCCTGAAGTACAGGTGCTTGTCCCCATTTGGTAATTGAAACCTAACGCCCTTAGTCACAGAGACCAGCCAAACCCACCACCCCCCACCCCCCAATCCTGAGCAACAAGAGCTTTAACTCCACCCTTATAGTTCTGCTTTTTCAGTTTTCCCCTTCATTTTTCATTCTTGGAGGAAATTCCCTTAGTTTCTCGTTATCTCAGTTTGTATTTTTAAAAAGGTATTCATCATGTTTTATCCATTAGGTCTTCATTTTTTACAGAGTGGTTAACATTACCTAATACACCACATTATAAGAAATGGAAATTTACAGTCAATTCAGTAATTATTCACACAAAGCCTTGCAACTGATCTTCTGTTGTGTTGACCTATTATTTAAATCTTAAGAAATTTCTTACACATTTTGTCCTCAAATAAATTACCCAAAAAAATGAAGCCAGGAATTGTATCTCACAGTTTGTTTTATTTATAATAGTGCTTTGCCTAGCATGGCTTCAGATTAACAGAAAATAAGTTGGTTGAAAATGTTTGGGTTGAACACAATTAGTTAAAGCAACAAATTGAGTAAAAATTAAGCTGAATATTCCAAGTTTGGCTGGTAATTTGATATACCATTAAATAATTAAAGAACTATTAATAGAATGGAAATCGAATGTTGAATGAGACAAACATGGTGTCTTTCTTTACAGAGATTACAGCATGGGGTGAGTTTCAATCCTTTAAGTGTTTTAAAACATATTTATCAATTTTATCTCCAGAAGTTTGAGTCCTCACACACACACTACATTTTTATTTATAGTTCATTCTTATCCACTTATTCCTGCTATGTTGGTTTTCAAATGCCTTGTTACATTTGTCTTTAGCTCTAAATGAATTGTCTAAAGCAAATTAGCATAAGAATTAATATTTACAATATCCAATCCATGTTTTTATAATTTCTTTGCAACCTAGGATAATTGCATACAATTTTAAACACATTTATAAAAGTAATTTTGCCTACCTTCTCATTTTCCTTTTTGTCCTTTTAAAAATAAATTTTCAACCATCATTGTTCATTTAATTTAGTTAACATGTTTTTATTATCTTTGCATAAACATTTATTTTACATTTAAAATTCTCTTAGCCATATTTGGCATTACTTGGCCAGCATTCATACAGTGTTTGCCGTCAGGACTGAAGCTATAATACAAAGCACGTGCAACCACAATGTGAATGCAAGGACAAGCTTAGGATGCCTTACATTGTCGGCCTGAAGACAGCTTGAGCTGATGCCTGCCTTGCTGCTGGACAGGACACAGAAATCTCTTTCCAGATATTAAGACAGGCAGAAAAACTGGATCTAAATATTAATACTCATATTATGATTGTCATGGGCTTTGGGCTATCAGTAATCAATATAGCTAGTTGTAGTTTGAATTCACTGAAAAATAAACCTCAGTTTTCTTCCATGGAAGGCCACTTTTCCAGCCAATAGCTGATACCTCTACACACATGTCCTCAATGAATTAGAAATTTTAAAAATAAGAGGACAAACATTGCCTCAATTCTGAAAAATGAGCAAAACTGCTTAATAGCACATAAAAGGTTGCAAAAACCACCCCATGGTACTTATTAAAAAGCTTAATAAGTGAAAATTAATTTGCATTCAACAAGATGGGCTGGAACTGCCTAATAACAGCTAACATTCATAAGCTGCAACAATAATGCCTATCGCACATATTCCTTTCCTGGCATGCCTTTGACACTCCTCCCATCGAGAGGCGGGGACCTATATTTCCTTCCCTTGAATATAGGCAGACTTGTTACCATGGCAGAAATGATGCTCTGTGACTTCTGAGGCTAGGTCATTAAGGTGGTATGCTTCCACCTGATTCTCTTAAGTTGCTTGTTCTTAAAACCCAGCCACCATGCTGTGAGGAAACCCAGGTGCACAGAAAGACTATGTGTTGACATTCTAGCTAATAGCCCAGACGAGGCCCCACTGATAGCCAGCAGCAACCACCAGACATGTAAGTGAAGATGCCCCCAAATGATTCCAGACCCCGGCCATGGAGCCAAAACCCAGGCTTTGAGTGTTTCAGTTGAGGCCTCCGACATCGTGGTACCATCTCTTCTGTCCCCCACCTGAATTCCTGACCCACTGAATCCATTAGCATAATGAAATAGTTGTTTTACACCACTGTGTTTGGGGGTGGTTTGTTACACAGTGGTAGAGAACCAGAACATAGCCTCACTCAAGCCTGGCCCAAAAGGATGGTGAAGAAGGGAAATCCTCTCATAATAGAATGTCAAGCAGCACATCTCTTTATCTGCTTTGTCTGGAAAAAGAGATTGCCCAACGTCAGCATCTACACAAATTCCTTGGCAGGCTGGGCGTGGTGACTCATGCCAGTAATCTCAGCACTTCGGGAAACCCAGGCAGGAGGATCACTTGAGCTCAAAAGTTCAAGACCAGCGTGAGCAACATAGTGAGGCCTCATTTCTACTAAAATTCAAAAAAAGCTAGCCAGGCATGGTGGCACACACCTGTGGTCCCAGCTGCTTGGAGGGCTGAAGCAGGAGGGTCACTTGAGCCCAGGAAGTTGAGGCTGCAGTAAGCCCTGATCACACCACTGAACACCAGCCTGGGCAACAGAGTGAGACCCTGTCAAAAAAATAAAATAAAATAAAAAGCTTTTAGAAAAAAAAAAAAATTCCTTAGCAGCAGTTAAAGATCTAAGTGGGAAACGTGGTCTGAAGGAAACAAAATTGGAAGATTGGTGACAAGGTTCAGGGAAAGGATGTATGCATGGATTTCTCTGAGGGGGCTTAAGAGAATGGGAGTATTTCCATCCAGTGTGAATGGTCACCAGAAGGCCCCCACGGCCTTACCTATCCAGTGTGTCAGCCAGTCTTCCCAGCCCAGAGCTTGCTCAAAGAGCCCAGCTATCAGGATGGAGACTTCATGTGAACAGCAAGAGTGATCTCCCTTCATCAAGCCTAAGTGCCCTATTTTCTAGCAAGCTTTTTGTTCTGCAACCTACAAGGCTTGCTTCTTTTTTGAGGAATTGGTTGTTCTCTGAAGGGAGGTGGGTAGAAAGCCTCCTGATTATATTTAGGTTGAATCATAGAAAATTGCCAATGTTCAACCATTTTGACTCATAAAAATAGGAATTTCCTATGGTTCAATGTAATATTTAAGAGATTTTTTTTTGGAGGATGGATAATTATCAGATCCAATTCAAAAAAAGTCAAGGCAACTTATTGATCTGTGTGCACGGTACCCGAGATCAATTCAAGAGCTAAATCAATGAAGTTAGTTTGTGTCATTATCCCATGATATAATCTTCTTAGTTATATAAAAAATACTGACTATAATGTCAGTTAAACAATGCCTAGTTAAAGCTTCGTAATGTAGGAGGATTGAGAAAAATGAAGGGGGAAGGAGGATAAAATGACTGATAGAATTAAAAGGGAATCAACTTCTGCCATCATAAAAGACATAGCTAATTGCTTTACTAAATTTGAAGACAATGAAGTACGGAAGAGGCACTTACCCAGCTGAGTCATAGGTAAGATACAAGGCAGTAATTACAAATACTATTTATTTCTTTCCTGAAATTTATCTCTGAAGATAATGGCAAGTTTGAATGAAGAAAATAACATTTTAATTTGAGTCATCTGGAAATAAAGTAAGGAAAACATGAAATGTCTCGAGCATGAGGCGCTTTGCTGCATCTTGACCAAGAAAAAGCCTTTGGAATGTACAAAGCAATGCCTCACATCAATATGCCAAGCACCACGCAAAATGCACTCGGGGAAAATGTACTCAGTGGTATAGAAACACTGAGTTGCACCACATTATCTTCATTTCTTCTTCTCACTCACCCACTGCATTCAAATTCAAAATTCAAATGGTATTTGTTGGCAACTGTTCTAGACTCTTGGGAAACAACAATGGACATAACACACAAACAGGGGCTTCGTGAGGAACAGGCTTTCTGGAATTAAGGAGGAGCCAGATAACAATAGAATGAATATAAGTTTATATAATATGTGAAAAGGTGATTAGAGGTATTAAAAAAAAAACAGGAGCTAAAGAATTTCAGGAGTGCAGGACGAAGGGTTGGGGACAGCAGGGGGAAGATCGCAATATTAAATTAGGTGTTCAGGGTGGACCTCATTGGAAAGGTGAGATTTGAGGAAAGATGTGAAGAAAGCAACAGAGTTAGCCAAGTGGCTATCCGGAGTAAGGGCATTCCATGCAAAAGGAATAGCTGTTGTACAGGCCCTAAGGCAAGGGAACATTTCTGGTGTGTTCTTTGAACAGCAGCAGGGAAGTCAGTGGGGCTGAAGTAGAGAGAGCAAGGAGAAGAATAGAAAGGAGATCAGAGAGATAACGGGAAACCAGATCACGGAGAGGTTACTACTCAGAGTGGAGTCCTAGGATCAGCAGCTTCAGCCTCACCTGCTGGCTGCTTAGAAATGCAGACTCTCCAGCCCTGCCCCAGAGCTACTGGATCATAGTCTGAGTTTTAATCAGATCCCCAGGTGATTCATATGCACGTGAAAGTTTAAGAAGCACTGATGGGGAGCCTTATAGGCCCTTGTTAGCACCTGGATTTTGACTCGGCCTGAGACGTGAATCACAGGGTTTTGAGGAGAGGAGTCACATGATCTGCCTTATATATAAAAGGATCACTGTGCCCTGCGTGTCGGGAAGAGTCTGTTGGGTAGAAGGGAAGGGAGCAGTCAGGATGCAATTATTGTAATACTCTAGGGGTGAGATAATAGAACTCGGACCAGAGGGAGGGACGCAGAGGTGGAGTGAACCCTGAGAAAATCGCCCCATCCTGCTCCCTCTCCAGTCCATCCCCTCTTCTCCAGTTCACTTCAGAGAAAACCGTCAGTTATAAATCAGAGGGTTAGAAAATGCTTCAGAAGAAAGTGGCGCTTCAAACCGACTATCTTAAAGAAGGGCCCTGGGTACTGGGGAAACAAAGAGGGCCTGAGAGTCCCCATCGTGGCTAGAGCAGTTTGAAGAAAGAGTAGGTGTTTCAGCTGAGCTTAGGAGGAGCAAGAATTAAATGGGGTGTTGCGGGGGGGCATTCTGGGAAGAAACGGCCACATATGTGAAGACACAGATGTAAGAAACTATATGACACACTTTGCCTGAACAAAGTGCAGCCGGGGGAGGAGTGGTGGGGGAGGCACTGGCAGAAAATGAGACTGGAGAACTAACCAGATCATGAAGTGTCTCGTGCACTGCATCAAGGAGGTCAAAACATCCAGAAAGCCCTGAAGACACAATGTCAGATTTCAGGGTGGGAGTAAGATGCAAGTTTAGGAGAAGCGTTGAGGAAACAATGGGAACGACAGATTAGAAAGGGATGAGCCTGGAGACAGGGAGAGCAGTCTCAAGTCACTAAAGGATGAGAATAATTCATCCCAGGACCCAAAGCCCAGGAATGGCTCTCAGAAATGCCGGAGACCTGAACTGTGTAACTGGCCTGTGTGTCTGAATTGAAGACTATGAACTATATAAGCTAGGCAAGTTACCAAACTTCTCGAACCTCAATTTTTCCTCCATGAGATCAGGTGTTCTTCATTTCCTCAAAGAGATCTCAGTACTATTGAGAGAATCGAATGAGATGCTTGGCATAGAGTAAATACTCAGCAAATTGCCTTATAAAAGCACTCCAAGTGATCTTAGTTTTCAGCCAAGGTTGCAAACCACTGATTTAGTCCAACTACTTCAATTTTGTATGAAAATACAGAGGCCCACAGAAGGAAAGGGATTTGTTCGAGGATGCACTTCAAGTTAGCAAAACAGGGAAACTCGAGTCCAGCACATTTTGACCCTGCGGTGCAATGGAGAAGGGTTGGGTCTGAAGGTGGATGCTGGTATTGCCATCTGCTAGCTGTGAGACTGAACCAATTTCTAAACATCTCTCTCAGCCCCATCTGCAAGATGGGGATGACAACAGCATCCACATTATAGGGCTGTTCAAAGGATGAAATAGATTAATGCTCACAGAACACCTGGCACAGTACCAGGCACCATGAGATGTATTAATTAAATGCTAGCTATTGTTACCAGCTGTGCTCTGACTCAGCCCAGCATTCTTTCTGTATCTCCACCAGGCTGTATAAGACCTCTTGTGAATTTTGATCAGTGTTTTCTTCATCCCTTATGGATACACTCATGGAAATCGATTTTTAGATATTGAACTAAAAAAATAAAGAGCTGATTAGTTACAATTCTCCCTGCTGATACCAGGAGTTTTAATCAAATAAACCAAGTATATCTGTGTACCAAATGTCATCTGTGTACCATGTTCGTGCACAGGACCTAACCAGGTGCTGTTTGTGCTGTCACTGGGTATTTGAAGCCACTGTTTCCTGTGTGTAATCAATAATCGACACTAAAGCTCTGACAAAATGACCATTTTTAGAGTGCCATTAGCTGTCTCCCTGGATATGGCTGTAAATGTAACATAAGTACGTTCTTTATTGCATCAATTTCTTATTGCAGTCATGTTTATCTTCCTGAAGTAAAGCGCTCTGGGAGAAACTGAGTGGGTGGGTATTTTGGCTTGTTTTTCTGCTAAAGGATGATTCTGATGATCTTTTACTATTACCTGAAATTTGCGTGCTATTGCAGAAGCATCCTTCTCAAGGGAAGAACACGGGTACAGTGGAGCTAAAGTGCTTTTTCTGTTGTGTGTACAAATTAGGCAAGAGGTTTATAAACTTGCTTCTTACAGAAAAGTCACCCTGATAATTTTCTTTGTAGTATTTCTGAATATCCTAACCCCTAATTAATCAACATAGACCACCTTTTGCTTGTTTCACATGGAGCACAGAGCTTTCAAATTAGAGCACTGGGAGAAAATTGTTTTTTTTTTTTTTTGGTATATATAAAATTCTAATTGCCATCAGAAGCAAGGTAGCTATATAATTGCCAAAGCCAAAACAATATGTTTCTGAAGATACTTTAATTAGAGTTTGCTTCACATTTTATCTTCTTATGAAATTGAAAATACCAACCACAAAAACTCTGTGGAGAGAGCTTTCTCTGCATTTTGTTGCGTGCTTCAGTAAAGATTCTTGTATATCAGAATTGTAGATTCAATACCAAGAAACATAAACTTGTATTGTTAATTTGGGTGACCATGAGGGACACTGACTTAGTTCAACTAGGAAAAGATCATTAAAAATACTTCAAAGATTTTTATTATCCTGGGTTTCTGATTAAACAAATTATCTATAGAAAAGCCACTGCAGTTAATTTACTGGTTGGAACTTGCATGAAGTTAGGGATTTCAAGATAAACCCATCTCTGGACAAGTAAGCTACTTTCTTTTGTATTACCTAGTGTGTGAGGGTGGGAAGGGAGGGAATGCCATATGAAACCAGCTTCCTCATTGCTCTCTTATGAGTCACATTTACTTGAACACAGCTAATTTTAGTTTCAACCACTGTGACCCTCCTAGAAGTAGTAAGAACCAAATGAGTAAGCATTTGGAGGAAGTGAGTACCTTGCAACCAATGTCATCCAGAGCTCATTATTTTAACATCAACAAAGCCCTCCTCTATAATCAAATTGCCCACATTCTCAGAAATTGTATTTGTGATAAAGTGCATGATCAGCTTGAATTTTTCACCCCTCCCTGTATTACACCCTTTGTTATGTGACTTTGGAGTTTCCTCCATAAAGGCAGAGTGTATTTTGCCACTCCTTGTCTTTGAGCTAAGTTGTGTCACTTCCTTTGGTCAAACGAATGTGGTCAAAAGTGTCAGGGTGCCAGTGTGAAGTTTGCCTGCTTCTTCTTGCCATCCTGTGGCTCTGCCATCTTCTAGGAACATGCCTGGGGTGCAACCCATGAAGCTGAGCCTCCCCAGCAGAGCCCAGCCTAGATCAGCCCATCCCAGCCAACCATAGACTTGTGAGCAATAATAAGTCATTGCTGTTTTAAACCACCAACATTTGAGGTGGTTTGTGATGCAGCAGTAGTTAACTCTCATAATACTGCAACAAGTTATTGACCTGAGCTTTTCTGGGCCAGTGATCTGTAAATACATATAATTCATGGCTGGTCTAGTTTCTATAACGGAAAAGATATTATACAACTATTTTCTCAAGGATAGATTATTTATGTTGCATCAAAAAAATAATTTACCAACTACCTGTTGTGGGCTGGATGCTCTACTGGGTGCTGGTACAGGGGATGGAATATGAAGAAGTCCCGAAAGTCCCAGACATTTGTACATGGCCTTTAGAAACTGAAAAACTTGAACCATGACTGCAAAGACCATTCAAACTAGAGGCTGTAAAAACTTTCTCTTTTCAGAGTTCAGTTTCTTAAAGCCAGGTATTGTAATATCTTGATCTTTATTTGAATCCTGAATCCAGTATAGCAAGCACTCTCTCTTGCCTGATTCAGTAGAGGTTCAGGATGTTCCTCTTGTCTCAATTTTCTATGAAGGTGACTGGTTTAACCTAGGTGTATGACCCAAGGAGGAATGGCAAATTCTCATCAGCCAAGAGCCTCTCAATATGAATAGATGTTAGAGAGAGGTTGGCCTGGTATAGAGTCAGATGATGAGCTAGCAGTAGAACTTGGGGGTGTTCACCATTAAAATAGGCAGAAAGGGAGATCACTGTAGAGAACAGGGCCACTGGGCAGAGGTAGGATGGACTAGAGTATGATAATGAGGAGATCAAGGGGAAAGGAAGATGAAAGGTGGAATTTCAAGCTGGGATCTGAGGCAACAACTGGAATCATTATCAGAGGACCTGTATATTAGTTTGAGTGCTTGTTTGGATGGTTTTTAGCACCAGGTGGGGTTTATCACCTAGTTGGGACTTTCAGCTATGGTGTCTTGGGTGCTCTTTGTTCTGTAATTCTCTGTCTGCAATATCAAGAACCAGGACCATCTAGGGAGGAGAAGACTATTCCTCTAGGTCTGAAGTTGTATTTTTCTCTGCCCAAGGACTCTGATACATTCTGTAGTCATCATGGAAGCCTCATTCAGGGAGAGTTGAGTCCATTGGAAGTTCAGTCCTCTGAGAACCAGAGACATTGTGTGGCAGGTCCCTCTCCTGGGTCCTGGGACTTAGATCCTAGCCCCTGGGCTTGTGCTATGTCACAGCCTTGGCCTCTCTGCCTCCTCCTCATCAACCCACTCAGGGCATTCTGACCCATCCAAACATAAGCAGAAGATGACTCATCAGTGGGCTGCCTATGAATCATGGCTTGGTCCCAATGTGGAAAGGCAGAGTGAATGTAGAGCTGGAAAATTAATGTGAATCAGGATGCATTTGGTGTTGACATTTATATCTTAGTGTAATTTGACTCAATGTTAATCCTCTTTCGAGTTTAATAATGACAGCAGGACATTCAAAGTCACTGTGATTGATGACTTCATTCCTGATTCAGATTCAGCCTGAATGTCCATCATGTTTGGTATTAAACCTCAATTTCAAATTAGCTGCTGGTCCCAATTAATGACTAACTGAACAGATGAGATTCCACAAGTCTTGATGCCAAAAAACTTCAAAATCAGTGCTATCGACCATTTTCTTTTAGAGAGAGAAACAGATCTTCTCATGAGATCAGCCTTCAGAACTGTTGTTAGTTTTAACATATTGACAGTTCTGATTGGTCTCTTTTGTTCTGTTGGTTTGTTGGCTACTTAACCTATTTCTCAACTTGTTCCACAAACAAAACAATAGTTTTAACCTCTGAACAACAAACAACTAAGTAGGCATTTCTTTAAAACAATTTGTTCGAACTCTTTTTGTATTGTGTACCTTCATGAGGATCAGAAGTCATGTCATCATCACCTCATAGTTTATATTTTTAACACATCATGTGTCAAATGATGGTCTAAGTTATTTATTTTGTTGAATTCTCCCAGAAACCCTATTATCATCCCTGTTTTTCAGATGAAGAAGTTTAGTCAGCATTTCAGAGAGCTCTAGTAACTCACCAACAATAATATAGTTATTGAGTCATGGAAGTCACATTTTTAATCCAAGCAAGCTAACTCCAAAGTCTCTGCTCTTAACTTTTATGCTACTAACTTCACCAAATGCAAAAGTCCATATTACCAAGTCTCACTTTCTAGTCAACATTTGAAAATGATATTTAGTACAGGAATAACTTAAAGATAGGCTTTCTTTTAGATTCATTCTAGGAGAGTAAGAATGCTTTACAATACCCTTGAATCAACTTAATTGTTTTCCCCAATATTGATCCTATTGTCACCATTTACTACGACTTGTATCATAACTGCAGTACCTTCAATTTTTATCTTGGTGAATTGAGATTCCTGGGCTAATACTACAACTTAAAAGGCAGGATTTTCCCGTTTTATAAACAATCTTCAACTTTTCTTTCCTAATCTGTCTGCCTTGTGGTTATGTCTAGCAGCCATCAATTAACAGAAATGTCAGTAAGACAAGCTTACCAAAGTGGGGTGGGGGAAGGGGAACCAAAATGAAGAATGTTATGCCAGGAAATACTTTAATGTAGGTGGAGCTCTGCCAACTTGTATTATTATAAGAAAACAAAGAAACTTTATTAATCCAACAGGCATTACACTTTGACTTTTATTTTGATTTTATTTTTGAGCACGCAGTTGAATTCTTTGCACACAGATTTTCCTTATTTTTGTAAGCTACTTGCTTCAAATAAAAGGAAGACTATTTTGGTGGCAAGATATGTATGTCTTTCAATTTGTATTCTTTCATTCTTCTCGAATATCTACAAAATTCTCTTATCTATGGTGTTTGAGAAGCAAAAATGCTACTGAAGCAGAACCAATCCAGTACCATACTTCCTTTGGTTAGGCAAAATTTATTGCAGAAGGAATTGTAATGTTTGCTTCCTAAACTGCCCCAGGAGCAACTAAATCTCCTGAAGTAATTATAAATAATGGACAATTTCATGCATAATTTGCTCCATTATTAGGATTTATTACCAAAAACTAAAAAAAAAAATACAAAAAGAAAGCTCTAAGCAATAACAGTTCACTCATTGAGGGTGCAGACTGACTCTGAATAGCGCAAAAGATGCAGACGACAGAAACTCTAGGCCTAGCACATTTAACCTTTCATGGCCCCTCTCTTCCTCGCCCCAGACTGTCTCCACCCTCCCTCAGCAGGTGCCCACAGGCAGATTGATTGAGTTAATTGAGTGACCACCTGAATATCTAAAGAGAAAAAAGTTACATCCAGTTTACTTATGCACTTTCCTCATCAATTTTTCTCTGCAAGAAAGAATAGCATGTAGAAAGATATATACATTGCCACACTTTAAACACACCCTTAAAATTTTTATTTGCGGTAAATTCAGATCTTGTGTACCTATCTCTCTCATGAAAAATTGCAAACTAAATCTCATCTAAGAAAAAAAAATAAGAGATTGGTTGTTCTAACATTTTATTATAGAAATTTTCCATCTTGCACACAATTGAGAAAATAGTGTAATGAACCCTCCTATACCCATCACTCTGCTTTAACTATCAACGTTTCTATAATCTTGATAATATTTGATAATCTTGGTAATATTTGATAATCTATTCCCCTACTTTTCTGTTATTTCTCACCTGGCACCCAGCTCTTAAATGCACTATTTTTTTTAAATAATTCCTAGACATGTCATTCCAATAAATACTTAAGTGTGTATCTCTAACTGGTAAGGATTATTTTTATATAACAATTACACCATTATCGCACCCGATAAAATCAACAATAACTCCTTAATAGCTTATAATGTTTACTTCATGTTCAAAATTTCTCCATTGTCTCAAAGGAGAAATAATTTGGTCCGATGACTCAGCAGGAAACAGTATTCTCAGAATAATTCGAGGAGCGTTTATGTATAAAGAGACTATTTACAAAAGCATGGGTGGGATGTGGGGGAATCACAGAGAATAGTGCAGTGACACTTGGCTAGTGACAACAGAGCTGTTACCACCCCTAGATGTGAAGGAGTCAGAAGGAGCAGATCAAGGTTGCTGAAACTGGAAGGAAAGAGTCTACAGAGAAGGCCTCCTCCAGAAGAACAGTGTCTTTCCATTGAGGTATCCAGCCAGCCAAAGTGATCACACAGGGAGGAAGCCAGGGGAATCAATACTCAGAGAATCCTCTCTCGCCTCTCTTTCTGATTTCCTGCTGGGGCTTCCCATTGGCCAAATTCAACCAAAAGCCAGAGGGCAAGAAAGCCTGAAGGCACAGTCCATACTGGTCAGCTTCTCAGACTAGGGAGAAGTGTAGAGAGAAAACCTAGAGGAGAAAAAAGAAGATATCTGGCATAGGATCCAACAAGACCTACACATTGCATTTGGTTATTGTGTTTCTTAAGGCTCTTTTATTCTTTAACAGCCCCCACCTTCCTTTCATTTATTTAATATGTCATTAACGGAGAAACCAGGTTTTTTGGCCTTGTCTCACATTTGAGATTTGGCTGATTGCTTCCTTTCAGTGTCATATAAATCGTTCCTTTATCTCCTGTATAATTTCTATACAACAGTGGTTTGTGTATTGCATTATGTTATTTATTATTTCTATCAGGCTACTTCATATAAATTACTGGCTATACTTAGACACTTGATTAGATGTAGGTTCAATGTTTTTTAGGAAAGAAGACTTCCTAGGTGATGCTGGAGCATCCAATTTCATCCCTTTGTGAGATGTGTAATTTCTGATTGCCCACTTGTGAAGATTCTAAGATTGAATTTAGCTTAATTCCTCCATTATGGACTTCACTGACCTTTCACTAACCTTGACTACACATTAGAATCACCTGTGCAGATTTTAAAAAATCACAGCACCATGGCCACATTTATCACTTAAATCAGAATCACTGGGGTAAGATATGGGCATTAGCATTTTTTAAAACCCCCAGCTGATTCCAATGAGCAGCCAATATTGGTAACCTCAGACCTAATGATTTTAATATCTACTGATTTTTGGGTTTTTTTAGGTCTACTATTTCATTAGAATGTGTAAATTGATACTTTTTAGTTCTGTCATTCCTTCTGCATTTATTAGCTACGAAACAGTGCCAATCACGAGCTTGCACTCAATAAAGAGGTATCAGTTGATTTGATCTGAAGTTCATGTTTAATGAGTATTTTCCATTAAAAAAGTTTTGTGGAATTTCTATTAAAAAGATTTAAGTGTCTACAAATTATTTAGATAGCATTTTATAATATCTATCAAATTGATGTTCATTTTTACAGATGATAGCTCTCTGGATCACATCTAAAATTAAAATTTCCCTCATAACATCCCCCCTCTAAATTCTCAACTGTAAGTGTGTTGTGTTAACTATGATATATGTTGAATATTTCAGTCCCTCACACACTAAGACCACATGATGTAAAATACATAATAAGGTTTTCTGGAGGGGAAAACTTACACGAGAGAAGTAGAGAGTGCACACAATCCGTCACTCTCAAAGAGAGGTGTACTTAAGCCAGGCATGGCTGGGCTAGACACACAGGGTTCCAAGAGAGAGATGTTATCTCCCATTATACCCGACATATTTGTAGAAAATGGGGAATAAGGGATTCTTAGGAACTATGTAACAATAAAAGGTTGATGTTTGAGGAAGTGGCCCAGTTAGAAAGAAAGAGCTTCTGGAACTTAGTAACTGGCACCTGTTGAGTTAACACAGACCTGCTGGGCTAGCTCTCTGCTAAACTACCAAAAGGGTGAAGTGGGCTTTTGGTGCCTTCCAGATTTGTCTCTTTTCACTAGCATACATATGTAAGATTACACTCACTGAGTACTTATTAGGTGCCAGGCAGTTCAATCAACAATGCTATGATCTTCCCTAATCAACCACACTTAGAAACTTTTAATCCTTTGATTAAAAGTTCTTTTTCCTCCAAGATCCACTTGGTGGCTCATCTTTGGTAATGCCCATTCATTTGATGTGCATTCATGTATTCATCTGTTACTTCATTCACTTAATCATTCAGTAACAGTTACGTAGTAGAACTTTTTTGAGGCGTGATACAGGCTCCAGTTATGACCAAGGCATAGCACAAGTAGGTTATAATCTGAAAGATGAAATGAGACAAACTTAATATACATAATATCAAAAAGTCCCTTCCTCTGTCCTTTCTTTTCATCCTCCCCTAGCCTAGTCCATGCTTCATTCTCCTCCCTCTTCAGCTAGCCCTCCTGCCTTTGTTTTCTTCTTTTCCAAACCATGCTGCACACCCTTTTCAAATTACTTTCTCCAAGATACTGCTTTGCACTCTGTTCACAAACTCCAAATGGCTCCTTTTTGCCTGCTAAATGAAATCCAAGCTTTTAAATTTAGTTCAGCATTCAAACCCCTTCCAGACCTGTTTGCTACCAACTTCTACCTCTCTCTTAAATTCCTCCCTTTGAACCCTTCTCCCCAAGTGAGTTTGTCTGCCAAATCATCTGGGCTCATGACTTCCCCTCTATCTCTCTAAGTCTTTGAGCTGGACATAGTCTGCACCTATGTCTCAGTACTCCTACACTCCGAACCCATGAGCTTTCCCGACCTGTCCCATCCTGCCTTTGAACTGCTAAAGTACTTATTTTATTTATTTTTATTGTATATATTTAAGATATACAACATGATGTTTTGATACACATATACACAGTGAAATGATGGCTACATAAATTTTTTAAATCTTGTAATCACTAAAGTACTCATTAATGGTACCTCTCATTTTATCATCATTATATCCCATCTTATATTTCTAATAACCTTTTCATGCCTCACCTCCCCTACTAGAGTATAAGCTCCTTGAGATCAGGAAGTGTCTTATACTTTGTTTTCTCAATACTTTAGCAGTGCTTCGCAGACAGCAGGTGTTCAATAAAAGGGCGTTGATGAAGATGAGAATATTGGGAAACTCTTGGAATATGGTAGTGGTTGAAGCATTATACCAAGAAGGATATGGTTTTTCAATCACGTTTCAACTGGTTATTTTTCTCTCATCATCAAACTAGCCAAGTCTCTTTCTCCCTTCTCTCTCTCTCTCTTTCTCCCTCTCTCCCTCTCCCCCCACCATCTCTCTCTTCCTTTCTCCCTCTCTCTGTCTCTTTTTCTCTCTCTCATTCCCTTCACAGCCAGACTTCCTAAATGAGTATTTGCTGCCTCCACGATTTTACCTCCCATTCACTTCCTCAACCCACTACCATCTGGCATCTTCTACCACTAAACCAAAAATCTGCTGGCAGAGGTCACCTAGCACCTCATAGATGCCAACTCAGATGGACACTTTCCAGTTCTTTTTGCATCTCATCTCCATAGCATTTGATGTTGTTTCCTCCTACCTCATTCAGGAAACTGTCCTTTACTTTGGGTTTTTAGACCACAGCTTTTTGCTACCTCTCTCTATTCCTTCTCTAGTTCCGTCATGGGCTTCTCTTTTGCCAACCATCCCTTGAATGTTATTACAGAACAGGTTTCATCCTTGGCTGTCTTAATTTTGGTTCTCCCAGAAGCAGGCCCTGGGACAAAGATTTACATGCAAATTATTTGCTGGAAAGATGATCCCAGTAGGAGGATGGGGAAGTAAGATTGGGAAGGGAAGGCAGCCAATAAAAGGTGTGATATCATGCCAGTTACCACTGTGGGCAACTGGAGCATAGTCCCACTGCAGAACACAAGCCTCAGAATTATCTTGCTTGTGGATCAAGAGAGCTGAAGTATTTATCCACCAATCCATTAGTCATTGGTCAAAGGCTGCTCCTGGAAGTGGAATAGAGCTACATTAATTACCTGATACATCTAGCCTGCCCTCAGGCAAAGAGTCACACACCAATGACTGGAAGTTGGGCTGATGTGCATAGAATGTTACAACAACCCCTGTTCTCTCCTCAACTTAATCATTATCCCTGGGTTACTCTCATCAACGGTAATAAAATTAACAATGACAATAGCTAACATTTATGTACTAGGTCAAGTGTTTTACCGATATTAGCTCATTTAATCCCTACAACAGCCCTCAAGGTACCATTATCATTCCTATTTTATTGAGGAGGAAACTGGGAATCAGAGGGGCTAAACTAGCTGAAGTTGTAGCACTAGTGACTTTAGCTAACATATATATGCTGATGTCTCTGCACTTACAACCCATATTGTACCTCTAAGTTCTAGACCAGTCTGTCCATTTGCCAACTGGGTGTCCTTCCAAGCTTTCTACTGGCATCTTAGATGCAACATGTTCAAAATGAACCTATCAGAAGGTCTGAAGAAACCTTGATACATTATGATTATCTCTTTTCCTTTTTGACAGCTTTTTTGGGTCGTCACTTTAAGAATAATTTTTATTTGGAAATTATTTTTTCTGGTAATAAGAGAAACTCATAAGGATTTTGGAAAATATGGAAAAGTATAAAGATTACAGTCACATTCTCCATAATTCCACCATGCAGAATTGACACTGTGGGCATCTCCTTTTGCCTAATTGTCAACATATTTTTAAGATGTTTGAGAAAATACTGTGTGTATATGTGCATGCATATGTACATGCATATATATGAGTGTGTACAATTTTGCATCTTGCTTTTAACATTATAAGCATTTCCCCATGTCATTAAAAAACTTTATAAATCCATTTTAAAAGCTAGATAATGGTCCTGACATGTGGATTACCAAAATTCGCTTTAACCCTTCCCTTGTTATCGAACATTTGTATTGCTTCCTTTCTTTACTCCTATAACAGATGTTGAAGTCAATAGCTCTATATCTAACTCTTTATCTGCTTCTTAGATTCTTTACAGAAGAGGAATCCCTTTTGGAAAGGACAATAACATTTTAAGGTTTTAATGTATCTTGCTTTCCAGAAAGGCTGTACCAATTCACACTCATACCAAGAGAATGCAATACTGTCATCCACCACACCCCTGCTAGCAATGAGTATTTTCATCCTTTTAGAAACTTGTTAAATCTATAAGAGAAATTGCACTTGTCAGTTCCATTTTCATTATCTTGATTTCCAGTGAGAGTAAATTTTTTTTCACCTATTTGTTGAGCATTTATCTTTCCTATTTGTAAACAACTATTCACACAACTTACTGGTTCTTGTGGTATTTCTTGCTATTGTATTTAAAAATTACTGGCAGGTCTTTATTATATTTGTGGAAAAAATTCCCATCTTGCCATTTGTCCTTTCCATTTCTCATAATTTTTGACACACAACAGTTTAAATGCCTTATGAAGTCAAATCTAACTTTTCTCTCATTGAGATTATTTCTGTTACATTTGAGCTTTGAAAGTATTTTCCTACCCTGAGACCAGGTAAATATTCACCTATCTTTTCTTCTAGTGTCTTATGATTTGTATTTCTGCATTACATTCTTTTTAATCCAGTAAAGTATGACATGAAACTGATTTCCTCACTCCCCCAATTGCAGTCCCTGTTGGCCAATTTTTTTTTTTTTTTTTTTTTTTTTTTTTTTTTGAGACGGAGTCTCGCTCTGTCGCCCAGGCCGGACTGCGGACTGCAGTGGCGCAATCTCGGCTCACTGCAAGCTCCGCTTCCCGGGTTCACGCCATTCTCCTGCCTCAGCCTCCCGAGTAGCTGGGACTACAGGCGCCCGCCACCGCGCCCGGCTAATTTTTTGTATTTTTAGTAGAGACGGGGTTTCACCTTGTTAGCCAGGATGGTCTCGATCTCCTGACCTCATGATCCACCCGTCTCGGCCTCCCAAAGTGCTGGGATTACAGGCGTGAGCCACCGCGCCCGGCCCCAATTTTTATTTAGTGAGTTATTGTCTCCATTGTTATATATCTCCTTTTCTAATGGATCACAATGTTTTAATTATTGCAGCTTTGTTAACATCTGTCGAAGTAACAGTACCCTAATTCTTTTTTATCCCAATATTTTCTTATCTATTTTCATCTATTTACTATTCCATATGAACTTTAGAATCATTGTATCAAGTTACAAAAAATAATTCCAATGTATATATTGTAATTACATAAAATTTAAATATTAGGGAAGAATGAACATATCATGGTCTCTCAATTTATTGGTCTCTTGTTTTCCATCTCACGCAGATCTCTAAACTTTTCTTATTAAGATTATGTTAGTATTTATGTTCTTGTTCCTATTTCAAATTGGTTCTTTTGATCCGTAATCTGTTCTATCTGGTTATTTCTGTTATAGAGTAAATCTACTTATTTTTGTACTTTTTTTTACGCAGCCACTACTCTGAAATCTCATTAATTTTAACAATTTTTGTTGATTCTTTTCTTCCTTTCTTTCATATCTGTTTCTATTCCAGCCCTTCTGTTTTTGTTGTTTGGGAGTTTTGTTTGAGTTTTGGTTTTCCAGAACTTCTAAAACAATGTTAAATAATAATTATTTTGGTGTATCACAATTAATTGTCTATTTACTACCATTTTGAGATTAATACTGTTATTATTACTATGCCAGTTTTTCTTTCCTTTTATAAAACTACTTATAGTTTTATAAAGATGGCTATTTATAGGTTTATAGAGATGGCTATTGAATTATCAACTTCCTTTCAGCATCTATTACAGTAATCATGTGGTTTTTCTTATTTGTCATCCTGATATGATACATTATATTAATATATTTGCTAATATTATATTATTCTTATATCCCTGGGATGATGCCACTTGGTGAGTTATTCTTTTAATATTCTATTAAATTTGATTTGATACTATATTATTTTATTGCATTATATTCATACTGAGATTAGACCATAATTTTTGTTTTTGAGTTTTTTGTCAGGTTTTAGTATCACTTTAATGCTAACTTCATAAAATAAGTTTGACGATAAAAGTGAATGGGAAGTTTTATTCTGTTCTTGAACAGTTCATATGGCATGAAAATTATATGTTTCTTACTAGAAAGAAAGAACTCACCAGTAAAACCATATGGCATGTATAAATTTTTGTTATAATTATGAATATAGGCAACCTGAATTGACAGGCCGTTTAGGAAGAAATTATTAATATTAACAATTAATAGTATATTGTATTAGGGTTGTGCTGTATTTATTTCTAAAGTACTCTTATATCTGTTATCTCTAGTCATTCAAAAACATTTATGAAAAATGCCTTCATGAGCCAGATACCATGGTTGATGTTACAGAAAAAAAAGATGAATTGATGTAGTCCTTGATTTTAAGGCATTCTTTAGCTAATTAAGATAGACATGTCAATCAATAAGCCTAGTGAAATGGTACAACTACTTTAATAGAGGTATGTTCACCCACATTATCCTCAGTCTACGTATACTGGTATCATTACACTCATTATACTGGTGAGGTAACGTTCCAGGTCAGTGGATCCATATTTGCACACCTCTAATAACCAAAAATTCAGTGTCTCCTGAGGAAAACATATTTACCTTTAGACCACTCTAGTAGTTGGAGTGTTATCTCTTCTGTCTTCTGGTAGCTTCTCTCAAACCATGATTCTAGCCCTCAGAGTCTACAATAAGTCTAATTTCTTTTATGTGGGATAGTTCTTCATATTTCTGAAGACAGTTATAACCATACCCCCCCAACACCATAAGTTCTTTATACCAAAAAAAATATCTTCAGTTCTTTCAACCTGTCTTCATATAACACAGTCCTGAATAACCACCATCTTGGCCTCTTTTATTTGTAGGTAGTTCAGTTTATGTTGTTTTAGAATTCCACTCAGTACTCTACATACACTTCAACAAAAACTGGGTAGAGAAGAAATATTACTTTTTTCATATATATATATAACATTTATTAATGCAGTCCCAAATAAGCATGGTTTCTTTGGTGGTATGACTGTCAACTAACATTGAAGCTATTACTCACTGAAAAAATATCAAGTTTTTTACACATATGGTTCTAAGTCATATTTCCTTCATCCTGAACTTGGTCAGTTGTTTCTTCATACTTACACCCAATGCTTCCCATTTATCCTTGTTGAATTTAATTTTAGTAGTTAAAAGCATTAATCATTTAAACTTTTTCTGGATCCTGAATCTGCTAATGATTAGCTAACACTTCCAGCTTCACAGAATATACAAATTTTATTATCTTGGTCCTACTGACATGATAAGCATATGAAATACAAGAACACTAAAAAGCCAGGTGAATTTCAACAAAGATGCCAAGAACACACGATGGGGAAAGGACAGTCTCTTCAATAAATGGCTTTGGGAAAACTGGATATCCATATGCAGGAGAATAAAATTGGACCCTTGTCTCACACCATATACAAAAATCAACTCAGAATAGATTAAAGTCTTATATGTAAAACCTGTAACTATAAAACTATTAGAAGTTGAGGAAAAGCTCTATATTGGTCTTGGCAATGATTTTTTGGATATGACCCCAAAAGTACAAACAACAAAAGTAAAAATAGACAAATGGGATTACATCAAACTAACAAGCTTCTGTGCAAAGGAAATTATCAACAGAATGAAGAGACAACCTACAGAATGGGAGAAAACATTTGCCAGCCATACATCTGATACGTGGTTAATATCCAAGATATATAAGGAGCTCAAACAACTCAATAGCAAGAAAACAAATAACACAATTAAAAAATGGGCAAAGGATCTGAACAGACATTTTTCAAAAGAAAACATACAAATAACCAACAGTTACATAAAAAATGCTCAATGTCATTAATCATCAGAGAAATGCAAATTAAAACCACAGTGAGAGATGTCACCTCACACCTGTTGTGGAATCAAAAGACAAAATTATCAAAAAGACGAAAGACCACAAGATTTGATGGGGATGTGGAGAAAAGGAAACCCTTGCACACTATTGATGGGAATGTAAATTAGTACAATCTTTGTGGAAAACAGTATAGAGATTCCTCAAAAAATTAAAAATAGAACTACCAGCAGTAGTTCCAGCTACTGGAACTACTGGATCCAGTTCTTTTGACCTGCCTGGAGATCCAGCAGTCCTACCTCAGGAATTGAAGGAAATGAATGCCAAGGAAATGAAATCAGTATTTCAAAGAAATGCCTGCACTCCCGTGTTTATTGCAGCACTATTCACAATAGCCAAGATATGGAATCAAATAAGGATTCATCAACGAATGAATGGATAAAGAAAATGTAGTGTATATATACAAAATGAAATACCATTCAGCCTTTTAAAAGAAGGAAATCCTGTCATTCTCAACAACATGGATGAACCTGGAGGACCGTATGTTAAATGAAATAAGCCAGTCACAGAAAGACAAATACCGCATAATCTCACTCATATGTGGAATCTAAAAAGTGAAACTCCCAGAAGCAGAAAGTAGAAAAGTGGTTACCAGGGTCTGGGGAGGTGATGGGGAAGAGGATTTGGGAGATGTTGGTCAACAATTACAAAATTTAAGTTAATGGAGATCATTATGTTAAGTGAAATAAGCCAGGCACAGAAAGACAAACATCGCATATTCTCACTTATTTGTGGGATCTAAAAATCAAATCAGTTGAACTCATGGACATGGAAAGTAGAAGGACAGTTACCAGTGGCTGGGAAGGGTACTGGGTGGGCTGAGGGGAGGTGGGATGATTAATGGGTACAAAAAACAGTAAGAATAAGACCTACTATTCGATAGCACAATGGGTGACTACAGTCAATAACTTCATTGTGCATTTTAAAATAACTTGAAGAGTGTAATTGGATTGTTTGTAACTCAAAGCATAAATGCTTGAGGGAATGGATACCCCATTCTCCATGATGTTATTATTACACATTGCATGTCTGTATCAAAACATTTCATGTACCGAGTAAATACATACACCTACTATGTACCCCCAAAAATTAAAAATTAAAAAATTTTAAAAAAAGTCCTGAATAAAGCCTTCCTCACTGTTTTAAAAAATTTCAGTTAAATAAGAAGAATAAGTTCATGAGATGTATCGTACATCATGATGACTATAGTTAATAACAGTGTATTGTATTCTTGAAAAATGCTGAGAGTAGTTTTAAGTGTTCTCACCACAAAAATGACAACTATGTGAGGTAATGCACATGTTAATTAGCTGGACTTAGCCATTGCCACAATGTGCATATATTTTAAAACATCCTGTTGTACCCAAGAAATATATACAATCTTATCTGTTAATTTTTAAAAATTTTAAATTAAGACGAATACTGAGGACAGAGGCTGTAACATATCACCAGAAACCTCTTATCAGGTTGGCATTGATCCATTAATTAGCACCCTCTGAGTACAGCCACAAACAAAGTTACTTTATTATGATATTATATATATATAGTGTGTGTGTGTTATTACATATCATATATACATATCATTTATATATAAAATTCTTGCACTTGGTTCACATATTTCTATCTTGTTCACAGTTGCATATGAGACCCTGCTAAATGCCTTTGGCATTCACATCATTGCCAACTAAGAGAAATTAAAACATACATCTACACAAAATTTGCACATGAATGTTCACAGCAGCTTTTTTCATAATACCTCCAAAATGGAAAACAACCTCCAGTGTCTATCAACAGGTGAATATATAAACAAAATATGTAGCCACACAGTGAAATTTGACTCACAATAAAAGTAACACCCAACAGCATTGATGAATTTCAAAAACAATATGGTGAGTGATAGAAGCCAGATACAAAAATTTACATACTGTACCATCTTGTTTATATGAAATTCTAGAAAACTGAAACTAATCTAGAGTGACAGAAAGCAGATTGCTGCTTGCCTAGGCCAGGAATGGGGGGAGGGTTGACTATAAAAGGGCACAAGGGAACATTCAGGGCTGATGGAAATGTTCTGTCTTGATCATGGTGATGGTTCATGAGTGTACACATTTGTCAAAATTAATCAGACTATACATTTAAAATAGGTGCAGTTTATTTCATGTAAATTACACCTCCATAAAGTTGACTTTAAAAAATACTGCTTATTGCATTCCCTGTTTTATCATAATAATGTAATAACCTGATTAAATAAACAAATGAGTCTCACTCAACTCATTCTTCATGAATTCCTGCAGATCCTAGGGACTCTTACATCGTTTTCTAAGTACTCATAAATTATTCTTTTAATGTGTTCTAGAATGTTTCTGGAAATCAATATTAAACTCATCCAGCCACACTACATGAAAGCTATCTTCTCTCACCCTTCGAAAATGAAAATTCTATTTTGCTGTCTCAGTTTTTTGTGACTTTATATAGTGCCAATTCCCCGAAGAAATGAACAATGATCTGTCATCTCATTTGCATGCTCTCTTAGTTCCCTGGGATGTAATTCGCCCAAATCAGAAGGCTAAAAACTGGTTTGGAGATAGTTAGTGCTCTTTCATCTTGGACTTCCTTTGCAAAGGGGCTTCTGAATTGGGGATATTGTGGGAGAATTTAGGCTGCAATTTAAGGAGCCGTTCACCACTTATGAGCCATTATGTTAGCCTCTGTCAGGATGTCTGGCTCTGAGTCTGGTGCGGGCAATGTCTGAGTAGCTTTCTGTGTGAGAGCACCACAATTTCCTGCCTAAGAGTTCAGTATTGATCTAGCTCAAACCACTAAAGGATTTTCACTCTCCACTTCTTTGGTGGCAGGAGACAAGGTTACTTATGCCTTTTACATTGCAGTGATTTCATATGCTCACATCCAACAAATGCATGTATAATACATGTCATGTTTGGCATTCTAAGTTAATGTTACTGAGAATATGTATCCTCTCTGTTTCAGCAAAAACATTTTGAGCCTAGAAGAGAAGGGAGAGTGAGGCAACAGTCTGAGTTCTGAGCTGACAGCCTCTAGTCTCTGTTTCATCTAGTCCTTCCTGGCCCATTGTAGGTCAAGTTATAGATCAGAAGGGAATGCCATACATCTGTAGCAGGGAGCTATGAGTCAAGGGATAAGATGTGAAGCCCTGGTAGGTGAGGTGCCCCCTGCCCTTCTCCTTCAGAGCATAGTGTAGCAAGCAGAAAAGTGGGAATGGAAAAGGGAACTGTGGATGTAAAAAATCCTTTGTTCTTTAAACACACCTTTGGAACTGTGACCTTGACATCCATGGATCATGTGGTAAAGAGGAGTGTTTACCAAAAAGTGATCAAAACAGAGCAGCCCTTCTTAAAGGGCTCTGGGTACTTCTGTAAGAAAACTTATTTATACCACTAGAGTACACAAAAATCTTAACAGTAATCTTTCTAACCTCCTCAAAGCCTAAAGTGTACTAAAAACAAAGGAAGATTTTTATGGCTCCCATCTCAGGTTTCAAGACATTTTCTTTCTGAATTTCTGAGTGCTGTGGCTGTTAGAATCAACTCAGCGTTGGAAGAGATGTTTAGATTTATCTCATCTATCCTCCCACTTAATGCAATGTCCCTGACAGCTGTTCACCGCATCTCTGGATGGATATTTAATGCTCAGGAAACTAATTCTTATAAGGCTGCTCATTTCCTTGTTGGAACAGTTTTTTTTCTTAGCATGAACTGAATGCTCTGCTTGGGTAACTGTATTCATCAGCCTTACTTCTGACCTTTGAGACAATATAGAATAAAACCATATCCTTCCAAGTCTGATAGTTGTTTAAATATTTGAAGATCATGATCATATTTCTCATTAGTTTCTGCTTCCCTAGGTTAAATATCTCTACTTTCTTCAATCATTGCTCCTTGATATAGCTTTCAGATCCAGCCTGGATGCATTCAAATCGACCAAAAAAACTCTTAAAGTTTGATCCAACCCTTAAACACAATGTTACTTATTGGTGCGACAAATACACAGAACACACACTATCCGACACCTCCATTAGAGCAGCTTAACAGTGTTTAGCTTATGGGTGACCACAAATAGCTGCTCTGACATAACCGTTCATTGCTGTGGATTATGGAATTCATGACCCAGAGAGGCAGTTTTTTAGCCATAGGAAACCTTGTCAAGACTATTCAAAATGATAAATCAATTTCAGTCATTTAACAAAAATACCATCAAAGAATGTTTGTTTCTTAAAATGCAGAGGCAAACCGTCTCTTGAACTATGATGTAGAATAAGATTAATAGAAATGTAAAAATATAAGGAACTCAGAAGTGGTAGGATTATATGTAACAAAGCAGTCTAAGGTTTTATGTGTATTTAAACACATAATGTGTTACTGAGGAACAAAGACATTGAGGACATTTCAAGAACTCATGTCAGTTTTTTGGTTTTCCTGGTAAGTGTTCCTCTATCAGCTCATCCAATGTCATTCTCAAAAAGTGCATGGAAGTTGATGAGGAATGTTTGTTCCCTTAAGCTGGGCACTATATCATGTCATAATATTTGTTAGAAAAAGTTTTGTTAGAAATCATCCTCAGCTAAACATTTTCCGCACAGCATCAAAACACACAGAGACTAGACCTTGTGAGATAGATGCTGTTGTCATTTCACAATGTCTCATTACTTGACTTCACACTATGTGACGATGTAACCTAAGGGCTAAATTACTTTATCTAACTCTCCTCTTGTTTATGGGCTGCTAATAATTTTGTTCTCCTCTTTGAAGTTATGAGTGGGCCTGCTGGGGTCTGTGTGCTGGACATTGTAATGTAGGGGAATAGTGGGAAGGGCATCATGAAAATGTGATTTCATTTTATCCTTAAGTGGCCCTGTAATGTGGGCATAAGAAATGTACTTGTGAGAAAATAAAGTGATCTATTCAAGGTCACAGTTGATAACACCTAAGATTCAAATACACCTGTT
Source organism: Homo sapiens (assembly GCF_000001405.40). Lineage (NCBI taxonomy): Eukaryota > Metazoa > Chordata > Mammalia > Primates > Hominidae > Homo > Homo sapiens. The sequence goes on along the minus strand of NC_000023.11, from coordinate 20,498,148 downwards.
CTGGAGTCTAAAGTCTTAGTTCTAGACACTATGCATTTTACTGCTCCCCATGTCTCCCAGAAGTTGTAGTGAATCAGTGCAAGGTCTCTATTTGACCCTACAAATTTGTAGATATAAGGACAGATATTTACGTTAACTGTTTTACTGAATACTGATGGTTACCACTACATTCCCCCTCCTTTTCTACTGACAAGAGCCTATCATTGTTCAGGGCTGCAATGTGTCCCATTAAAAATACCTCCCCAAAGTTCCTCAAAAAAGCTAAAAATAGAACTACCATATGGTCTGGCAATCCCACTGCTGTGGGTATATACCCAAAGGAAATGAAATCTGTATATCAAAGAGATATCTGCACTCCCGTGTTTATTGCAGCACTATTCCCAATAGCCAAGATATTGAATCAACCTAAGTGTTCATCAGTAGATGAATGGATAAAGAAAATATGGTATATATGCACAATGGAATACTATTCAGCCTTTAAAAAGAAGAAAATTCTGTCATTCTCGATGACATGGATGAACCTGGAGGATGTTATGCTAAGTGACATAAGCCAGGCACAGAAAGATAAATACCACATAATCTTGCGGATATGTACAATCTAAAAAAGTTAAACTCCCAGCAGCAGAGAGTAGAATGGTAGTTACCAGGGGCTGATAGGGGGAAAGGTTGGGGAGATGTTGGTCAAAGGATACAAAATTTCAGTTAGAAATAAGTTCAAGAGATCTATTGTACAACATGGTGCCTATATAGTAACAATGCGTTGTATTCTTGGAAATCCCTAAGATAATAGATTTTCAGTATTCTCACCACAAAAAAAAGTATGTGCGGTAATGCATATGTTAATTATCTCAATTTAGCCATTCTACTATATATATATATATATATATATATATATATATATATATATTCTGTTGTATATAAGTATATATATCCTGTTGTATATAAGTATATATAATTTTTATTTGTCAATTAAAAATGAATTTTAAAAAGAAAAAAAATACCTCCCAGAGTCCCTTATAGCTTAGTGTCCATGTGACCCAGTTTTGTCCAATGAAATGTAAACAGATATCCACTGGGTAAAGCTTCCCAATAGCTATTGCCCTCCTGACAGAAGGAAGCAAACCAGCTTCACCTTCCCTTTTACCCTTTACCTTCTTCCTCCCTGGAATGTGGGCATGAAGCCTAGAGGTGAAGCAGCCATCTTGCAGCCTTCAAGATGAAAGCCATAGCCCAACGATGGCAGAATGGAAAGATGAAATAAATCTGATCTGTGTCCCTAGTAGCACTGCTACCTCTAGACTTCTTATTTTTCTCACATTATAAGAAGTTACTACTACATGCAAGCCAATGAAATCCTAACTGATACAATTGTTTTTCCCTTGTTTCCCTTCAATCTGTCTATCAAATCCAAGGTTAAGAAGAGTGGATTTGAAGCTTTCATTTGGGAATTCACAACAGAGTTATTCATGGCAGCAGTCCCCAACCTTTTTGGCAACAGGGACCAGTTACATGGAAGACAATTTTTCCGTAGACAGTAAGAGGGTAGGTGGTTTCGGGATGCAACTGTTTCACCTCAAATCATCAGGCATTTGTTTCTTAAGGATTTTCATAAGGAGCTTGCAACCTATATATCTCGCATGTGCAGTTCACAATAGGGTTCATGCTCCTGTAAGAATCTAATGCCCTCACTGATCTGATGGAAAGCAGAGCTCAGACGGTAATGCTCGCTCACCCCACCGCTTACCTCCTGCTTTGCACCCCAGTTCCTAACAGGCCACAGACCAGTACCAGTCCAAGGCCCAGGGGTTGGGGACCCCTAATTCGTGGTATACTGTAAATTAAGGTACTTGCCCTGGGTCTTGTGCTTCTCCTTTACCCTTCACCCCTAAATCCAATCTTGCCTCCCACCACCCCAGTGCTATGGGTGACCATGTGACTGAGCTAAGGAAAGGCGAAATGAGATGAGGGGTGAAGAGAGGGAAGTGGGTTCTTGTACTCATAGTTATCGAGCAGAGGGTGGTGTTTCCAGAGCCTGGGGTGGAATGATCTGGATGTCATCTAGATTTCATCTGTATTGAATTTTGGAAGAAATAAAAGGTATATACTATGATTTGCTTCAAAATCTTGTTCCTATACAACTATCCCTGGATATCTCGGTGCATTTTTTTCAGGTAGAACTATTTAAGTCAAATTTATTTTAGTGTCCTTCAATTCTAGGAAGAATAGGCATATCCTATTTTAAACCACAGGGGAATTGTCACATTAAAATGAGTGTAGAATATGTAGAAGAAATCCACAAAAATAGATCGGAATAAAGTTTCCCGAGTGACTCTTATCCAGTGTGACCCTCCTGTGAGAGGGAGTATTTATTCAGAATATTTATATACCCAGAGGGGATATTTACATGCTTTATAAACAAGAAAATGCTGTAAGAAATGAGTAATCATTAAAGTAGCCTCTGAAAGTAAGAAGTTGTTCATTATGGTCTGTCTTGCTTTAGGACTAAAGATGAAGAAATGAAACACATAATCAAGTCTCTCCTGAAAATTGGTGTAGTCCCCTTGTATGTTCTTATATCACAAGAATAAAAGAGTTAATGAAATATTCTGTGTGAAGGTGAAGGAGAAAAGAAAATTTCAGAAAGTTGGCCTGTTCTTTTACTTTTTTTTATTGAGATATAATTTAGAAGACAACTAGGAGTAGTTAGAAACTCAGTGGTATAAAGTTGGTCCACCATATGTCACCTACTTGGGCATGATGTGGGTGAATAAACTCACCTATGAGCTGAAATGTCAAGGGAGGAGGACAGAAAAGAGAGATGTGGACAGTAGCACACTGGAAGTGGTATCCCATCCATGTTTCTCTCCAAAGGGGAATTTCTTTACAGACTTCCTAATCAGGAAATCTCTCTTTTCCCAAAAAGGAATGAAATAAAATACCCTACTTTTCTTTGCAATTTGAGCAGAGCAAGTGCAGAATATACACAGTGGCAGAAAAGTGTCTGACCAGAGCCCAGCAAGCTGGCCTAGGGGACTCAGTTGCCTCTCTCACCTCTCTTTACTCCCTGTCATCATTTACATTTGCTCAACTATCTCTTACCTTTAAATTAATCAACAGATCCATTCCCCTGACTGCGCATTCATCTCCAGCTGCCTCCTTATTTATTTCCTCCCCTTAGCAATGCAACAATTTTTCATTTATTATGAAAGTAAATACAATTGAACTCTACATTTGCAGGATGGTACCATCAGGGAAAACTAGGTAAAGGGCACAAGGGAGCTCTTTATTATTTCTTACAACTGTATGTGAGTGAGTCTACAATTACCTCAAAATAAAAGTTTCATTTAAAAAAAAGGATATATACCACTATAAATCATGCTGCTATGAAGACATATGCACACATATGTTTATTGCGGCACTATTCACAATAGCAAAGACTTGGAACCAACCCAAATGTCCAACAACGATAGACTGGATTAAGAAAATGTGGCACATATACACCATGGAATACTATGCAGCCATAAAAAATGATGAGTTCATGTCCTTTGTAGGGACATGGATGAAATTGGAAATCATCATTCTCAGTAAACTATTGCAAGAACAAAAAACCAAACACCGCATGTTCTCACTCATAGCTGGGAATTGAACAATGAGAACGCATGGACACAGGAAGGGGAACATCACACTCTGGGGACTGTTGTGGGGTGGGGGGAGGGGGAGGGGGGAGGGATAGCATTAGGAGATACACCTAATGCTAAATGACGAGTTAATGGGTGCAGTACACCAGCATGGCACATGTATACATATGTAACTAACCTGCACATTGTGCACATGTACCCTAAAACCTAAAGTATAATAATAATAATAAAAATAAAAATAAATAAAAAATTAAAAAAAGGAACACATGCTCAATGGGAAAAAAAATTTAAACAGTACCTAATTTTAGAGTGTGTATAATCCTGGTGCCCCAACGTGGTTTAGCTATGTTGAAGAACAACTCAAAGATATTTAATTTTTATGCAAATTGTTTCTTTGCGTGTGATGGAATCAGTTGATGGACTGAGTCAAAGCCAAAACGGTATTTATAAGAGACGGGGACAGCGGGAGGGAAAACCTGCAGTTAGCCTGGGAATAGGGATTCTTGTTACACATTTATGAGGTTAAACTAGTTGGCCGGCAATGAACAGAGTGGTCACTCTGGACATCTGGCCTTGCTATGGGCTTCAAAAACTTTTTTTCAGTTGTTTATGGAATTCGTTGTAACCCTCTGAGGGCTTAGCTGAGGAGCATCCAGGCCAGGCTCTCTAGGCAAGCCTGTGTCATTTCACCAGCACCTGCGCCTAAGTTAGGCCCTGCCTTCACTGTTGCCCTCAACAAAATCTCTCAGCCGGCATGAAAGAGAAAACAAGGCACTGGCTTTGGAATTAGATACAAGACTTGGATGGCAGCCTGACTCCCTCATTCATTCATTGAGAGACTTGGCCAAATCGACCTCATCGAGGCTCTGTTTCCTACCTCTAAGAGAAATAAGCATGGTGTTGTTGTGAGAATCAAATGATAACATAATAAAGGGTAAAGCACAGGTGCAATGCGCTGCTTCTGTTGTAGTATGTGCATTTGGTTTGAGAAACATAAAAACACACATGGTCAATCTCTGCTTGTTCTTCCCACAAGGAAGTTGTGAAGTTAACATAGCTCCTACCTCTTTAATGTAGGGCCCATAATGAGATCTATATTATTGATTACAAAGAGCTTTCAGTGGCTGTTTTAAACCCCAGCTGAAGAGGATATTACCTTTACAATTTTTTTTTGCTGAAACACCATGCATCATTTTTTTAAAGGGAAGGAAAAAAGCCTGCTTCTCCACTGCCTCAAGACCTTTGACTGCTGCAAGAGCTTGCATCAGAGACACCAGCTGGTTCTCTGGGTTCTGTTGGCAAAGCTGACAAAACGTCAGTGCCCATCATTTCTTTGGGGAGCCCTTGAGAACTAACTGAGCTGATAGCTCAGTCTTTTCCAGAAATGACTCTCCCCTACTGCTTTATTGATCCCTGCCAGGTACCTCATTTTTGATCCTTTAGCTTGATGTGGCCAATTCTCTGTTGAGTTGCAGTAGAGATCTGTCATGTTGAATTGTCCAACTGGAAACATTCCCAGCCCTACTTCCAGCCCCTCCCCATTTTGCTTTGAGCTGGCTCTGAAACAGATCTCAAAAATAAAGAATTCTCTGTGTCACATAGATAACACTTCTTTAATTCCTGGTGTCCCAAAATTAAATTAGCTATTTTGATGGCCTCATGTTCTGAGAACACTGTGTTTTTTGAAAACCAACCTTTTAGCATGCTAGGAGCCATTTGAAAGCTTTGAGTGAATCTCTGCCAGGCCTAAGTATTGATCTTTGTGGCAAGGGAAGGAGATGGAGAAAAAAATGTAGCAGGCAGGGCAAACAAATAGGAATCCAGAAGTTAGAGGACACTCCTGGGTTTCTCTATGCGAGGAGAATGCTGTTGTGAGGTGCCAAATGGATCAGGGTAGGGATAACAGAACATTCTAGGCTTCGATGATTTTCTCAAGAGCAGCCCTAACGATTCTCAGTGACCGCCATGGAAGGAACATTGTAAACATCAGAGAAAAATTTCCCCTTGCCAACTTTGGTTAAGAGTAATCCACACTCTGATCAGCCTGGGCAACATGTCAAAACCCCGTCTCTACCACAAAAAAAAAAAAAAAAAAAAAATAGCCAGGCATGGTGGCACCTACCTGTAGTCCCAGCTACTCAAGAGGCTGAGGTAGGAGGATCACTTGAGCTCAGGAGACGAAGGTTGCAGTGAGCCAGTCGAGCCACTACACTCCAGCCTGGGCGACAGAACAAGACCCCATCTAAAAAACAAACAAAAAATGAGTAATCCACACTCTAAACAAAGCTTTCTGTCTCCAAAAGTTGATTTCCTTTTGAATAAACAGCTCACTTGCTACTTTGGTCACTGGTGTCACAATCTGCATTGGATCACTAGGGCATCTTAATAATGATCCCCTTAGTAATGATTCATGATGATGTTAGTCTAGAACAGGGGTCAGCAAACAATGGCCCACCACTTGTCTTTGTACAGTCTCATGAGCTAAGAATGGCTGTACATTTTCAATTGGATGGATTTAAAAAACAAAAGACATTTGGTGACATATCAAAATTATATGAATTAAAATTTCAGTGTCCATGTACTTTCATTGGGACATAGCCATACTCATTCATTTACCTACCTACTATCTATGGCTACTTTCACACTACAACAGCGGAGTTGAGTCATTGCAATAGAGATCATATGGCCCACAAAGCCTAAAATATTTACTATCTGGCCCTTTGTTGAAGAAATTTTCCTCCCCTTCTTCCAGTGCTGTCCAATAGAAATTATTTCTGCAATGATGGACATGTTCCATATTCTGTGTTGTTCAATACAGTAGCCACTAGCCACACATGGCTATTTAAAATTAAACCAATTAAAATTAAATAAAATTAAAAATCTATTTCCTCATGTGTTCTAGCCACATTTGAAGTGCTCAATGGCCACATTGTGGCTAGTGGCTACCATACTGGACAGCACAAATCTAGACTAACAAATAGTCCCTATCAAGGGGCTCCATTTTTTTTTTTGTTCTGAGGAATATTTAGAACTCTGCCATTGCTTCCTCCTTCTTTTGCTAACTTTTTAGGGGTCATTTCTCTGCTTCATTTTACAATCAGAAGAGAATAGGTTTCTTAGTTTGAGTACCTCTGTAAGCAAAGCCTGAGACAAGGATTTGGATGCAAGTGGTTTATTTGGAAGATGATCCCAAGAAGCATCAGTAGGGGAGTTGGGGAACTGAGATAGAGAAGGGAAGAAAGCCAATTAACAGCATGTTAGCTGGTATCTCATTGTGGTTTTGATTTGCATTTCTCTGATGGCCAGTGATGATGAGCTTTTTTTCATGTGTCTGTTAACTGCATAAATGTCTTCTTTTGAGAAGTGTCTGTTCATATCCTTCGCCTACTTTTTGATGGGGTTGTTTGATTTTTTCTTGTAAATTTAAGTTCTTTGTAGATTCTGGATATTAGCCCTTTGTCAGATGGGTAGATTGTAAAAATTTTCTCCCATTCTGTAGGTTGCCTGTTCACTCTGATGGTATTTTCTTTTGCTGTGCAGAAGCTCTTTAGTTTAATTAGATCCCATTTGTCAATTTTGGCTTTTGTTGCCATTGCTTTTGGTGTTTTAGTCATGAAGTCCTTGCCCATGCCTATGTCCTGAATGGTATTGCCTAGGTTTTCTTCTAGGGTTTTTATGGTTTTAGGTCTAGGGACATGGATGAAGCTGGAAACCATCATTCTCAGCAAACTATCGCAAGGACAGAAAACCAAACACCGCATGTTCTCACTCATAGGTGGGAATTGAACAATGAGAACACTTGGAGACAGGATGGGGAACATCACACACCGGGGCCTGTTGTGGGGTGGGGGGAAGGGGGAGGGATAGCATTAGGAGATATACCTAATGTAAATGACGAGTTAATGGGTGCAGCACACCAACATGGCACATGTATACATATGTAACAAACCTGCACGTTGTGCACATGTACCCTAGAACTTAAAGTATAAAAAAAAACAAACCGCATGTTAGCAAGACAATTATCAGTATGGGCAACTGGAGCTCAATCCTACTCTAGGAAACTATGTAGACTTACCTCCAAGTTATTCCACCTGAGGGTTGAGGAAGCTAGGATACTTATGCACCAACTTCCCGTTGGTTCTTGGCTAAGGGCTACTTCTGGAGGCATTTACTCTTCAGTGCTTCAGACTAAGTTTTCTTTGCAACCATGAAAAACATCCTCGGGCAGAGAATCACATGTGGTCACAGTAAATAGCAGTAATGCCAAGGAGATATGGGCAGGGTACTGATAGCATCTGTTACAGTGAGGACTGAAAGGTTTAACACCAGAAACTAAAGTAGCGGCTCTACTCCCCTGTAATAGCATTGCTAAAAGGCTGGTGATAGCTGTTGGATAAAGTTAATGGCCAGAGTTGGGGCTTGGGCATCTCTGTAAATGACTAGTGCTCTTTACACTGAGATATGCCTGGAGTATCACAACCTGACTGTGGTCTTCTAGTTCATTTTAACCAGCACTGCTGCCACATGTCCTGCTATGACCACATGGAAATATCGCCACTGGCCCACCCCATGTTCTGGCTTTGACAATTGGACATTGGTTGACAATTGAACTTTGTTTTAGGCTCACTCCAGAGGCCAGGCAAGTACACTATTAGATGACTGACCCAAGAAAGCTAGGCAGAAAGGAGAATTGAGAAACTAAATTAAAAAGTGGCCGAGAAACCAGGAAAAGTGATGTGAATGGATAGACCATTCTAGGTGGCCTGAAGAAGTCCCAAACAGGCTGCCTTGGGTAGCTTCTGAGGTAGTTCTTATGGTCTGGCTTTGATATGCAGGCACCTTGAAGCAAGATAGACAAATGAGTGTGATTTTGACAATTTGGACCAGCAGAGCCCAGCTTCTAATTGACGGCATGAAAGAGAGAAACATGGCTGGGCACGGTGGCTCACACCTGTAATCCCAGCACTTTGGGAGGCTGAGGCAGGTGGATCACGAGGTCAGGAGTTCAAGACCAGCCTGGCCAAGATGGTGAAACCCCATCTCTACTAAAAATGCATTAGCCGGGTGTGGTGGTGGACACCTGTAATCCCAGCTACTCAGAAGGCTGAGGCAGAAGAATCGCTTGAACCCGGGAGGCGGAGGTTTCAGTGAGCGGAGATCGCGCCACTGCACTCCAACCTGGGTGACAGAGTGAGACTCTGTCTAAAAAAAAAAAAAAAAAAAAGAGAGAGAGAGAGAAACATACTGTATACCCACAAGTCTCTGGAAATTCAATACAAAACCTCAATACTGAATATCAGCTTAATTTTTGAGGAGAATCTGTCAGAATCATATGTTCCTAATTATGTCAGTTTTTTCAAACCCTCATTTAAAATATATACTTTTCAAACTTTCTAAATATAGGCTGTTTCAGTTGGGAATAATCTTTTTAAAAATTTCAAGGGGTTACCACCCTTTCTTCCTGCATCTCTGTAATCAGGAGAAATGAGGTGACCTCCTATCTTCTTTCTTTGTGGCATGTGACTATATTCAAAGAAATGTGCCCATCCTCCAGGTGCTAAGGCTTTGGATGTAGCCTGGGTCTGAAATCCCTTACTCCTGGGGAGTCATACATATCTAGAACTATGTCATCACAGTAGAAAACTATATTAAAAAACATGTAAACAGGTTTAAGTAGGTGCAAACAATAATTTCAACAACAATACAAAAGTGTTTATGTTGTCTTAGTCCATTTGGGCTGCCATAACAAATTGCCATAGACTGGGTGGCTTTTAAAGAACAGAAATTTATTTCTCAGAGTTCTGGAGGCTGGAAAGTCCAAGAGCAAGGCACTGGCAGATTCAGTGTCTGGTGAATGCCTGTTTCCTAGTTCATAGAAGGTGTCTTCTTGCTGTGTCCTCACACGATGGAAGGGCCAAGGCTTTCTAGGGCCTTTTTTATGAGGTCTCTACCCTCATGATCTAATCACCTTCCAAAGGCTCCACCTCCTAATACCATAACATTGGTGATTAGGTTTCAACATATACATTTGGGGAAGACATAAGCATTCAGACTGTAGCACTTGTATGATGTTACGTCTTGTATTAGTGAAGGTAAAGGAAGCTATTATAATACATAAACCCCATAACCTTGGCTTAACGAAGTAGTTTATTTCTCAATCATAAAAAGTACAGTTGGTACAGGGAGTTGGGGCTGGGGGCCTCTGTTCCCACAGTTATTCAGGACCACAGGCTGAAGAAGCTCTAAAATCTTCAATATGTGGCTTCCAAGATTACTCTGAGCATGGATTCAGTCAGCAGATGGCAGGGAGGGATGAAATGGAGAGAGAAAAAGAGTAAGAGGAACTGCTTGCATAGGAGATTTCAAAGGGGCCAAGCCTGGAAGTGGCATATGTGGCTTTTCTATCCACATTTTTTTTTCCATTGGCCAGAACTCAGTCATGTGACATCACCTAACTGCAAAGGAGGCTAATAAATGTAGTCTAGTCAGGTGCAAAGAAAAGGGTTTTTTGAAATGGGCTAGTCAGTTTCTGCCACAAATGCCATTTGAGGTCCATCTATTTTCTTCTTCCCTACTGACCTTTCTCTACCACAGCTGAGGTATGGAGAAGCCCTTATGACCCTTCTGGCTAGGGCAATGTTTCCCCAGCGAACTCCAGGTTCTAACCTCTATTTTTATTCTCTTGATTTTTAAAATTCTGCTAATCCCTCTAGTTTCTGAGAAGATTCTGAAGTCAGGCCAGTGTTAAGGAGCAGAAGGCAAAAGATGTGGATCTGAATCATGGCACTGCCTCCAGAGACATTGCTGGGTCCGTAACATCGTATACACAAAGGCACAAATGCAGGTCTTGAGATGCTCAAGGCCTCAAGCCTGTAGTACCATGTATTAACACTTCCTGCTCCCAATGTCCTTGAGAGGACTAGAGCTTTTCTCTGAAATGACCTGCTCCATTGATAATGCATCTACTTTCCCAGAGATAGGAAGAAGACTCATTCTTCAGAGGGCATGAACAGCAAATTCTTTTTTCATCTCCTATGATACAGAGTAGGAGTGCTGTAAATGCCAAGCAGTATGGATTTTTAGAATGATGAGTCACCACTTCTGGTTTTTTTCAAGGCAATTATTCATCCAGTCTGAATCTCTTCAAAATGAGCCATGAGTCTGTCATATGGATGAAGAGAATGGCCGAGATCCCCAAAAACCAAAAGATTGATTTAGGTCAAATAGTAAAGCTGGGAATGACTTTTAGAAATAGTGCATCTGGTTTAAGAAAAGAATTAAAATTCAGAACTCAAGGGCTGAGACTGTTTACCAGGGTAACCTTGGCTTCAACAATCCTCTGGCACCAAAGGTCTGGGTTATTTTTGTGGAAGAGGGAGTCTAGCTTATGCTTCACTTTTTTTCAGGCAGGTACCCAGCTCCTAGAAAATGCCTCTTCAGCTCAAAGTTAGAGAGAGAGATTTAATTAACAGACAGTAATATCATAAACATTAAATCTGCAAGTTGTCTAAGGAAACAGATCCCCACAAACCCCGTCCTGTAAATACCTCCACTTCCTACAGTTTCCCAACTGTAGTGCACTCCCCACCCTCACCCCCACCTTGGTTTTCTGCCTCCAGTTTTCCCTTACCTTGAACCACCATCTTTTGGCTCTAAGATTATGATCCTAAGCTGTAGCAGTTTCCTCAGCTGCTTGTTGCCCTCTGCACACTTTTAATCTTGGTGGGAAAAAAAATCCTCTCTGTCACTTATAAAACTGGGATTGCTTCCATTTTTTAACTCCATTTGTTAAAGACAGGGTGATAAACTGTGGCTTGCTCCTGGAAGAAGAGAATAAAACTTCTCTGCCCATACTGAGGCAGACCCATTCCCTAGCATACACACAGGTACATGCCAGGCCAACCAGCAAAAGATATTGCTAGGCCAGGCACAGTAGCTCATGCCTGTAATCCCTGCATTTCAGAGGCCAAGGCTGGAGGCCCGCTTGGGCCCAAGAGTTTGAGACCAACCTGAGCAACGTGGCGAAACCCTGTCTCTGCAAAAAGTATAAAAATTAGCCGGGCATGATGGCATGTGCCTGTAGTAACAGCTACTGGGGAGGCTGAAGGGGGACAATCACTTGAGTTAAGCCTAGGAAGCAGAGGTTGCAGTGAGCTGAGATTATGCCACTGTACTCCAGCCTGGGCAACACAGCGAGATACTGTCTCAAAAACAAGCAAAAAAAGATATTGCTATCTTTTTATCCTTGTATGCATAGATCCTCACATGGATCTATGAAACCAGGACCCTGAACCTATTTCATGAAGAATCACTGTGCTCACTTGGGTATGAAGGAGGCTGGAATACTTTACAGTTTTTGTGCCTACAATGTGCCAGGTGCCACAATCCTGCATTCCAGCCTCGGTGCACACCATAGGGGACATTACTCTGCTCAGATAGATTGGTTCATTGATGCTTTTATTTTTCAATGATCAACGATCAAGAAGAAAATGTGTGCAAGAGGGCTATGAAAGGTAAATAAAGAAAGGAAGAAGAAAATGTCTTGCAACGAAAGGATTGTACGAAATGTCAACTTTTAATCTTCAGCATCATCTTTTGAAGAGTTTAGAAACATCAAATATTTCCATTTTGTAAGGAGAAATGAATTTAGAAGATGAGTTCATGAGAGACAAAACAATTACACAGACATTAAAATTCCAGTTACATAGTTAACACTTTGCCAAATGGGATTACGTATTTAAGTTATAAGCCCAATTTTGGCATGATACAATGAGGTTTGGCACACAGGGATGGGGGTGGGAGAAGGTGACATCCTAATAACAAGCAGTGGCATTGGCCCTGTGACTGTCAGTTTCTGCTTCTACCTGTTCTACTGATCCTGTAAGGGTTGTAGAGACTCTGGAGCCATAGTTCTCAAACTTTGATGGGGGAAATAATTATCTGAGCAGCTTGTTAAATTGCAGATTCCTAGTCCCCATCTCCCAGGAACTCTAGGTTCAACAGATTTAGAGTGAGGCCCAGGAATATGCATTTTTAACAAGATCCTCCTGCTTTAGAGGTTGTTGGAGCCAGGGATGAGCTGACCAAGGGCCTATGTAGTGCCAATGTTCTGGCTTTCATTCCTGCTTGCCTCTCCTAGAGGGGAGCCCAGAGGCTGGTGATTCCACTGTCACTTTCACAACTAATCTTATCTCCACGAAGACCATTGAGCCAATCACTGAGGTCACTTAGTCTCAAGCCCAATTTAGAGAGTTATTCAAATGAGTTCTGTGAAAATGTACTTAAAGCAGTCACCACTTTACTCTTTACACTTTACTATTACTCCTTCAGTTTCCTTCTTTTTTAGCTTAGCTCTTAAAATTAGTCCTGAATACAGCGTATCTGATTGATTGTGATCAAAGAGGTAGGGCTATTTCAGTTTCCTTATCTGTAAAATGGGAATGATAATACCTAACTCAAAGAGTTGAAGTGAGGATTATACAAGAAAATGTACATAATGTTCTTAGCATTAAGGCTTAGCACCTAGTAAGCAACTAATAAATAACAGCTATTTTGATATAATTTTATTACTAAATGTATGAATTATAGAAAGCAAGCTCTTGCTGAAGTGTGAAGAATGGATTGGATGGAGGAGAGAATTCTTATAGAAAGATATATTAAAAGGATTGTAGTAATTCAGGGATAAATTATGAATGTCTAAACCAAAATAGTGGCTATGATAGAGAGGCAAAATGGAATTTAAAAAGATTTAGTATACAGAATCACCTGAATTAGTCACTAATTAGATGCAGGTGGTGAGATAAGGGAGCAGTCTAAGATGACCACTGGGAAATACTGAAGACAGTCACTTATTAATTCAATGAGTGCACTATCTGTACTGGGGCACATTGGGGGTAGTCCAGATGCTAGTAACATCAGGTTATCAATAAATGATGAACCCCAAAAAGCTGCATTCTAACCCATCCCGGGTAATCACACCAGGAAGGGTCTTCTCTCAATACTGCTGGGAGCAAACCCCCTCCCCATCACTTAATGACTTAGACTCTTAACAGGATCCTGGGGAATCACTTTGCATAGGGTGTTCACAAGTTCCCAGGACCCTAAGGCATAATCAAGATGCAGGGGATTAAGAAGAATACCAAGACAATTCAATGGAGAAAGAAGAGTCTTCAACAAGTGGTTCGGAGATGACTGAATATGCACATGCAAAAGAATAGTTGGACCTCTACCTCACACTACATATAAGAATTAACTGAAAATGGATCAAAGACCTAAATGTAAGAGGTAATATTATAGAACTCTTAGAAGAAAATCTAGGGGCAAATCTTCATAACCTTGGATTTAGCAATGGGTTCTTAGTTGTGACAACAAAATCACAAGAAACAAAAGAAAAAATAGATAAACTGGACTTTATCAGAACTAAAAATTTTTGTGCTTCAAGGGATATCATCAAGAAAGTGAAAAGTCCACCCATAAAATGGGAGGAAATTTTTGCAAATCATATATCTGATAATGAACTTGTATCTGGAATATATAAAGAAATCTTATAATTCAATAATAAAAGACAAATAATACAATTTTTAAATGGGTAAAAGATCTGAATAAACATTTCTCCTAAAAAGATATACCAATGACTGATAAGCATATAAAAAGATGCTCAACCTCATTACACATCAGGTAAATGCAAATCAAAACTCCAATGAGATACCACTTCACACCTACCAAAAAGACAGATAATAATAAGTGTTGGAGAGGATGTAGAGAAATTGGAACCCTCATACTGTACTACTGGAAATGCAAAATGGTGCAGCCACCTTGGAAAACAATCTGGCAATGCCTCAAAAGTTTAAATATAGAGTTACCATACAATCCAGACATTCTACACCTAGGATATACCCAAGAGAATTGTAAGCCTATGTTTACGAAAAAAACTTGTACACAAATGTTTGTAGCATTATTATTCATAATAGCCAAAAAATGGAAACAAGCCCAGATGTCCATCAACTGATAAAAGAGTCCATAAAATGTGGTATGCCCATACAATGGAATATTATTAATTCATTAAAAGCAATGAAGTACTGATACAGACTGCAATGTGCATGACCTTTGAAAACATTATGCTAAGTGAAAGAAGACCATCACAAAGGACCACATAGTGTATAATTCCATTTATATTAAATGTCCAGAATAGGCAAATCTATAAAGAGATGGAAATGAAATTAATAGCTTCCAAGGGCTGGGGAGCGGGGAAAATGGAGAGTGACTGCCAATGTGTTCAGGGTCTCCTTTTGAATGATGAAGAAGTTCTGGAATTGATTGTGGCAATGGCTGCACAGCTGTATGAAAATATTAACCACCATTGAATCGTACACTTTAAATAAGTTGATTGTATGGTATGTGGATTATATCTCAACAAAGCTGTTATGGAAAAAAGAGGAGGGGAGGCGAAGGGATGGGAGGCAAGGGGAGAGAAGGCGAGGGAAGTTAGGGGAGGGGAGGGGAGGAGAGGGAAGTTAGGGGAGGGGAGGGGAGGAGAGGGAAGTTAGGGGAGGGGAGGGGAGGGAAGTTAGGGAAGGTTAGGAAGATTAGGTTAGAAACGGTTAGGGAAGAGAAGGTTAGGAAGATTAGGTTAGAAACGGTTAGGGAAGGGAAGGGGAAGGGGAAGGGAAAGGGAAGCAGGGGAAATTCTGTCTTGCTTGCTTCAATATTTATAACACTCTTACATACCTAATAACCCAGGGTCCAGCAGCCACTTCACTAGGGTCCAGGCTCCCCCATGACTGCTGTTAACTTGGGCCCATGTGACATAACCTCTCTGGGCCTCAGTGTTCTTATCAGGAAATGAGAAGGTTGACTCAATTATCTTTAAACCACTGACAGCTATTGTCAAAATGCCATGCTGCAAATCAACTTTTGTAAGTCATTGATTCCTTCTCATTCTGCATACTAAACACTGACTACATTCAAAGCTTAATTAAAAAATGACTTCATGGGGTAGATGCTCCTTAGCAAAAATACATTGATTCATGTCACACTTCTCCATGCAGATTTTGCTTTTTGGTATATAAGAATGGGCAGAATTTCTTAGCCTAGATAGGCTATAGAGTGCCTGGTTTTGAGAGGAACAAAGCACCTGAGAAGAGCTATGTTATTCCTACCCTAACACCTAAGGAAGTTTTTCATCACTAACTTCTCAGCAAACTTTTTTGTTTGTAGAAGTAAGCAAAAGCATTAAAATCAACACATTATTTGCCTTGGATTTCAAAACCACAATTTCTGTTTTGCTTTATCATGCCTAGCTAAAACCCTGTGGATTAGTCTTTCTTTTGCTGTTAAAAAATAATAATAACCTTTGCTAAATATGATGATGAGAGCACCCAACTGTAAATTCTAACATTGCCTTTGGGTAAAAAGTTGTTCTGTATTTCACCCTCCCTCATATTTGAGACAGGAATCATCTTCATCTAGATTTATTTTTTGACAGATAACTTGCTAAGTACTATTGGGACAAATAATTAGACCAAGCCTCCTGGACTCACGGCCCCAGCTTGGTGGGTTAACATTTCACCCACTGATTTAGAGGGTGGAAAAGTACTTGATGACATGCTTCTGCTGTTTCCTGAGGTGCTTGAAGCATCTCTATACTGAATCACAGGGTCATGGGCTGGGAACCTGAAACAAGTGAAGACACTGGAGACAACTGTAATTATTCACAGCTCTGCTGGTCAGAATTTTTGGATGTACTCACGGGACAATTGTGCAATGAGGGCTTCCATGGATATATTTAAGTAAATGATATAAGCTTAGGGCAAAACTAGAACAAAAGACTATTGCAACACTGCTGTTTTGAGTGACCACCAGTAGGCTTACCTGGACTGCTAATATCTTTCACAGGGACCTAGAGTAGTTTTTTTTTTTTTTTTTTAATCACATAAGACTCTCAATAAGTGTTTCCAATGTTTCCCTGCCTCACCCCACATAACATGTTATATCTCAGATCTTCTGTTTTTATTCTTGTTTGAGTGCTGTTGTATCTGTTCAAGTTCACCCACCCACCTAGAAGAACCCACCAGGTTCCTCACAACCAGAAGGATCATTCAAAAATGCCAGTAGGACCACAGCATTCCTCTGCTTAAAACCTTTCAATAATTTCCCATTGATCCCAGAGTAAAGTCCAAACCCCCTTAGCTCATGAGCACAGTTTTCTTCTGGACCAAGCCCTTGCTAACCTTTTTTGCTTCTTTATTTGTATGCAACACTCATGCCATATCCAGTTGTAGATATGTCCTGCGATAATTCGCCCATTCACAATTCCTCCCTCTGAAATTCCTCCTTTGCTTCCTTTTCTGCCTGGCTCACGCCTACATAACCTTTAAGACATGGCTCAAGCATCATCTCTTACTGGAAGACCTCCATGACCCTTCCTATCCGCAGACTAAGTAAGGCACCGCCTTTGCGCCACCTGAGCAGCTTCTGCTTACTTTATTCACCTTATGTTGAAGCCACTCTCCCATCATACCACAAGGTCTTTAAGGACCGAGCC
Organism: Homo sapiens; assembly: GCF_000001405.40. Taxonomy (NCBI): domain Eukaryota; kingdom Metazoa; phylum Chordata; class Mammalia; order Primates; family Hominidae; genus Homo; species Homo sapiens. The sequence goes on along the minus strand of NC_000023.11, from coordinate 20,480,967 downwards.
TGCTTTTATCAACGTTCACAGCAGCATCTAGCACCCTTCCTCGATCTGAAAGACTACTCAAATTCTTTTGGAAAGTAGATAACGCCATTGAAAATAAAGGTTCTGTATAGCATGGGGGTTTTAATAGCATTTATTGAAGGATAACATATAGAAAAATACTCAAATAAATATGTAACTCAAGAAATAGAACCATATCAGCTCTCCAGAATCCCCCATTATGCCTCCTTTCAGGCCTTACTACCCCAAGATAAGCATTATCCCAACACAATACCATAAATTACTTTTGTCTGTTTTTGAACTTTTAATGAATGAAAGCATATGGTATGTTCTCATTTGTGTCTGGCTTCTTTCGCTCAACATTTTGTTTATGAGAGCCATCTATGTCATTGTGCCTGATTGCAGAGCATTCTCATTTCTTTATAATATTCCATTCTATAAATATACCACAGTATATTTATCCAACCTACTATTGTCAGGCAGTATTTGGATAGCTTCCAGTTTGGGGGTTTTATGAAGAGTGATGTGATCTGTATTGGTGTTTTAACATTCTTTTGTTAGAGTATTTATTTTGTTGGCAAAATCACTTTTCCCAAGGAATGCCTTCAGCTATGTCCTTAATTCCAAACTAATCTGCACATTCTCTTTTATTTGTTGAGTTAATTAGAGCTGGATCAGTGAGGTCAAAAATGGTAGGACAATTATCAAAGAGTTGGTGAGTCAAATCAACCTTTTATGAAAAACGTAGTTTACAAGTTGAAGCAAACAAGCACAATTTTCTACCTCAAACATTCTAACATGCAGCTTCCTGTAATAAACATTCAGTCTCAGGGTTACAAGTCAGCAGTCTTTGGAGTTATTAAGACAGACCTTGCAATATTATAAAAATGCTCTTTGCCCTTTTTAGTAAACAGTCTTAGAAGTTAAACCTTATAATGACAATACATAGAAGTAAAAATTTAGCTTAAATGTTGTGAAAACTGGTATGTAAATATTTGCTAAACTTCTTATCTGTCGAAGCAAAGGGCAATGGTTAGCCGAGTGTTTTACATTGTCAGAAGTGTTCACGCCAACATCTTAAAATTTCTCTCCATGTTTTCTCATAAACTGCTATTTGAAACTTACAGCCTCTGGTTTCAACATCAATGTTGATTGAGGCTGTATCAAAGATGCTCACAAGTTATTTTATTTTCCACAATGGTATGTATATAAATTCATCTGATAAGAATTACTAAAAGTTTCTCTGAATTCAACTGAATTAAGTAATGTTTTAGAAAATGATTAAGAAATAAAGACACCACTTGGTGTTCTGATGGCTTTATCGCATTCCTTCTTTTACAAGTTAATATTTTAGAAGTGTGAACTATGAAAAGGTAGTACGATTAGTAATGATTTGACTGTTAAACTGAGTCAAAGCATGACTGAGATCTTGAGCAAGCACCTAATGCAAAACATAGAAGAAAGGTATAGAAAATAAGAGGAAAATACAAGGAATGTTTCTTTTTGTTGATTTTATAATATTCTGGACATATAGTCCTTTAAAATTTTTCAGGGCCTGCTTTTAAAAAATCAAGTCCAACATTAACTTCAAAGAATCTAGCCACTTCTGTGGAAAACCAGGTCCACTGGTCAGGTCAACTGGGTTAAATAGTGCATAAATAGTCCTTCAAGGCCAGATAAGGAAGATGGTGAATAGATTTGGTAATATTTGCCTTTTAAATGGTTTACATTTTTCAAAGAAATTAGTTTGTCTCCATGTTAGTAATAGTTTTTTTGTTTTAATTTCAATAGCTTTTGAGGTGCAAGGGGGTTTTGGTTACATAGATGCATTGTATAGCGGTGAAGTCTGAGATTTGATTGTACCTGTCACCAGAATAGTGTACATTGTACCCAATATATAGTTTTTATCCCTCGTCCCCCTCCCACCCTTCCCTTCTGAGTCTCCAATGTCCATTATACTACTCTGTATGTCTATGCATACCCAGAGCTTAGCTCCCACCTATAGGTGAGAACATATGGTATTTGACTTATGACTTAGGAATGTTTAACATGTTGAATTAGAGAGGGCAGATAGACAAGCCATCAGTAATAAGCAAAGCAAGAAAATTAGCATATCTGAGAAGCAATGATAGTTGAAACAGGGAAACCTGGAAAATAGGAAGGAACTCTAAGGATAGGAACATATTAAAAGCAAATAAGTAAACATTTCTGTAGTGCATATGTGTGGAGGGGAGGCAGGAAACTATGCCAAGGTACCTGCCCTCAAAAAAAATCTTATGACAAATAGGTGGAGAGCTAGGGGCAAAGATGGAGCTTGTTGTAGGTGGGGTTCTCCGGATGAAGACTGCAAATTCATGTGAAAGTTATTTATTTAGTAGATATTCCCAAGTAGAGAATGGGAAGTGGGACTGGGATGGGAAGGAGGCCAAGCAAGGGTGCAGCATCCAGCAAATCCCCATGGAGGGTAACTTAGGCTCCATGCTGAGGGAGTTCTGGGGACATGTGGAGGTCACATCTCAGAGTTGTTTCCATCATGAGTAAAGGGACTGCAGCGTTTATACTCCTAGGCTGTCAGTCATCAGTCAAGGGCTACCCCTAGAGGCACTTCGAACTCTCTTATTGCACAGGCAAAGCAGGTGCTAGTAGCCTAGGGCAGCCCGCCAGCAAGGATCGGCAGGTGTTGCTGTTGAGAGCGAATGCATGTCATGCAGGAAGCAGGTGTGAGCAAAAATACTAAAGGGATCCAGGGGGATAATGGCAGAGTTCTAACAGCATCTGCAATGGGCTGTAAAGCATCATTATTAAAACTGGGGCAACATCACCAAAATAGATGGAGCAGGCAGGATTGGAGAGTGAGAAATGAGGAAAAGAGCAGATACACTGTGGCTCAGTCCTGGCCTCCTCTGTATGTCACTGGGAGACAGGCCAATCAGAACATTTCCCGGGGTTATGCAACCTGGAGCTGAGCGAGAAAGACTGTTTCCCCTCTGATTGTGGAGTTGTGATATGATAAGCCTGGAGGTTCCAAGGCAGCCACTATGTGGATCATTGAGAGTAGGAAGGAGACACCAGAGAGAATGGCAGGTGAATGACCAAAGTGAACTCTGCGTGCATTCAAGTCCCTAGTTCTAATTATTCCTCCCTTTTACTGTGGTTTAGATTCAGAGGCCAATCGATTCTCCTCTTCACTTTAAATGGTTCGCGAACACCTACTGTATGCCAAACACTGCTCTAGTGCTGGGGCTATGGAACTTAAGAGAAAAGATGAAGCCTTCATGGAACTTCCAGTCTAGTGAGAGAGGCAGCCAATTCACAAATATGGTCATTTGCAATAGGGCTGATAAGGAGGCCTTTCTGCCAAGGGACATTTGAGCAGAGACCTGAATGAAGCAAGGATGCAAGCTAGGCAAGGGTCTGGGCAGGAGCTGAGTTTCTGTCGAGCACAACCTAGAGTCTGGAAAATCACAGAGACTATCTTAAAAACATCATGCTGCATGAGATTGTATCTGAGCAAACTTAACTGTTGCCCCAGTGGTTAAAGGAAGTATTCCTTCTGCATCCAGTCAACAAGATGGCTAAAAGATAGGGCCCTTCCTTTGTACTTTTCCTAACTGGTCAGGTCGAAGGGTTCAAAGAGCTGTCACTGATAAGGCACAACAGAAACGAAGTGTCCTAGGAAAATTTTTCTATGGTAATTTAGATGATAACACTGGAACTTTACTTTCATATTTCAGTCTTTAAGACTGAAATCTGTTTTTTTATGTGCTTACGTACCCTACCACAATGTCAGAGGAGGTGTTCAAGAATTTTGGGTTTTTTTGGCTTTGATTTACGTCAGGTTTATTGAGGCATCCTTTGCAGGCAGTAAATTTCACCCTTTTTAGTTGTACAGCTCTATGAATTTTGACATACACATATAGTTGTATAACCCCCACTACAATCAAGACACAGAACATTTCCATCACCCTAAGGATTATGTCCTTGAGAACAACTTACATCCTTTTTAATTTTCTCTCTTTGCTTAAGATTTGGAGATGCTAAGATACATAGGCATGGAAGATAAAGTTAATGGTTGAAAACTGAAACAATCTTTTCCTGGAAATTTGAGCTGTAGTGGATAGGCAAACTATTATGTGACAATGTCCACAAAACATATGCTTTTATATTAGTTCAGCTGTTCCTTCTAGATACATAAATGGAAAATAGTTAATATTTGAAAATTATAATCCTTATCTAAAAGTCGAACTATACAGATAGACAAATTATATGTTTTAGGAACAATTGAACTGCTTCTTCTTGGTAAGCAACTACTCTTGAGTTCAGGTGGAGTATTCCTTCAGGAATCATCTTGGTTATACTGTATTAAAGATGCTAGCTTTAAGATGAGATGTGGATAACTTTATTCCTTCCATTATCCCCACTCTCTCCTGGAGCTTCCATCAATGACCTTCACTAACTCTCCAGGGATATCTTCACTTCTGTTTTCAAACATGACAGCTCTCTTCTATCTGGGGAAAAAAAAACATTTAATTCTTCTCCTTTAATTCCACCTTGGTTTCCAGTAGATAACATTTGTTGAGTGTCCAACCAATTGCTAATTGCTTTATGGTCATTATCCCACTTTATCCTCACAAACCCCTAGCATGCAGGTAATATTTTACAGAAGAAAAATATAATGGCCACATTCATAAAGTACCACTGCTATGTAATCCAAGAACATTATTCCATTTGATTCTCACAGAAAATCCTTTGTTATCAATGAAGAAACTAAGGCTTAGTAGGGGCAGAAGTGTGTAAGGCATTCCGGGCTCCTGGGGCATCTGCCTCATGTTACCTTCACAGCTTGATTGTTCTTGACCTTGTCCTCAGCTCTGCAGCATAGCTATGTTTCTCCTTCATTCCCTGTGCCTGGTTCTTTTTACTCTAGGTTCTTTTTTCTTACGGGTGGGGAGGGGTACAAATTACAGAAGCCCTCTTAAATTCGTTAAATTTTAAAAAGTAAATTTATTATAAGGGAAGAGGGTTATCTCACAGAACCCATGGTAGAAAGTAATGTTGGCCAGGCGCAGTGGCTCACACCTGTAATCCCTGCACTTTGGGAGGCCGAGGCAGGCGGATCACCCAAGGTTGGGAGTTCAAGACCAGCCTGACCAACATGGAGAAACCCCATCTCTACTAAAAATACAAAATTAGCAGGGCGTGGTGGTGCATGCCTATAATCCCAGCTACTCGGGAGGCTGAGGCAGGAGAATCACTTGAACCCAGGAGGCAGAGTTTGCAGTGAGCCGAGACCATGCCATTGCACTGCAGCCTCGGCAACAAGAGTGAGACTCCATCTCAAAAAAAAAAAAAAAAAAAAAAAAAAAAAAAAAGTAATGTTAGGCTTCTGGTAGGACTGCCACCAGAAATTAGAGAGTGATCAGGAACCAGGGCAACTGGACCTGGCCTCTCCCTTTGGCTATATGTTCTCATTTATTTGAACTCGAAATCCCTTTCACATAGGATTTCTTTACCATCCAGTAACTAATGTTCCTTAGAGCCTTGCTGCACAAAGTGATGGACCAGCAGCATCAGTCCCACCTGGGAGCTTGTTAGAAATGCAGAGTCTCAAGCAACACCCCAGTCCTGCTGATCAGATTTTCCATTTTAACAAGATCTCCAGTTGATTTGTGTGCACATTAGAGTTTTAGAAGTGTGGGTGCTGGCTTAGAGCACAAGTAGGGAAACACAAATCTATTAGACTCTCATGGAGTCAGAAGATTCAGCTAATGCCTTTGTGGTTTTGGAACCCCTGAAAAATAACATCAGCAAACTGGTTATTCAGTAACAAGTAAGTAAGTAATAAGTTTGTTGCTGAATAACCAGTTTGCTGGTGTTCATATTCAGGGGTAACTTGGTAGTTAAAATTTGGGGTACATTCATCAAGAGGCATCTACTACACATGTGAGCTCCATAAAGCAGGGACTTTGTCTTGTTACAGCTGTGCCCCTTGCAACTAGAACAAGGCCTGATATATGGTAGGCATGTGTGTTAGGCCATTGCTATAAAGAAATACCTGAGACCGGGTAGTTTATGAAGAAAAGAGGTTTAATTGGCTCACGGTTCTGCAGGCTGTACAAGCACCATGACACCAGCACCTGCTCAGCTTCTGGGGAGGCCTCAGAGAGTTTTACTCATGGCAGAAGGTGAAGCAGGAACAGGCACATCATAAAGCAAAAGCAGGAACAAGATAGAGAGTGGGGAGGTGGGGTGCCACAAGCTTTAAAATACCGGATTCTTATGTGAACTCAGAGTGAGAGCTCACTCATCACTAAGGGGATAGCGCAAACCATTCATGAGGGACCCACCTCCATGATCCAAACACCTCCCACCAAGCCCCACCTCCAACACTGGGGATTATTAGGTCGGTGCAAAGGTAATTGCTGGTTTTGCCATTACTTTTCATCTCAAATCATGTTGAATTGAGCTTTGGGTGCGGACAAATACCCAAACTATATCAGCACTCAATAGATACTTGTTGAAAAAGAAAACCATAAGAAAAAGAAGAAATGGAGGCAATACAGATAGTCACTCATTACCTCAACATTCTAGAGCACTTGACTTTGCTTCAGTGGAGGACATTGTAAAGATTCCCTGCATCAAAGTTATACTGGTCGGGGTGGACTAACTACTGAACCAAATAGACCTGAAACTGTACAATGACTCAAAAACAGTAGAAGCTTATCTCTTGCTCACTTACCAGTCCTCGGCAGGTACATGGATCAAAAGGATATTCTCCTGCAGGCATTCAGGACCCAGGCTGATGGAAGTGCTACCACCTTCAACACATGGGTTCCAAGTTTCCCTGGGAATCATTGCATTTCAGCCAGCTAGAACAGGAAAGGAGATTGAAGGAGCACATGAGAGGTTTTTATGGCCCAAGCATGAAATAGCAGATGGCACATCCTATGGTAGCCAGCTTTCAAGATGGCCCCAGTGAATCCTGCCTCCTGGTATTCATGATCACATATAGTCCCCCTCCCACAGCAAATGGGGCTGACCTGTATAACAGATAAGATATTGCAGAAATGACAGTGTGTGACTTCCAAGGCTGAGTCTTAGTCTCTTGAATCACTTGCTCTAAGGGAAGCCAGTTGCCATATCATGAGGACATTCAAGCAATCCCATGGAGAGACCCATAAGGCCTCCCACCCACCAACAACCATGTGAGTGGGCCATCTTAGGAGTGGGGCCTTCAGCCTTTAGCAAGTCTGCAGATGACTGTAGTTCCAGCCCACACCTCAACTGCAGCTTTATAAGAGACTCTGAGCCAGACTGACCTAATTAATATGCTCCTGAATGCCTGGCCCTCAAACTATGAGATAATAGATGTTTGTTGCTTTAAACCACCAAGTTTCAGGGTAATCAGTTATGCAGCAATAGATAATTCACAGATTTCCACCCATTTCATTGGATAGAAATCAGCCACAGTCTCACATGATTTCAAAGGAGGCTGGGGAATGTAGTCTAGCCCAGAAAGAAGAGGAGAATGTGGATTTTGCTAAGCAGTCAGCAGACTGTTCTACAGGAATAGACAGAATAGTAACAGGATAAGAACAAAATCAAGAAGAAATGTAAATTAGATCCTGGGGTCAAACCACAGAGCTACTGGACACACTTAGCCTTTCTCTCCTTTTGCAAAGTTCACCCACCCTAAAGGACCATCTCCAGCCCTACCTCCTTCATGAAGTCTTCTGTGCATATCAGGCCACATTCCTCTCTCTTGCCTCTGAACTCCTGCAGCACCTCTTGGCTCATTCTCTTCTGTGTGCGGTAATAAATGTCACTGGTTCAGAGACAGAAGGCATCATTTGGTACTCAATCATGTATTGCCTTGTGATAGCTCTTATATCACTGTCTCGAACGATTATTTAAGTTTTCATATCTGTATATCTTGTCTTCCCAATTACATTTAAGATCCTGGAGGGCAGAGACCAATGGACGTGGATAATATATGATGTGGCCACATTAGCTCAATAATCTGTAAAGTGATTTATTGAAACCACAAAATCTGATCTTAATGGGAGTTGAATTTTAATAGGAATTCAGGTCCTTCCCTAGATCACTAAACATATGATCACAACCATATATTCCAAATTCTGTTTGCTGAGCATTAGATCATATCCTTAGCAATGCCTAGCACAAGCCTAGTCAGTGGATATTATTTGAGTGTAATTTTAGCAGAAGCTGCAAATGAGGAATTTGATTAAATTGTATATAAAAGATACATAATGATATTTAGAAAAAAATCACAGTGAAAATGGTTTTTAATCTAGATTTATTTTGACATAATTTCATCACCTGTAGTTTAGCAGACTCTAATCAACTTCACATTTTAACCACCCCTTCTTGGTTTTATAAAAGGAATCATCATATTGCCAGCAAATGTTATTTCATTTACCCTCATTAACAACCCCTCCTTATGATATATATTAGTCATTTAAAATAATTGAAGGGGCTTTATGTTCGCCTTCCATTTGTATCTTTGCTTGATGTCAAAAGTAATGACTCAAGAGCTGACAAATGGATGTTGCTTCATAATAAATTTATGAAGAGTTTATCAAGCATGTGCACTGTTCTTTGTCAGCCATCTTGTAGCTAAACATAGCAAGCAGACCATTTAAAGTAACAATGCTCATGGCAGAAGCTTTTAAGAGTGATCACAAAATGCAGCTCCTTGAAAAGGCCAAGATAAAAAATAATCCTGTTATCAATTACTTCTGCTGACAAATACTTGAGTAACAACTTTGATATTTTCTGTTCTGAAAAAAAGCTGTATTTTCATATCATCTGTTGGATTTACTTTAAGACCTCTGAAATACCTGAATAATGCACATCGGTTTACCTCATAGAATATGTCATCTAACTAGCTGTATAAATCCTTGAAATCCATTATTTATACTATATATAACAATTGTTCAAGGAAACTCAGGAATTTAGATTTTAAAATCCTGGGCCTTTCAATGTGAGGGGAAAAGATATAACTCTGAGCTCTTCCCCAAAGATTAACGTTCTAATCTGACTTGAATCACTACATGTTAAACACACATTTTTCTTCTTCACTGAATTAAATTATGGAATTGATTTGTTTTACAGATTCCAGAGAAATTGCAATGGCTTTGAGCACTGGGCATGCTTACTAAGGATACAAAGATCACTGGTTAAAAGAAAAGGTCCTTTGTGTTATGTCTTCATGTGTTCAGGCCCCAAAGTCCCTGAAGCAATAACAGCTAAGTATGCCACACTCTGATCTTGTAAATAAAACATGACAATCTGAAGGTCAGAAACTGTTTTACCAGGGTGCCCTGACTTCTAAAGATAGAACCCATGATTAACACATATCTTTGGTACAATTGTGTCCTTTACTCTGATGGGTCAACAGAGTTCAATGTATAATCAGGTATCATATAATTCCCTTCCAGAGAATTTTTTTAAATATACCCATTGATTCTTAACAGTTACAGCCACTTAAAAAATACTGCAAGTACCACAGTGTTTGTTCATCTGTTCCTATCTTATAAATATATCATGATTGCATTAAAAAGTTAATAGAGACTAGAAAGCTGGTTAGACATAATTACTATGAAAACAGATACCATGCAAAATAAAATTAAAATATACTGTTATTGTTTATAAGAAACAAAAAATAAACAGTAGACTGCTTTCAGTATATATAGATATATTATATATATTATATATATAATGTTATTATCATTGATCCAGACAGATTCAGTATCAATCAAACATCAAAATTATTTTTGGTTAGAAAATATACAAATCAAAGGCGCTAATAGGAGGTTTACAGAGGAAGAGGTCCCCCCAGACCAGAAGACCAGAAGGGGTAATTAGGGGATGAACAGGGGGACATTACAGCTTCTGGGTAACGCTTTGCAATGAGTCCTGGGACAAGTAAGACCCTTAAAGTGTGAAGAACCAGACCACTTACTTTCAAGAACAACAAGAAGGTGGGAAGCTGAGGAGACCCCACCTAAGCCCTTAACCAGTTTGGTAGAGACCTCTCAAGAATGTGCTAGCTTTATACATGAAACAAAGGCTTCAGGGAAAAAATAAAATAAAAGTAGTAATACATGGTGTCCCTTAGAAGTGGCCCAGAGGTAGGACTAGTGGTTGCTCCATGACCATTCTGGGCATCTTTCTAGCTGGAGAAGAGCCACCAAAGAGGTTGCTGTGACCCAGTGACCACTGGGTGAGCCATCTTCCTCTGCCCCAGCCCTGGATCACCCCTCTTCCTGCCAGAACAGCACATTAGCCAATAGTTCTAGAATTTTATGAGACGAGAAATGGTTGGTGCTAGGCCCGTCAATGGTGCAGGCATAATTTAGAACAACTTCTGAGATTTCTTTAAAATAAATTTTATTGTGTATATTTAAGGTATACACTTTTTAACATAATTGGGGACCACTTAGCTATGAATTCAAATAATCATTTGAAATCACCTAATTCTGTGTTACAATTGAACAGCAAAGGGCTTTATTTATGGATATTGAAATCATGCATTGATATATATGAAATTAGAGAAGTAAATATAAAGTATTTATTCCAGGCAGACTCAAAATAAAAATAAAATTCCTTTTAAAAACATAAGGGAAACACAAGAACCATTCAAGGCACTTAACAAAAAACTGTTTAAGAGTTAGACTATTCCATTGTTATCATATTTTTTAAATTCAGGCTACCACGATTATGGTTGTTAGGGTATGCATATAGCTGTCATTTCTCTATTCTGAAATACACTGAACCAATTTACCTGCCATATTTGCTGGTGGTGTGCCATCATGGCTGTACTTTGTATTATCACACTGGAGACTGAATCAGTCAATAGAAAAAAGACTTCTTTTTATTTTTTGGTTTTTTTTGAGACAGAATCTCACTCTGTCACCCAGGCTGGAGTGCAGTGGCCTGATCTCAGCTCACCACAACCTCTGCCTCCTGGGTTTAAGTGATTCTCATGCCTCAGTCTCCCAAGTAGCTGGGATTACAGACACGTGCCACCATGCCTGGCTAATTTTTGTATTTTTAGTAGAGACCAGGTTTCGCCATGTGGGCCAGGCTGGTCTCGAACCAGGTGATCCTCCCACCTCGGCCTCCAAAAGTGCTGGGATTACAGGCATGAGCCACAGTGCCCGGCCAAGAGTTGATGTTCCTAACAGTACTCATTTTTTCTTTAAAGAATAAAAATAAAAGAATAAAGAATTTAAAAATCAGAGACAGAAGCCATGCATCTTCATGTGGCTTCGTATGCACTGGATTAAAAATTAATTAATATCCTCTTCATTCAAATGTCACATAGGCCAGTGCTTCTCAAACTATTATTTTCACAGATCGATAATTTTATAAAATACAATGAAAATAAATTATAAGAAAAATATTAAAAAGCTTACAAAATGCAAACCCAATTACAAAATGCAGTAATGTCAAATTGCTATAGAAGTTTCCACGTGCTTATTCTCAATCCCTGTACTTATCACAGACCAGTAACCGTTTGTGGACTTGGGCTGGTCCAGGGACCACACTTTGAGTAACCCTGGTTGGTATAAGTCACATTCACTACAACAAGTTCCATAGGTCAAAACCATTTTTTACTTAAACTTTGTTATATCAAATGGTCTCAGAAATAAGAGAGCCATTGACAGTGACTTGGAAATTGTCACCCCTTTTCCATTAGCCTGTATAATATCACTGAATGTGTGTTCAAAATATGACAAGATATTCTGCCCTAAATAATTTCTATAATGTGAAAGCTGCCTTCTCTCATTTTCCCAGTATTTATTTACCCCTTTCCCCATCCTGTTCCTTAAATAGCTTAAGATAAGAAGTAGTGAACTTAGCATTTACTGTATAATTTTTCTTTTAAGCCTTATTTGCAGAAGTTGCATGCTAATTCTTGGTGCGAATTCAGCTCTGCAGATGTGTTCAGTTTAATCTTCATGGTGTTTTTAAAACATTAGACTTTAAATTACTTTAGGTGAGGCCTAGTCAAATGCCCAGCCCCACATATATACGTGTTATCTGGCTGCCCCGCTTCATTTCTCCCCCAGAGCATCTCACTGTAGTAAGAGGATGTGCTGGAGACCAGATCCATCTGGCTTAGAATTTTTGATCTGCAGCAGATTATGATGATGCTTCCTGTGCACCTAGACAAGTTGCTTAAACACTCTGAGGCTCATTTTCCTCATTTGTAAAATGGAGATAATACTTAGATCACAAGATTCTTGGGCAGATTAAATGAGGCAAAGTAAATGCAATGCCTGTCCCTGGGGTGAGTAGTTAAGCACAGAGTATTATTTTTCCCCTCCATGTCTACCTACCCCACGCCCTATTTCCCCTATCCCAGGCCCTCTGCTGCTCTCCGCACCCTTTACATTTTGCCTCCGGTGACTTTACTGCTTCTCTCTGCTGAAGAGGAGGATAAATAAACTCATCAAAAACACACCTTTACTAAGTAGAGAGGAAAGGCTATGCTAATACTCGCAGCTTTGCCACCTGGAAAAAAAGGTGACTCAAAGGGCACTAAGTGAGTAGGAAAGCTCTAAGGGAAAGAGCTGTTGAAAGCAGCTCTCTCAGAATACAAATACAATACAGCTTTTCCCTCCCCATCTCGCTGACAAGCATCATTGCTGCAGTTTCAGGAGAGAGAGCATTTGACCTCTGTGTTATTTCTAATTCTTAATTGGAAAAGTATTTGCTTGTCTATGAAATATGAAGATTTCCTTGATATCAGGAAATCCCTTTAAGGGAATTTTATGTTTTCTCAGGCTTTTGCTTCTTGTGAAAACCAATCTCGAAGATAATAGTTCAGTACTAAAATGATTGTATTCATAATCATTTAATTTAAATGCATGTTTGAGAGAATGCACTTAACAAATTAAATCACATGTATTCAGAATGCCGTTATGGCCACCATTTGTGCTTTCTTGTCAATTGCCTAAGCTGACACTGTCATGCCTAAGCTGACATTGTCAATGCAATGATTCTATCCCACACTCTTGGTTTGGTGAGCTCACAGTCAATGCATATTTTTTACTCAGTTTAATTAAACATGGGGACTGTTTAATTAGCTTTAATTAGAAAATTAATGCAGATCATTCCTACAAGTCTCAAACAATTTAGACGTGAATGAAATTAAAAAATTAAATTCTCTCCCCCTACAACCCACCTCTCCACTCACACACCTATAAACACAACACTCGCCTACATCCTCATCAAGATTCTTCCAGCTCTAAGATCCTACATGTCTCCGCCTTGCTACTCAACTCCACCTGAACGTTTGGGCATAGCCAATTCACCAAGCTACCCCATTCTGCTTTTTTCCATGAAAGGTCTTGCTCCTTCCCTTTTATTTCCAGTCTATGGCCCCGTCAGATGCTACAATCCTCCTTGACTCAAGAATTTCAATTCAACAGTTACAAAAATTAATTTTTGAAACTGGTAAGATTGTGTTATGAGTGCCTTGTATTGTACCCAAGCATAAGTATGGCTGAAGACCATGACACAGCCTGCCTCTGAAGTGACAGTAAGGTAGAAGTCCCCTGACAAGTCTTCCACTTGACTGACCCTTTCATTCACTCTGTAAAGCAAAGTGACCCCAGTTCATGGCATTCAGAATGCCTACAGCTGGCAGGGTCCTTGCTAATCCACCCCCACAGCTCAGTTCCCATCTTTTAAGGTGTATGCTTTTAAAAAAACCAACTATTGGGTTTTTGTTCTCAAATCTGTTTATTCCATTTATAATGGTAGGCATGTTATTTAATTTTAAATATTATATAAGCTAATGAAATATGAATGCTAAGGAGGGGAAGGAAGCAAAATCAGACAGAGAGGGAAATGGAGTGGCAATGTGATGATCCCAAGGGCACTACTTAATAAATATCTCACCCACTAAATTCCATCTCATTGTATGCTTCCCAGGAAACCCAACTTGCAATGGCGTTGCTATGCATTATATCACTTAGCGTAAGGAAATAAAAATATTTACACTCATTCAGCTTAAATATGATTCCATCTGAGTGTGGTCAGACTTTAGACTCAGGGAGATTTAATCTAAGATACCTGCTAGCCAAGAAGAGCACACTGTTCTTTATGGACATAACCATCACTTCTCATGAGCTATGCTGGCTGATAAGCAGGAAAGCTGGGAAAACTGGGAATTTTTAAGACATATCTCAACAAGCAAATCTTATAGGAAAGGAAATTCAATGTAGTAAACATTGAAAAAAATTCAATGTAGTAAACATTTAGAAGGTCTAAACATTCCCATTTAATGTTAGAATTAGAGGTTCTGACCAGATTAGGAATATGAGACTTCAAAGAGGAGAAAATAAAACACCAGGAATTCAACATTGCAACACGAATCTCTAGATCTTTTTCTAAGATGACTAAATTTAGGCATGGGAAGGATCACTCCTTATTACTGATGAAGAAAGAAATATGCTTGACAATAGCTGTGGGTGGACTTGCTGCTTGGTCCCCAAAGCATTCAAGATTAAAAAAAGAAAAAATAGTCATTATTTGAAATTTTCTGTAGTGATGACAGCTATTACAGTGTGCACTCTTTTGACCTAACAATTTAATCTAGCTTATCTGCTGCTGGAACAGTTTCCCTGATGACTAAAATGTTTATTTAGCTAATAAAATTATTCAGTGTCACTAGATAGAAAGATAGAGATGTATTTTAATGTGAACAGTGACAAAAAATGTTATTAACTTTTATTTGCAAGTGTAGGCAAGCAGAGAAAATAGAAAATAAAAACATCTTAATGCAGCACACATCAAAAATTATTGGGTTCCTTTACTTTTCTTCATTATGTATAGGGATTTTAGATATATTCATTTCCCATACGCTACCAAGGTGAAAAAGGACATCTCCTATCTATATTTTTAAAATTATGGCCTGTGAAATTTATACTGTTTATCCAAATCCTATATGAATGGAATTATAAAGAGGAGAAGGAGAGCTATGAATTGACATGCTACTGCACTGAGAAATCTTCATTACCAAGAAGAAAGAGGTTAACCTATTTCCCCTCCACCTACTTTCCACCACCCACACTTATTTTATCTAAATTGTCTAACCATAATCTCCCTCCAGGCCTAGGACCTAGTGCTAGCTTTGATGATTTCTCATCAGAGCCATTTCAATGGAGCATCCCAAAATCTTTTCTAACGTGTGCTTTTAAACAATGCTGATGGAAAGGTGAAAAGAGATTGATTCTGAAAAGGAATGCAAATTCCTAATGGCATAAAGCAGTCATGGTAGAAGCAACAATCTGTATGTTCCATACTCCTAGGGCTTTGAGGAGAAAGAGGTGTACCTATTAACTGTGGCTGCAAAAATGCTGTATAACAAGCAACCACGAAATCTCAGTGGCAAACAACAATAGGCATTTATTTGGCACATGAGTGTACAAGTCAACAGAGGTTGAGGGGATCTAGACTGGGCTTTGGCTGAGTGACTGCTGATCTCTGCTGGGTTTATTCATGTAGATGTGGGGTCGACTGGAGATCAATGGATCTGGTCTGGGCTTGGCTTGAGTGACTTGGCTCTGCTCTGCATAGCTCTCATGCTCTTTCTGGACTCAAGAGGCTAGCCTGGGCGTGTGCATCTCAAGGCATTGGCAGAAGTATAAGGGGGCAAGCCAAATCATGCACATGCTTCTACTTTTGTTCATGTCACCCTTGTTAACAAAGCTCATCACATGGCCAGAGTCAAGCATCAGAGAAATACAGTCCACCTCTTTAGTGGGAGGAACTACAAAGTCATATGGCAAGGGGTATGGATATAGAAAGGAGTTTTTAAAAAGTTTGGGTCGTTAAGTCAATCCACAACAAGAGAGGAGCAGAAGCAGTTGCTTTGAGATCAGCATTACCGCATATTGATGTGCAGGTGTATCCTCCACAACAACATCGGGTGAAAGGGAGGGTGGAAGCTGGAATACAGCCACACTCCACTCCCCAAAGCCATGCACCCTGGCATGGAGTGTGTCCTTTTTCTAACAAAAGCATTACATGGGTTAGTAGAACCTTGTTCAAGATTCACCAGGAAAGGGTTCAAAAGCTACTACTGTGTCATGGTCCATCCAGTAGATACAATTTTAAACTTTATCATGTTCTTCAATTCCATGCTCTCTACTTCATTTATCCCCCTTGACTACAAATTCGCCCTTCCAGATATCATTTTAAACACATGCAGCACATATGAATCTCAGGCCACAAACCCAGGTTGCCAAGCCATTTAATTTATTTTCCGTGGCTAAACTTAATTTCCTTTTCCCATCTCTATTTATTTAATGGTGGAAAATTAATTCCAGTCACTTCTGCACCATCCCTTCTCCAGAGTTGCATCAAATATATGGGAGACTTATATACCATCATGCAGTCAGTGGAAGATCTGGTATGTAGTCATTATCTAGCCAACAAAATGTGAGAATGATGTACACCCATAAAATCCTTCTATGTGTGATTCTCCATGCTCCTTCTCCAAGATGGAACCTTGGAAACTATGAGCTAAAGATGGCAAAACCACAAAAGGGTAAGAACCTCGAATCTCTGAATCACATGGAGTATAACAGCCTGAAAATTGGAAACATTATTTGAGAATTTGCAAGAGAAGAAGGAAACTTTTACTGTACTAAGTCACTGATATTGAACTTGATCTTTTCAGTAACTAGAATAATGTTAATTAATGATTACAGACAATCTGGACAGCAGTTTGACTGGGAAATATACTATGATGACCAGGCTGCATCTAGAACTCGCAAGACTTTTATAATCACTAACTCAAAGCACAACTCATTGGCATAGGTATGGGTTTTTCTCCAACCACATTAAGCTTCTCAGTGCAAATGTGGGGTAGGCAGAGTCCTTTTTCCCCAGGTCTCTGCCTCATCCTCAATAATTTTTAACACCAATATCACTGTTTTTCTCTCCAACGTGCTCCTGTCATGATTCTTGGAAGTTTCAGTATCTGTGAAGACGATCCTTCTAGTACCTTGTTGTGCCAGGTCATTTAGGCAGAGGCATGTGTCTTACTTGTGTCAGTTTCTGTAGCAATAGAAACTGAAACGAAGATTCCTCTACAAGCAGTTTATTGAAGAAGTGCTCTCAGGAGCACTCTGGAGTAAGGAAGGGAGGGAGCAGAATAGGACAAAAGCAGTAGAGATGTAGTGTAGCTGAAGTCTAGCCCAGCTTGATCCCACAAGGAGCTCCAACTGGCTGAGTATAATTCTCCAGAGAAGAGTACAACTATGGGCTGATAAGCAGCCAACTTTCACAGTATACTGCCACAGCCCAATAAGGGCACCAACAGCCTGCTACAGCATGCTACCAAAAGTCATCCTCCAGTAAGAAAAAATAAATATGCTTTTTTTGTGTGTGGTCTTCTCCTTCAGAAGGAATCTGACCAGACCACTTCTTTCCAAGATGATTTGGCCAGCTGCCTGGCATAAGTACCCAGTCAGCCTCAATGCCAGTCCAAGGTCATATCAGACAGACATCTGCATCATAGCAAGCCACCTGGGAAAGGCTAGTGCTAAAAGCTAAATCTCCATTTAGAATAAAAAGCAATAATATGCAGGTGTTGGACTAAATTGTTACTGCTCCCACTTCATTTCAGCTGAAATAATTTGATGTAGCCCTTAGACCTATTATCTCATAAGGAATTTTGTGAACTGAAGCTGTAAAATAAAGCTGAGAGAAAGACAATTTGCACTGCTAACCCGAGGTCCACAGTTTTTGTGCAAAGATTTCCGGGTAGCTAACTTTTTCATCATTTTTCAGAGTGGTTTTGAGTTAGGGCCACAGAATTATTTTTGCAATTTAAAAAGCCATTTCATGAAGAAATTTTGACTCAAGATATGCTCAATGAGTTTTTGAAATTGAATTGGCAGGATAAACTGTGGCCCTTCTCTTTCCAAAGTGATCAAAGAAGACCTACTTACCCTCTATAATAACAAACTGCTCTAAGACTCACTGTTCTTATTGCTGATTTATCAGCTCCGTTTTTTAAAAAATTCACCCACCCAGTCTATACAACTCCAGAAAAGGGCTGTTTTCATTCAGTTCCACCATCTATCAGTTTCTAAAAATATGTGTGTGTGTATCACATATACATATATACATATATAAATACGTGCAAAAACTAAAATATTGGGCAAGGTTATCATCATACCTCAGGAATTGTATTTGGTATGACAAATAATTTATTTAGCACAAATGGGCCAGAAACTGTGCTAAACACTAAGATCACGAAGGAGAATGAGACATGTGTCCCACCCTCAAGTTGCTCACAGACCCCTGGAAGAGAAGGACCTGAAATCAAATAAATTTTAATAGAGCTGTGGTGTATGGAAAACAGAATAATTTTGCATAGGATGGTTTGGGAAAATTTCATTGAGAAGATGGCATTTTATATGGAGTTTAAAGGCAGAGGCGTGTGCATTGCCTGGTAACTCTGGGATATTTATATTTAATTTATTAAATCAATATTCAAATTTATAAAATAATCAATGGATCCATTTTTCCATACTCAGAGGGGTCACTATTTTCCCAGGCAAGTGAGCTCTGAAGCTTCCAATATAAAATACCTAATCAAAAATCATAGGTAATAAATATTTTTGGCATCTAAAGCTAAGTCTTGCTCAGAAAAAAGAGAGTGATTGATATAGTATAAATAATGATAAAGGAAGAAAATTATATAGATCTTATTGTTTCTCGCCAAATTATTTTCTTTACTCATTCAGTTCAACAAACATTTACTGAAATGTTTGTAAGCCATGCATGACAATGGTATTTGATATGAGGAAGTATAGTTGTATATGCAAAATCTGAATTTTGGAACTTTAGAACAAAACCTCAGACAATGAAAACAGCCATTTTTTAAAAGACAGGGAAGTGATATCAATAGAATTGTTTAATGCACTGCTCATATTTCTTTCACTAAAGGCTTTTCTGGTAGCCAAAATTAAAATGAAATAATTCTGGACACATACTAACTGTAGGCACCCCGAGGATGGCAGGAACACAAGTGAGTACAAGGAGCACTCCCACCTCAAGGGAGTCTGCCGCCTGAGTGGTTCCAGACTATGGAAGATGGATTAGGCATTGCTGACAACCATGAAATTGATGTAGCTAGAGAATGATTCAAGCATAAGAGTCACAGTCATAGTCATGGGATTTAGAGATGGAAGGAAATCCACTCATCAGGAACAGACGTTTGTTTGTCAAACATTCACCCATTTTAAATGGCTCTTCCTGTACTGACACCATAGGTCAGGATTAAAGAAGTGAGAGAAAAATTGGCATGTTGACCCACAAGCATGAGGTGGGCAAAAATAGGCCACCCATTTGAGCTGCAGTGATTTCAGGGCTCCCAACTCTTAACACTCCCAGCACAACCACACACACACAACAACACTCATACACACAACCTTACTCCAAATCTCAAAAACCCAGTCTGAAATTCCACACTTAAGGAATCATTACAGTTTAAGTGTTGAATTCATTTCTGGGCCCAATTGAAGTAAAAATTCCTCTGGAAAACAAAAAGACATACTTACCATATGATCCAGAAATTCCACCCCTAGAGAAATGAAAATTTACATTCCCACAGAGACTGGTACAGGAGTGCTTAATAGCAGCTCTACTTATAATTGCCAAGAACTGAAAACTACCCAGATGTCCTCCAATGGGTGAATAAACACACTGTGGCTGTCAATACCACAGAATACTACCCAGCAAGAAAAGGAATGAAATATCAATGCAAACAACAACGTGGATGAATCTCAAAGGCATTGTGCTGAGTGAAAGAAGACACTCCCAAAGGTTACATTCTGTTTGCTTCCATTTACATGGCTTCCTGGAAAAGGCAAAACTGTAGAGATGGAGAACAGATGGGCAGTTGCCAGCATTTGGAAGTGGAGAGGAGAGTTCTGCAAAGGGGCAGCCCAAAGGTTTATTTTGGCTTTTTAGTTTTTTTAGTGATGGAACTGTTCTGTATCCTAATTGTGGTAGTGATTACACAAACATGCCTGTGTTAAAACTCATAGAACTGGGTACCAAGAGAAACAATTTTATGATATGTCAATTTAAAATGTTTAAAAAGACAATGCATGCCAGTTTCAAAAATAAAAGAGATGTGTATTTAGCTATAATGTAGAAGGGCAATCAGATCCCCCCCCACCGACACCCCAGAAAAAAAATGTGATTTATATAAAGCAAGACGGAAGAAAAATTAAGGCATTTTGGGCACCTGGAGGTGGATTTGCAGAGGAGGTAACACGTGGTGAAAGAAAGGCATGAGTGAGGGGAGGGTAAAGTGCAAAGAAAATGAAGTCTGGGAAAACATGGAGTTTTCTGACATCAAATTTTGCCCAAGGAACAACTCTGAGACTCAGAACCATTAACAGCAGCAATTCCAAAAGTTAAGCAGGTGAAATGACACTTTTAAAGCAAATTACATAGCCCCAACTTTTGTTCAAGAAATAGATGCTAGAGGCCAGGCACGGTGGTTCATGCCTGTAATGCCAGCACTTTGAGAGGCCAAGGCAGAAGGATCACTTGACTCCAGGAGTTCAAGAACAGCCTGGGCAACATAGCAAGACCTCATCTCTACTGAAAAGAAAAGAAAGGAAATAGAGGCCGGGAAGAAGAGAGAGCTGACTTAAAAGGTGAGAGGGATAAGCAAACTAAAAACGAATGTGTTTCCATAAGCAATGCCACGGTGAGTATTGCCTCTCACCTTAAGCACAAGGCAGAGATGAGTCTGCTCTCCCTCAAAGGTAGTGTCAAGGTCATCTGCCTAACCAAATGATGTTTTGCCCCTGATTAATGCATCCTACATCCTCTTGTCAACTCTCAGCCTTTGAAAGAAAATTATCCATCTATTTACTTATGCTTAGCAAGAGGCTGGTTTTGGCAAAGCCAAATGGTAATCATCAATTAAACAAGCCTTCTAAACTTTAAGTCTCTCAGGTGAGGCACTTGCCTTTGAAACCATCCATTTGTTCCATATCTAATTCTAAATCAGTGGTTGTCAACCAGGAGCAGTTAGGTCTCCAGTGCTGCTAAACATCCCCCAAGGCAGAAGACAGCCCCCATGAAAAAGAATGATCCAGCCCCAAATGTCAATAGCACTGAGGTGGAGAAACTCTGCTCTACATGTTCTAATAATACTCGAAATTTTTCCATTACCTCATTTACATACCACCTTTCCCTGAAATAACTTTTAATCACTCAAGGTTTTTCCAACACATGTGTGATGTGGCTGGGGGTCTGGTTGGATTTCTTGACTTCACAGATGAAGCTACTGATCAACCACAGGAAGCAGCTAAATACAGTTGCTCAGACTGAAAAACCAAGTTGCTGCAGGACTACATGCTCATCCGCATATGCTAAGTACATTTTCCACATTTGGTACTTTTTATGGGGCAAATAAAACCCACGTTGCTTTCTCAAGATCACACAAAGATCAATCAGTGTTCTCCATTGAAATGTCACCCAACTCAGGGAAAAGCAAAGAAAATGTGCCTGTCTGTTGAGGTTGAGGAGTCCATCTCTGGGAAGGGGCAGTGAGATGATGAGTATTTTCATGTCTCCTGAAAGTTTAAAAAACATGAATTTTTAAATTTTCAATATAATAGCCAGAAAAAAATCTATTAGTTTTCACTTTCTTTTTTCACTGTAGAACAGAACCCAAACAAATCTAATGACACCCCCAAACATCTTCTGTACCCCCTTTCTTATCCTCATCAGTTCACTCTCCCAAAGCTCCAGCTGTCCTCAATTGGGCAATGCTGAATTCCCATTAACCTGAATGTAGACTAGCAAATTCTCTGCATAATCCAAGACACAAGGAATAGGAGGTAAACTAAACCCAAGTACATCTCTTTCAGTGAAGGTTTAATAAAAACATTAAATTGCCATTCATCAGGCTCATATGAATTCTTCCTGCACATGCTGAAGCTTCTTTCTTGCATCACAGACACTTGGATTTTTCAAACATTTGACTCCCACCTCTCATCTCCTGTCCCATCCAGGCTCAAAACATCAGCACAAAGGCACATTATGCCGCTGTCTTCACTTCTTGTTCAGTTTCTTGTAAAGAAAGAAAGCAATGAATATTGTCAAGCATAAATGGAGGCAGGTGTGCCACACCTTGCCTTCCATCTGTGTCTGACATTTCAAAACACCTAATAGAAAAGTCTTGTACCAACAGTTGCTGCTAACTGCCTAAAGCACCAAATGGATGACTAACAGCTCTATCCCATTTCTTCCATCTATGCATTATTATAAGCACAATACATTTGCTAGGGTGACAAGGACATTTATTCAAAGACGAGCTGCCCCAAAGGCCTAATCTACGCAGAGACTCTTTCCTCTAAAAGGAGCTATGTTTCAGCCTGCTCTTAAAAGCCACCTTATTAGAATAAGCTCTATAAGCTGTTTGCATTTATGTTATAGTGAAGTTATATCAGAAGGGGTTGATGCCCTAAAACACAGTTCTGGCTAGAAATTCTGGTCACTGAGCATTTGGGGATATAGG
Organism: Homo sapiens; assembly: GCF_000001405.40. Lineage (NCBI taxonomy): Eukaryota > Metazoa > Chordata > Mammalia > Primates > Hominidae > Homo > Homo sapiens. Next base: position 20,458,373 of record NC_000023.11, on the reverse strand, counting down.
GTAGGTACTGAGAAGTATATGTATTATGTCAGCAAACAGTAAAGTCTACCTTTCTGCTACAGCATGTCCAAAAGAAGTTTAAGATAATTGAATATGTAAAACAAATATACCCAAAAAAACTAAAATTAAATAATTTAAGGACACTACAGATGTACATATTCTATTTATTGTGAGTTTGTGAGTTCTATATGATGGTGGTTAACACTCAAATTTTTTAAAGCCAAATTTCCTTTTGAGGGATTCAAACAGTAAGATATCATATGATACCCAGATGCCATCAAACACAAATTAAGGGAGGGTTTTCTCAAGACATCAAGGTATGGCAGCCATATGTGGATGGTCCCTATAATGGTCCTGATTTCAAATATTTTATCATCTTGCCAGATCCCAGTGCTGATTTTTAGCTTAGGAAATATAGTCACAATGCCTATAATGAAATGCTGGATTCCCAGCAGTAAGCTATCTCCAAATCTCACTGTAGGAATGTTTCCTAGGGAAGGAGTTTTAGAAATAAGAAATCTCAACTTGGATGGACATTTGTCTCAAGAAAAGGGAGCACTTGCTCTTTCTGACCTTAAATTTCAAGATATACTTCTCACTTTTGAACCTTTCAGTGCCTGAATATTGACTACATGACCTATCATCATGCTAAGGACTCTGAAAGCATGGGAAACAGGCAGAGTTCCTGCCTTTTTCAGGCAATGTACTTAAACAGCAACAACCCAAGACACAATAAAAACATTGTTTTTATTTTTTAAAAAAAGAAAATTTTTGGAGTGCAGTATATTTTTATCCTGGTCAGGCTCTAACATTTATGCTGGGATACATAAAATGAATTCTTACTCTAATTAGCAGCACAGCTCGTGACTCCACCCACTTCAGGTTATACTTATGAAAGGAAGCAAAGAAAATATAAATTTGGAAAGGGGTATAGATGCCTCAAGCCCAGTAAATCCACTCAAAACCTTTCAGTGTGAAAGGGCTTCTATATTGCCTCCACAATTTCTTTTTCACATCTTCCAATTTTCTCTTGCTGAGTAGGGGATTTTCAAAAGAACCATTGGGTCAATGGTAAATTGACAGAAAATGCTTCAAGCTGCTTGTTCTGTCAGCATGTATAGACTCCTTTAATTCTCAAATGACTGTCTTCAGTAACCTTCCTGTTGTTATGAGTTAGGAGTATTGATGTGTGATGAATAAATTGCACTCATTGGTTATTGTCAGGAAAAGAGAGGTAAATTACATGTTTAAACTGGCATTCCTTTCTTGAACCTTATTGCTAAATGAAGCATGAATGATATGACTATGAAAATCCTTCCTGAGTCAGAGCAGAGTAAAATAAAAAACAAATTTTAGAGTATTGACCTCTTATATACAGGAAGAAAAATATCTGACACCTCGACAATATTAGGACTCCTGGAGATCCTTATGGGCCAGAAGAAAGAGCTATCTCCTTTCTTCTCCTCTATCATATGAGAGCTAATATTTCTATATCAGACCAATGTTGAAATGCTTGAGCTTCTGTATTAGTCCATTCTCACACTACTAATAAAGACATACCTGAGACTGGGTAATTTATAAAGGAAAGAGGTTTAATTGGCTCACAGTTCTGCATGGCTGGGGAGGCCTCTCGAAACTTAAAATCATGGCAGAAGGTGAAGGGGAAGCAAGGCACCAACTTCACAAGGCAGCAGGAAGGAGAAGTACCAAGTGAAGAGTGAAGAGCCCCTTATAAAACCAACAGATGTCATGAGAACTCACTCACTATCACAAGAACAGCATGGGGGAAACCAGCTCCATGATTCAAGTACCTCCACTTGGTCTTTCCCTGAACACCTGGGGATTACAAGTCAAGATGAGGTTTGGGTGGGGACACAAATCCTAACTATATTGGCATCATTTTATAGTAGAAGTAAGACAAGAATTAACTCATTCATGAAGTTAGAAATGGACAACCGAAGAATATGCAGGCTGCACATCATTCACCATGCCTCATACTTTGAGGGGATGAAACTTGCCTAGGTCTTTCACAACCTCCCTTGATTCCTTGCTCTTTTCTTCATGTCTTTCAATAAGAATAGAGAAGAGGAAGGAAAAAGTTCCAATCTAGTACTATTAAAGAGAATTCAGTCCAAACTCAGGACTCTGTATAAGCCATCTTCTTAAATTGGTTCAATATATTCGAAATAAGAAATGAAAATTTTAGGAAAACAGGCTTATGAATTTCAGATAGCTACTGATTACTTCCCAAATGAACTTTAAAGAATTCACTTCATAACTCATCCTATGTTCCCAACACATTTTTGTTCTGTCACATGAAATATTTAGGAACCAGAACTCAAACTATTCATTCAAGTAACATTTACAGAGTTTCTAATATCTAATCAAGACTCAGTTCTTAGCTTTAAGGAAATTGGTGAAAGAGGGTAATTTCATCTCAGGCCAGAGAGTCATAAAGAAATTTTAAGTTATTCAGTAATGTTACTGTTATATGTAATAGTGGTATTCTTATTCAAAAACTATTTTTAATATAAATAAAACAAGTAATTATGTTAAGAATCAAGATTTTCAGAGTAAAAGAATTATAAAGTCAAAGAAATTAATTTAAAATTGTAATGTTAAAGCAAATTGAATATATCGATATGAAGTCATTAGACACACACATATACATATGTGTGTATGTTTTCTGGTTCTGCATTGATATGTCCTAAAAAGCAAAGGACATGAACAGACACTGTTCAAAAGAAGATGTTACACGCAGCCAACAGGCATATGAAAAAATGCTCATCATCACTGATCATTAGAGAAATGCAAATCAAAACCACAATGAGATACTGTCTCACACTAGTCAGAATGGCTATTACTAAAAAGTCAAAAATAACAGATGCTGGCAAGGTTGAAGAAAAGAGAATGTTTATATATTGCTGGTGGGAATGTTTTGTTTTTCAAAATAAAAAAAAACTATTAGGGGAATGATTCATGAGGATCAAGGCATTCATATAGTGCCAAAGAAAAATAAAGAAGATTACTCTCTGGTCTCAAAGAGTAAAACTTAAGTGTATGACTGAAGGATCAAGCTGTCATCACCCTAATTCAGGGCTCAATCTTTGCATCACTAATGGTAAGACAAGCAGATATCACGTGTCACCTGACATGATGCATTATAATGTACCCATCCTCTGTGATGAATTCTGGCCACAAATATTTAACGTGTACTCATCAAGCTTTTAGAGCCAACTTCCGGTTTACAAGAAATACAGCTAAATACACCAAAGTGACACCACAAGGAAGCAACCATGCAAATCCAGAAGGTGAAATATTTTTGTGGGCAGCTTGTCCACCAGTAAGTCAAAGTCATGAATAAGAGACTGTTTTGGAATAAAAGAGATGTAAGGGAAATAATGACATGCAATGGGTGGTCCTAGAGTGGATTTTGATTCAATAATGATTCATTCATTCATTTTGGAAACAATTGGGGAAATTTGATTATTGACTGGATATTAAATAATACTAAGTGAGTATAATTTTAAGAGGGATAATGTTATTTTGCCCAAGATATTTTTAAAAGGTGCATACTTAGTAGCTTCTTTAGAGTGGTGTGCAGCATAAGCCAAGCCTAGAATTAAGTGTGGTCCATGGTCCAGCAACAACAGCATCATCAGGGGCTTGTTAAAAATGCAAAGTCTCAACCCCCACCCCAGACCTACTGAATCAGAATCTACATTTAAACAAGATACCCAGGTGACTCTTCTGCACACTGTAGTTTGAGAAGTGCTGTTAAGCATGTGTCTTCCTATATGGGAAACCACTGAAGAATGTGACAGGAATGTCAATTGCTTCTGTCCCCCATCCCTCAGTGCACTGATATACTTTATTCCACCCCAAAATGGATTGGGACCTAGCCTCTGAGCCCACAGGACTCAACCTCTAGCTGCTCCCAATTTTCAGTTCCAGAGTTGAGCAGGGGAGTCTGGTCATAAGAGGTGGTATTGCACTCAGTGGAATAAAGCAGTCACCCATTAAATATGCACAATTCTTCTGGGGGTGAGGGAGACAGTGCCCTCTGTGACTCATTTCTGTCACATCCCTTCCCTTCCTGCCCAGTTCTGCTTAGCTCGTAGTGAGCTCGACAAGTCCACTCTTAATCTTTTCCAGCACTTAACACCTTCCATACGGGGTGTACTGGTTTAAACAGTGTCCTAAAATTCATGTTCACCCAGAGCCTCAGAATGTGACCTTATTTGGAAATAGAGTAATTACAGATGTAATCAAGTTAAGATGAGGTCGTAGTGGAGCAGGTTGGGCCCTAATCCAGTGACTGGGGTCCTTAGAGGAAGAGGGGAATTTAGACACAGACACACACAGAGAGAACCCCATGGAATGATGGAGGCAGAGATTCAAATGATGCCTTTATAAGCCAAGGAACACTTAAGAATTGCCAGCAACTGCCAGAAACTAGGAAGAGGCAAGAAAGGATCCTCCCCTAGAGCCCTCAGAGCTCTGCTAACATCTTGATTTGGGACTTCTAGCCTCCAGAACTGTGGGAATACATTTCTGTTGCTTTAAGCCACCAAGTTTGTGGCACTTCGTTACAGCAGCCCCAGGAAACTAATATACTGGACAAACCTCTTATTCTAAATTTAAAATGAATAATATTACGATAGGTATTAGTTCACATTTATCAAGTGATTACTATGTACAAGGCACTGGACTAAGTGTTTTACATGCAATGATCTAATTTAATCTGCAAATTATCCTATAAGTTAGATAATTCTAAATGTCCCCCATTCTACAGATTAGAAAACTGAAGCTTAGGGAAATTCAGTGCCTTATATAAATTCATAAAGTGGCAGAGCTGAATTTCATGCATCTGTCTGATTCCACAGCTCATGCGCTTCATCACCATGCTATGAAGTTCAAGATGAAGATAGAATCATATTGTGACCGGAATTTTTCAGTGATGTGTTTCCCACAATCCTTCCTCATATGGATTTGTATCTAGAGAGAAAGCAACAAAAACCAAGACCTCAAAAAACTGAGGACCCAAAACCTTGTGGAAGGCCACAACTCTTGATCTTTTCACAGTTACCCTGTCTATCAAACAAGTGGCATTTTCATTCCCAATTATTAGTGTCTCTTCATTGTTTCTGAATACAGCTCACGTCAGAAGTGAACCCAAAATAGCTTTCAGTCAGCTCCATTCCATTAGATACTGAAAATACTCAGTCTTTTATTCTCATTAGGACAGAAATAAAGCCAAAAAATATGATCCAAAACATACATTACTGTTGCCTAGGTGAAAAATGCCTGAGTTAAATGATTATTAGCTGCCTGCACCAGCTGAAAACCAGAAAGCTCGGCTGAAAATGCACCAATATTTTTACTCAGTTGCCTCTTTGGCTCACCTGCAAAACCCAGAGACAAGCCTTCATCATTACCATGAGGTACATCTGGAAAAAGACAGCTAAGGAGCAAGTCAAAGTTACCTTTGAGTGATTAACAACTGAGATGTGAATGTGGTGTTCCAATAATCTAAATATCGTGTGAGAATTCTGGGCTTTTGAGTTACTACTATTTAAGTGTGTAAATTACAAGTAAACTTCTTTTGTAAGAATCCTAAACTGATGAAAGTGGTTTTGTTTTTGTTTTGTTTTGTTCTGGGAGGGAGGTTTTTTTTGTTTCAGTTCTAGAGCCCGGTAAGGTAGAGAGATTAGTCACATCCTGAAGCTAGAAACATTTGGGTTTCCTTCTTTAATTTTTTCTTTACGAATTTAATACATATCTTATTGACCTGAAGTTCCCAAGGCTGCTCTATTTTGTTGTCAGCTTCTTTTCTGTGTCTCACATCCACTGTTAAATCGGTCCCTAGGTCAGGGGAGTGGGCAGGCCCTAGGGAGAAGAGGGGATTGTGGGTGATGCTAGAATCAGTCCTTATCCATTTTACATTATCTTTCTTTTCACTTACATAGAGGTTTACAGTTCCAAATCTATTATTCCATTTGATTTTCACAATACTTACAAAAGAGGCAGAAAAGGCATTATTGTGGTGGTCCCTCGTGAGAAAAGAACTTGTTTTGAGGTTCCAGCAAGCAAGCATCAGGACTCAGATAACCTTGCCCAAAGAAAAGGAAGACTCCATTGCACCCGTAGGCTTAGGGAGGGATGGATATAAGGAGAAAAGGAACACCCACTTAGCCAGTCAGATCAGTGGAAACAATCCTGGCAACCAGTTCAGTAACAGATGCTCCAGCCAGATGGCCCTCTCCTTCATTTTACACATGAGGAAACTGAGGCCCATTCACTCAACAAATTCACTAGACAAACATTTATTGAACACTGTACTTGGGATACTGTATCTAGAGTTGCATTCTTACAAGGGAATTAGACAATAACCAATAGATAATTGCTCTGAAGAAAAAGCAGGGTAAGCAAAGAGGGGGACAGGGGTGCTATTTTAGATAGAGCAGTCAAGGGAGTCTTCTCCAAGATGCCACTCAAGCAGATACCTGAATGCAATGAAGGAGTCAGCCCATGGATACTCAGGACAAGAATATTCTGGGTAGATGGAGCAGCAAGTGCCAAGATTCTGAGGCAAGAACATATTTGGAGAGTTAAGCAGCAGGGAGGCCAGTGTGGCTGAGGCGGGGAGAAGGAAGGGAAGAGTGGAAGGAGATGAAGTCAGTCACATAGTGGGGATGGGCAGGCTGCGGGCAGGGGAGATTACATAGGGACTTGGAGGCCATGATATGAGTTCTCAATTTCATTTAAAATACTACGTGAAACCAGGCCGGGTGCGGTGGCTCACACCTGTAATCCCAGCACTTTGGGAGGCCGAGGTGGGCGGATCACAGGGTCAGGAGATTGAGACCACCCTGGTTAACATGGTGAAACCCCGTTTCTACTAAAAATACAAAAAATTAGCCCGGCGCGGTGGCAGACACCTGTAGTCCCAGCTACTCAGGAGGCTGAGGCAGGAGAATGGTGTGAACCCGGGAGGCAGAGCTTGCAGTGAGCCAAGATCGCACCACTGCACTCCAGCCTGGGCGACAGAGCGAGACTCCGTCTCAAAAAAAAAAAAAATACTACATGAAACCTTTGTAGATTTTAGACAAGGCAGTGACATAATCGAACTGTTTGTAAAGGATCAGCCCACCTACTGTGTTGAGAAAAGACTGTAAACAAAGCAAAAGTAAAAGCAGGGATAATGGTCCAGGCAAGAGAAGATAATGAAAAGCAGAGAGATGATGGTAGCTTGGACCAGTGGATTATGGTGAGAAGACATCAGAATTCAAATATTTTTCTAAGAGAGAGCTGAGAGGATTCCCGAAAAATTGGATTTAGAAGTATGAGAGAAAGAGAGTAATCAGGGGTGACTCCAGTTTGTGACCTGAATAGTTGAGTGGATTATAGTCCCATTAACTTAGATCAGGCGTCAGCCGACTTTTCTGTAAAAGGCCAGATGGTAAGTATCTTTGACTTTACAGCCCACACAATCTCTACTGTAACTACTCAACTCTGCTATTGTAGTACAAAAACAGCCACAGATAAAAAGCAAATGGATGGGCATGGCCGTGTTCGAATAAAACTTTATTTACAAAAACAGGTAGTTTGCCTACACCTGGCTTAGATGAAAAAGCCTGCAGGATATTCAAGATGGGGTGTAGGTGGCCTATGGCAGATTGTGTTTCCAAAGATGGCCACAACAATATACTACATGCTTTTTTGTAATATGACTTTGCCATGCCCTCTTCAATTGAAGAGGTAGAGTCTATTTGCCCTTCCTTTGAATCTAGGCTGGCCTTTTGACTTACTCGGCCCATGAAATGAGGCAGAAGTAGGGCTGTATGCCTTCCAAGAGTAGGTTATAAGAAGCCGTGAAGCTTCTGCCTTTATCTCTAGAATGCTCATACTTGAGAACCTAGTTATCATGCTGCAAGGAAGCTGAAGCACCCAGCGAAGAGGGCTGCAAGGAGAATGATTGAGAACTCTAGCCGAGAGTCCTAGCTGAGCTCACAGCCAATAGCCAGCATCAAGTGGCCAGTGTATGAATGAGCCATCTTGGAAGTAGTACCCCCAGCTGCATTAGCCACCTTAGCTGATGCCATATAGAACAAAGATGAGATGTCTTCATAAAGCCCTACCCAACTTTATTATATATATATAGATAGATAGATAGATAGAGAGAGAGAGAGACAGAGAGAGATGGACGGAGAGAGAGAGAGAGAGAGAGAGAGAGAGACGGACGGAGTTTGGCTCTGTCCCCCAGGCTGGAATGCAGTGGCGTGATCTCAGCTCACTGCAGCCTCCACCTCCCGGGTTCAAGTGATTCTCCTGCCTCAGCCTTCCAAGTAGCTGGGACTACAGGCATGTACCATCATGCTTGGCTAAGTTTTGTATTTTTGGTAGAGATGGGGTTTCGCCATGTTGGCCAGGCTGGTCTCAAACTCCTGACCTCAAGTGATCCACTGGCCTCGGCCTCCCAAAGTGCTGGGATGACAGGCATGAGCCACAGCGCCTGGCTTAAGCCTTACCCAACTTTAAATATTGTAAGCAAATAAATAATTGTTGCTGTGTTAAACCACTAAGTTTTGGGGGGCGGATTTTTACTCAGCAATAGATGCTGAAGTGAGGTGTGTCAGTAAGCTTTCATTAGGTTATGCTGTGATAACAAATGACCCAAAGTCTGAGTGGCTTACAACAACAAACTTTTCTTTCTTGCTCATGTATATGTTGGCTGCAGAACAACATCAGTTACGCTCCATGTCTTTTTTATTCCAGAACCCAGCTGAAGGAACAACTCCTGTCTAGTGGCAAAAGAAAAAGAGCAATTGTAGAACTATGCAATGTGTTTTAAAGGAGATACTCAGACATGGTATATGTCACATTTCCTTAGGCAAAGAAAGTCACATAGGCAAACCAGCCAACAACAAGACAGGGAGATATACTCATTCCATGGGGACGGCCTGCAAGTCAGATGGCAATGGGCAGGAGTATCAAATTCTCTCACAGGGAAAGCAGTGAATAATTGGGAACGACAATACCATCTGCAACTGAGGGAAAATCGAGCGTTCATTTTGGAGATGTTAGATTTGAGGTGCAAATTTGACTGTTTGAGTAGAAGTAATTGGTAAGAGGTTGGATATATGAATCCAGAGTTCAGGAAAGAGGCCTGGAGGCAGATATCATTTGACAATAATGAGCATAGATAGTGTTTAAAATCATGGGACTGATTGAGAGCACCTGGGGTGGGAGATTAGTTAGAAAAGAAATGAAGTCTGAGGACCGGGCTCTGAGGACACTTGATATGGTTTGGCTCTGTGTTTCCACCCAAATCTAATCTCAACTTGCAATCCCCACGTGTCAAGGGAGGGACCTTGTGGAAGGTGATTGGATCATGGGGGCGGCTTTCTACATGCTGTTCTCATGATAGTGAGGGAGTCCTCACAAGATCTGATGGTTTCAAAGTGGCAGTTTCCCCTGCTCGCTCTCTCTCTCTCTGCCACCTTGTGAAGAAGGTGTCTGCTTCTCCTTCACCTTCCATCATGATTGTAAGTTTCCTGAGGCTTCCTTAGCCATGAGGAACTGTGATTAAAGCTTCTTTGTTTATAAATTACCCAGTCTCAGGTAGTATCTTTATAGCAGTGTGCCACTAAAAGGTTTGGAAGAGGAGGAAGAACCAGCAACAGAAGAGGAAACCACCAGTGAGGTAGAAAGAAAACCAGGAGAGTGTGGTGTTACACAAACCAGACAAAAAGATGTTTCAAGAAAGGAGGAGTCAACACCTGAGTCAAAGGTGCTGAGATGACAAGATGAGGCCTATTAACCAATGGATTTGGCAACATCAAAGTTATTGATGACCTCCACGAGATGGTTTCAGTGGAGCAGAGGAGAACAAGGCTAGCCCAAGAGAAACTGTCAAGTGAGGAAGTGAAGACACCAATTATAGACATTACTCTCTCAAGGAATTTTGTAGCAAAGGTGAGTGCAGAAATGGGGAAGTACCTGGAATGAGATGAATGATCAAAAGAAAACCTAGAAAATAGGAAATAAAGTAGCAGGTTTATGTGCTCTTTCAATAAGCACATCACAGTAAGGGATCATTGATAATATAATAAGTGGCTCAGACAGGTTAAGGATTTGCTCATGATCACATAACTGGTATAGAACCAGGATGAGAATTTAGATCTCCTGATCCCCACTCTGGTGTTCATTCTGCTGTTCAGTCTCTCCTAATAATATTGGCCCTACCACCGAGAGTATGTGAGAATCACTGTGCATAAGGCCAGAACTAGTGTAAACATCACTAGGCTCCCAATGGGCACTACCCATTAGGCATCCACAAATTGTAGAAGAGAGGTTCAGCAATGCACACCCCAAAGAGAGGACAAAGAGTCTCCTGTGACACCCCTATCCTAAGCGGTATGTTTGCATGTGCACTTTTATAAGGTGTTCCATCTTGTCCTACTTATATTAACCTTCAGGAAGGTCGCCTCAGTGAACTTGGGACATGCTGTTCTTTTTCAAAGTGAATTTGCAAAATATTGCCAGTTCTTTCTTCCCGAAACAAGAAAGAAGAAAAATATCCTACTGCATTATTTCAATAGCTCTAACAAGACGAAATTTTGGCTTCTACCAGGAATAACAAAAGAGAGAGGGAGAGAGAGATTCTGGCTGCAGTCCCTGTAATAACCTCTAATTAGTGCAATGAATAACAGCCACCATCTCTTCTGTTTCCTCAGACCTTTCTGTCACTTCTCTAAGGGTCATAGAGGTTAGTAGCATCATGCCATCAAGAGGCAGCATCTGATTCTCAGCTGCTATTGGCTTTTATCCTTGTTGTTACCCTCCAACATTTGCATCTGTAGCCAATCGTCCACAACTCTTCATGACTTTCTCATTCTAACCTCAAGGCCCCTTGAATTCTCCCAACCTATGCCTAGCCACTTCCATAATGCTCCCAGGGGTACAGAAAAATCTGGATCTTCTCTGATACCACTGGAAAGCAACAAGAGACTTGAGAGTTGGTCTCATGCCCTTCCTACCTAGACTCTCCTAGATGTGCCCCCACTTCCACTCTAGATGATACATTGTGGGGAGAACTTAGACTTTTTCATCCCTTTTCTGTCCATGCCCAAAAATAAAGCACAAGATTCTCTCTACCCTCAGATCCCCAAACCTATCTGAGGGGTTTATCATGCTCATACCCAGTAGCATGCTGGAGCCAGCTCATACGGGCTTCCTAGAGCAAATTGTGTGCATCTCTTTCCAACTTCACAATCAATGATGTCACACTGGTAACTTGAAACTGGCCATAGTGGGAGTATTTACACCAAAAATTGACGAACTGCAAATTAGGGGATTTTTTTTCCCCTTGAAGAACCATCTTTTAAACATTTGCCAGCACATCACTGCCTGTGCCAACATCTTAACTTGACCGGGACAGGGAGTTGTGCGGGGGTCACTGAGCCCCTTCTTAAGGACACACCAATGTCTAAGCTACTCTCTCTCTCTCTCCTTTCTACCTTCCTCTCACTTGCCAGCCTCTGGAAATGTCAAAGTACAACTCTCATCAGAAATATTTCCCAAATATATTGTTTAAGGCACCTAGCTCTCACCTCCCACACATTCTAACTTAATTGGTCTGGGAACAACCTTGGCATTGGGGATTTGGTACAGGTGTAGCCTTGCCACTGGGGATTTTAAAAGCTGCCAGGCAATTCTAATGTGCAACAAAGTTTGGAAACAAGTGTTTAAGATACTGGCTCTCCACCCTAGTTGCACAATGCATCCTCTGGGAAGTATATATATATATATATGTGAATGTCCACCAAAAATCAATTAAAACTGAGTCTTTGCAGGTGGAGTCCAGACACTGTTAGGCTTTACAACATCCTCAGGTGATTCTAATGCAAGGAGAGGATTGAGAACTACTGGTTTATAGCAGAAATTTTGGCTCTGATAGTGTTAAAACTATGCCAGTAAAGCTCAAAACCTTAAAAATTTATTTAGAAGCTCAAAAGCTGTGAAAAGTCATTTCTTTCTATTTTCCTGCTATAACTACCCTACCTTGGGAGCAATCTGTAGAGAAAGGTTTCACTGCTGCCTGAATGGTGCAAGAAAGAGAAGTAAATGAATTCCTGTGGATGGATCATGCAGGGGTTACCATCTAAATATTACTCCCCTACAAGAATTTAAAACAAAACTATCAAAACTACATTCTCTAGTTTTCTTCAAGAGACAGGGGGAAATGGGGTAATCCCCAGGCTTCTGTCTTTTGTTTTTTAGAGTCTAGTTGGCTTTTCATTCTGTTTTTATTTTTCAGACACTCAGATCACTTTAAGGATCTTGTGGCATTGAGTCTCTACTTTGTAGCCAATTGGTCTCACATTTCAGAAGCTTGTTCCTCTAAAATGCACAATTAAATGCTGTCCCATGCTTTTTACTAAAAACTCCATTAGATACTCTATAACTCTCATGATTTTTGTAATCTTACACCCCAGTGAACCCTCAAATCACTTTTCCCTCCTAGATATTTCCCCTTTCCATTTTGATTTATTCAAGAGTTCATCCAACAGATCCACACGCTCAGTGATGGAGGTGGTGATAGTGGTATTGGTAAAAACACTAAATTAGCCACCAGCTCTATTATTTCACTGTGATATTAAGATATATCCCACAAATCCATCAACATGCCCACATGCCATAACAAGCTCACATGCAAATTGAGAAGCAGCCCTTTCAAGTCAGACTGACATGGATTTTAATCTCATGTGTGCCACCAAATAGACATGGGCTTTGGCAAGTTAATCAACCTCTCTGGGCCTCAGTTTCATCACCCATGAACCAGAGATACTTCTCTTAGAGGGGTGTTGTGAAGACCACAGTTAATATATTTAGAGTTATCAATTTAATATGTTAAGGCCTTTGATTATTATTTTGAGGTCTAGGCTTAGCCACATGACTACACCACATAGTGTATTCGTGTGCTTTTCTCACAAGCAGAGAGAAACAGTAAGCTTTCATTTTCCCTTTTTCTTTTAATATATTAGCAACCACTAACCTTTACCTAGCATTCAGTGTACCACATATGTGCCACAGGTTATAATAAAGAAAGGGCAGGGAGACAGAAAGAAGAAAGGAGTGGGAAGTATAGTGCATGAATTATCAACCCTTGCTTTCACACAGCCCCCCACCACCATGAATAATGATTAATATGCAAAGGGGAATTTGTTCCACCAGAAAATGATTCGGATGCCACCCTTACTCTTACGTCCAGAATTCACCACTTTCTAGTGCTCTTCTAATTCTCTTGATGACATACACGGAGAGCTTTTCTTGGGTGCAATAGTTTCTTCTCTGTGCTCCTCCAGCTGCACTTTGTTTTTATCTCCACCAAGCACTTGTCATGTTTTAATCTAAAATTTCCCAATACAGATTTGTTCCTTTCTCGATGTTTCTCAACCTTGACTGCACTTTGTAACCACCTGGGGAGCGCTAAAAAATATTGAAGTCTGGGTTCTACCCCCAGAGATTCTGATTTTATTGAACTGGGAGTGTGACTTGGGTATGGGAATTTTTAAGGGAGACTATAATCTCCAACCAAGTTTGAGACTCCCTGGCCAGCACCCTCCCCAGACTGTGAGCACCATGAAGGCAGTGACTGTGTCATACTCACTTTCATGTCCCTGGTGCATAGTATAGTGGCTGGCACAATGGTTGCTCAATAAATGTAGGAAGATGTTTAAGATCTTGTCATTTCTAATTCTCTCCCAAGTGAGGAAGGAAGTGACCAGGATATCCCTAACATTTGGATCCTGCAATCTTGAGTTCAACAATCCCAGGGGCTCCTATAATTGGATTCTCATGGATAATGATGACACTATGGGTAGTCCCCCCTGGTCCTCCCTTTGTACATTAAACAGATACAGAATAATTTCATGTTATTCAGAAGCCTGAGGGAGATCTATCATCAATCTTGTTCACAAAGGAATAGTGAGAATTCCCTCCCATGAAATGTTTAATGGAAGCAAAAAGAATACTGTAGCAAGATTTCCTTATCAGTGAATAGCCCCATCCAAGTAGAGGCATGTTAGCCCTTGATAGATATGGCAACATGAGACCCTGTTCCATAACCTCCACTGCCGCTCCTTATACCTAATATTTGTTTCATTTGGGACACATTTACTGAACGGATATTTTGTGTAAGATTCTGAGTTTAGTGTTTTGAGAAATTCAAGGAAGTGTTGGCATGATGAAAATACATCAAAATTGCATAGTACTTTAAAGTTTACAAAGCAATGTCACACACAGCACATTCCAAACTATATACTCCAAAGGATTCTTGTTCAGCTCATTCATTTGCCGATAAATTTACAAAGGTATCCAATCCTTCTTCCCTCTCCTTGCCATGGTTACAGCAAACGCTAACACTTTGGTTTCCACATCTAAAGCCAGCCCAACAAGAAAATGAGTTATTACTTGCCCAGGAATAATTTAAGAAGTTCTAGAAAGATCCCACAGCCAAAAGACACCTACCTTCCTCGCCCACATTTGAAATTTCAACATTTGAGAGTCTTCTCTTCCTGATATCCTGCTGGGAGGAGTAAGAGAAAATTCTCACGACTTAATGGATTTGTCAGCTGCTTCGTCATCCCAAGAAGCAAGGGAGAAGGGGAGCAGGATCAGTGATTGTTTGGAAGAGGATGAAGAAAGAAATGCTGGGGAGCCTGGAAAACAAATTCCTCCACCTCCGTATTCCACTTAAGGCCAGTGCTCCTTTTCGGTTTTGGGCAAAGTGATCATGCTCTCTAAATGTCCAAAAACAGGCTTAACTACACTTCTTTCTGAATACGCTCCTTAAATCTGCTTTCACTTGCTTGACATATTTTGTTTGTGTAGTTAAACCTTCTGAATATGAATTGCACATAACTGTCTCCAGATCACCTGACGGGGGGTAAAGTATTTCTCAACAAGGACCCTATTGGCATTTAGGATAGGACAACTCTCCTTCATACTAGAAGTTTTCTCTCCCTCCTCCATCTCAGCAAATGGAAGTAGTGCACCACCCCCCTGTACCCCAGTCACTCTGACAATCAAAAATGCTCCCACACACTTCCAACTGCTCACTGGGAGAGTGGTACTGATTTGGGTTGAGAATCGCTCATTTTACACCCTGAGCAAGCAAGACACAAAAGGCTCACAACCATTTTGGAGAGGCATTTTGCCTGCAGAACTTTGCAGATGGAGTTGTCATCTTATCCTATCACCTTCATTAACAAAGTAAATATTAGAAATTACCCAATCATGTAGAGCCTTTCTACCAGAAACAATACAAAATAAACCGGAAAAGATTCCCCCTCCCATCTTGTGAGAACTTACACATCACATGTATTCCTCTTCAGCTTCCCCTGAATTGAGTTGCTCCCAATAAAATTGCAAATACTTTATTCTGAAACCTTTGAAGAGGATTACTGAAGTGGTGATGTCTTACAGGTTACTCAATCAATACAAGTTGAACTTGACCCCAGACCGGAAAGTTAGGTCTACAAGAGGAACATTTCAGTGTCCCCCAGGGGGCGCCATAACCCCTTCACAAGTCTGTCAGCCCTTTGTTCACAAGTCTGTCAGCCCTTTGTTCTGTGTGTGGTTAGGCTGGTCTGCAGCCCTGTTCCATTATGAGGGTTGCTGTAAAGAATAAATCTCAAATGTGATCACCTGGGGACCAACTAGGTCACCTCTGGTGGCCCCATGGCACTTTGGCTGCACTGAGGTTTCGTAATCCACTCTTTCCCCTCAACAGTTTGATTATCCGTGGCCAAAGGTGATCCCAAGGTGAACCAGACAGTCCTGTTTCCAGGTGACAAGTCTCAAATTAATCCAATTCTCCAAGGTACCAAGCATTCCATTGCACGGGCTCTTGAACACTTCCATCCATTCAGACATACAATGCCTGTATCTCATCAAGAAAGAACCTGAATTCTGTTTCTCTAATCCCCCATGGCTAAGCAATAACTTGAGATAGTCCAAGTCTAAATGCTGAAACAATGCCACCAGGTAGTACAAGATTTCTTTCTCACTTTGCTAAGAACAGATTTTGGAAAGACAATCATTTTTTTCTGCACTCTTCCTATTGGTATCCTTTTTTTTTCTTTTTCTTTATAGTAAATTTCAAAGGCAGACCCAGTAATGCCACTCTTGGGTATATATCTAAAAGAAGTACCCAAACAGCCCTGTTGTGTACACTGTGTATAAAACTGTGTTCCATAGCAGTTTAACTCATTGCAAGTAAAAACTGAGGAAAAATTCATCAATTAGAGATTGGATAAGCAAACTATGGTACATCCATGCAACTGGATACTACCTAGCAATAAAAAAAAATGAACTATTGATGCACACTACAACATGGATGAATCTCAAATATATTATGATAAGTGAAAGAAGCCAGACCAAAAAATAGAGTGCATCTATTTATATGAATTTCAAAAACAGATGAGACTAATCTGTATCTTAAAATTCAGAATAGTAGTTACCTCTGGGAGAGGATGTTATTGGGGAACGAGAATGAGGAAATGTTCTGGGGTGATGAAATTGTTCTGTATCTATTTGCGTGGTAGTTACATGAGTGTATAGATAAAAATTCATCAAACTATACACTTAAGATTTATGCATTTTACTGTAGGTAAATTATTCCTTAATAAAAAGAATTCCAGGGCAAATACAAAATTATAAATATAGCTAAAAGCCCCTGTGAAGCATCTGATGCCCAGTGTTTATACTAATGTTTCTCTCACCCATGTCACACTTTGCAAAGTCATATTTTTATGCTTTCCTCTGAATTATATAATTGAACAGAAGTTGACGGTAACTCTTTCTTCTACAGAGCTGTTTGAGCCACAGGGGCATCCAGGAGAGTAAGCAAAATCTCCCAGCAGTCTCAGTTTAAAAAAATCAGATTAGTTAAGGAAGCACTTCTTCCTCATCCTCAAAACCTTGCCTGGAATCTTTGAGACAGGCCTCCTTTTATGAGGCCTACTAAACTCTACAATGACTGTTGGAGCAATAATTGCCCTATGTCCCCAAGTTTCTTCCTTTTCAAATTCAGTCTTTGCCCATGTGAATAATTTATGATAAGTCTTGTTTAGAAGACAAACACATTGTCTCCACCTGATTGAATGCCCCTTTCAGCCTTTTAAAATGCAATAAAGCAATTCAGTGTTCTAAAATTGTTTTCCCAGGCAAGCATTTAATTACTGCACAATTACCAAGACCATGCATCCAAACTGGCACTTGCTAACTCTATAGCAAGAATAATTTAAAATTTTTTTAAAAAACTATGAAGAGAATCATATTCCAGTTGTATACAACAGCACAGTGGGCTTCTTGAGTGCTTATCACATTTTTATCAAAGTGGAGCCAATTAGAATTTCAAAGGAAGTTATTGCAGCATTGCTTATGAGTTTTTGTTTCTGAACAGGCTAAGAAGAATTTGATGAAAACTTGATTTGTTATTGCATGTCAGAGTTCAAGGCCACTGGCTGAGCTCAGCAGAGGAAAACCCACCAAGAAGCTAAGCTGAGTAAAGAATATCCCAGTAATCTTTCATATTTTATCAAAATGTGAATGTCTTGAGCACATAAGTGGCAACTACAAAAGTTGAAAAACTTTGAATTCATGCCTGTTAAAAGTCATTTAAACATTTAAATTGAAGGATAAAATCAGAAAGCAAAGGCTTCTTAAGGAAGAGTTAGAACCAGAAAATCGAGATCTATCAGTCAATCTTTGGGGCCAACCTGAGCCACACACACCCAGGTTGCAGACCCCACGACTTCCTTCCCAGGTTTGCTAGAGTACTGTCTTAGATGGGGTGCTTCAAGAGCAGACCCTAGACTTGGATTTGCGTGCAAGTGATTTATCAAGGAAGAGCTCCCAGGAGAAACCAGTAAGAATAAGAAAACAGCAAGGCAGGGAAGAGGAGGAAGCCAAACAAGGGTATGATCTCAAGCATTTGGGGCTCACAACTCATCTGGATCCCAAGGAATGCTCTGAAGTGTGAATCCCACCCTGAGGCATGAGAACACCAGTCAGTCATTGGCTAATGGACCTGAGGTGGACGTACAAGGAGATAAACTCCCTATAACTTTAGGTTTTCTCCTAGTGCGTGAAAGTTGGCTCCAAGAGCCAAAGGACAGTTGTCTGAAAAAAAAAAAAAAAAAAACTGAAGGCAGTTGTGTACTGGTAAATGTTTAACAACTGGGTGGGAGCTGGGAGAAAAAGCCTTGATTTGTAGCCATTACCCATTTCCATGATGTAAAATACTCCCACCTTGGCCAATGTCAAACTACTGATTTGATGTCACTGAACATGGGGGTTTGGGAAGAAATGCACAGTAGCACCCCCCATTATATAGTATTTCTACCCTACAGATAAAATAGAAATAATCTCAAGATCATGGATAATAGTAGTATGTAGCAAAATAATTAGGAAGTGAAGAGTTTTTAGTATTTATTACCTTTCGTATAATATAATTTATTTTATTGTAAGTTTATACAGTCAATTCTCATTATTCATGGTACTTTTGTTCTACAAAGTTGCTGCAAACACTAAATCAGCAAATATCAAATCAACATTTCTAGAAGACATACAGAGTTGGGTTCCTGTGAACCTCTGGTCAAAGCATTTTCGTCAACCAACTATATTTTATATGTGTTTCTATTTAAGATGTCTTATTGCCGATTCATTAACACCAAAATCATGGCCCACAGCACTGCAGCTTATGCCTGAATGAAGCTCCTCTAACACGTATGTTTTCCCCATAAAGCACATCACAGCCTTCTTGTGCTTGGGAACATTAGACAGCACTTCAGCACTGTAATTGGAGGCCATTTTAAACAGTGAAATCACCCTCAAAAAGCAGAAAAATGTGAAAAACCTGGCACTAAATATACCACGAAAAGGACGCTTGTTTATAGTATGAAAGCTGAAACAAGAAGCCCTTGTTCAACCTCAGCTGGGAACGTGCACGTCGGGCAACTCAAATTTTTCGCAACTCTGCACACGCACATGTCCACAGATGACCACAAGTATTGATTTGGGGGTTACGAATAAATTTTAGTGAGTAAGTGAATTCACAAATATGGAATCCACAAATAATAGGAGTCAACTACCGTATAACTTAATTTTTAGTAATGGCCATGTTTAACAACCCACTGACAGAATTTCTAAAAATTTAACAGTCAGCTCTTGTAAGCCTGAATGAGCCAGCTCCAGCACAGCACTGACTGGACTAGACATTATCTTGACAACCATCTCCACTGGCCTGTAAACTCCTACTAGGCAGAAACCAGGTCTTGTTTATTTTGTTATTCCAGCACTTAGCACAATGCCTGGCTCATGGCAGGTAATCAGAAACTGTTAATGGAAAAATGGATGAATAAATGCATGCATGCATACAATTCCCCTCTTTTTATTATGACAAAATAATAAACTCACATTGAAAGAGCTTTTTTTTTTTTTTTTTTTTTTTTTTTGAGACAGAGTATCCCTCTTGTTGCCCAGGCTGGAGTGCAATGGCGCGGTCTTGGCTCACTGCAACCTCCACCTCCTGGGTTCAAGCGATTCTCCTGCCTCAACCTCCCAAGTAGCTGGGATTACAGGTGCCCACCACCACACCTGGCTAATTTTTTGTATTTTTAGTAGAGATGGGGTTTCACCATGTTGGCCAGGCTGGTCTCGAACTCCTGACCTCAGCTGATCCACCTGTCTCGGCCTCCCAAAGTGTTAGGATTACAGGCGTGAGCCACCGCACCCAGCCGAAAGAGCCTTTTTATGTTTGTGAACTACCTTCCCTTCCAAAGGTTGTTGGGGTCCCATCTAAAGGTTGTTTTTACAAAATTCTGTGACCAGCATATTTAGTTGTGCAGACAAGAAAATGGAGCACTGAGATTAGGTGACTTCCCAAAGCTGACAGAGTCAATTAGGAAGAGAGCTAGGACTCAAATAAAATCTTCATACTTTAAATCCAATGTGCCTGCATCACACTACGATTAGCTGTGATCCTCTAATTAATGAGAGCACCGACAGCCAACACACCCATGCTATGCATGTGCAAAGTACCCACATTTGCTTCAAAGGTTTCAACTGGTCACTAGTCTATCCAACGAACAAACAACAATGAAAATCACCTCCCAGAGTTACAACTCTTCAGTCACTCATGGCACACAATTTAGTGTTCTGGATTTTAAAGTCTTCAAATAACTGAAACACAAATTAACCACAATTGTTTCTGTAGCACCACTTTTTAATGAAATGTGTTTAAACTGTATTATGTGCAGAAGACTGCTAAGGTATAGCCTGCAACCTTTGCAAATTTCTAAACTCTCAAATAACAAATGTTTGTGCAAGCTCCTGGCTATCTCCTAAATCATATTTCCTTTAAGAGTAGCTTATTTCCTGTGCATGTCCACACACCACAAGTTATCTGCCTTTTCAACTTCTACCAGTGTTTTCTCTTTCACTTATGGCTGTGTCTAACAAAGAAACATTTTTAACTGCTTTGTACCTGACGTGAATAGAGAACACAGGAACCATGTTGAGGTTCAGAGGCTAAGTGGTCAGCTAAATTTAGTGGCTAAATGATACAGTTCTGTAACTCAGCCTCACAAAACATAAAATTCAAATCACCAAAAAAGAAAAAGAAAAATCTGGAACTGCAAATGGCCTTTTCAAACTGTACTGCCATATTCAGAAATTGACCTCTTCCTTGGAGATTCTAGATCATAAGAATAAGCAACAGGGCCTACAACAGTGCCTAGATCATAGTAGGTATTCAAAAAAAATAGCTCAGCAACTAACCAGAGTCTAGATTCTCCTCATAAATCTTCAGGAACAAGAAAAATTATACTACCGTTGAATGAAAGATCTTCCTTGGCTCTGGTAGTGACTAATGAGCCCCCATCAGCTCAGCTACATTCAAGAAGTTTGCCAATTATTTGCAAAGTAGCTAATCACAGTTGGCCCTCAACAGCCTTAGAATATAGTAGTGTACAGTTCACAGCTTTATTTCTTTGATACAGAAAGCTTGTATACTGTCAAGAAATGAGACTCAACTCTTCAATGAGATGGGATTACCCCCTTTCAAGAGTGTAATCTGAAGGAAGACTTGAGAAGGTTCCCTAAAACTCAACTAGGAAATGTCAAAAGCCTTCCCTTAGCCCAGCAATTTCACACCTGGGAATTTCATTTTAGGAATTAACAAAGGATTAATACATAAAAAGCTCCCATAAATATTTAGCAAAAATAAAAAGAGCATACTATTTAACTTCGCAAATGACAGAGGATATTTCAGAGTAAAAATATAAATAACCAATAATTACAGGAAAGAAGTGCAATGGTGAGATATATTTACTCATCAATCAACCTGGAAGAATTGAAAATATTAGTAATACTCACTGTTGTCAAGGGTGACATTTCTCACTGTTGAGAGAATGGATTGGAGGAGTATTATTTGGTATTCCAGATTTTGAGGATCAATTGTCTGTATCTATTGAAAGTGAAAATGCCCATGCTATCTGACCCAGCTATTACACCTCCAGGCATCTATCGCATAGAAGTATAGAAATATATGCACATGTACAAAAACATAGAGATGCAAAAATACTTCGATTGCCATTTTTTTAAAAAAATTACAATTAAAGGTCCATTCTCAGGGGAGTCATTACATAAATTATACCATATCAATTCAATAGAATAATATGAAGCCATTTAAAAGAAAGAAGTGCATGGCTATATTAATACAGAACAATCACCATGACATAGTAGTACATGGAAAAAGTAACTTGCAGAATAATTCAGTGTAGATCTTATTTAAGAAAAAAGGCTGTGTATGAGCATATGTACATGTACTTGAATATATATGTATAGAGAAAGGTATAAAGGGAGACAAGAAACTGCAGTTGTTGCTTCTGGGAAGGTGAGTAGATGGACAGACAAAGTGAAGAGGCACTTTTACATTTTACTATGTGTACTGCCACATCATCATAATTTTGCAAATGAAAAGGTATTTATGTATTGCTTAGATGATTTTTATAAAACAACAAAAATACATAATAAAAGAATTTTTTTGAACAAAGCCTTCATCTAGAAAGGACTTGCTATTGGAAGGCAGAAAAGCAAAAGGGAAGTTTTGAAAAATAAAAATGAAAAGACCAAGTGAGTGTGTGTAGCTGAAGGTTCAAAGGCCACTTGCTGACTCTACCCTAAAGTTAAAAATTGGCCACTAGAAATCTGAGGCCGGGAATCACAGGGGACTCTGTTGACTGCTTGAGCTGAACTAATCTGATCAGAACCTGGATAGAACATGAACAAAAATGTTTCTTTCCACTTCTGTCTCTGTGTAGCTTAAAAGTGTCCACCAATTCTTTGCCACTCCTCCCATCAAAAGCTGGAGTCTATTTTCCCTCCCCTTGAATCTGGGCATGCCCTGTGACTTGCTTTGACCCATAGAATATGACAGAAATGACAATGTGCTTGCTCTGAGCCAAGCCTTTGAGCGCCAAGCCTCAGAGAAACCTGGAAGCTTCCACTGTCTGATTATAAGAAGCCTAAATATCCTGAGACCACCATGGTAAGGCCCAGCTAGCCACATAAAGAAGTCACATGGCAAAGAACTGAGACCCGAGCATATGACCCCAAGTGAGCCATCTCAACCAATTCCCAACCATTCAAGCCACCGAAGCCAAGGACCCAGACATTGTGAAGCAGAGGCAAGCCACCCTCACCGTGCCTCTCCAGATACTTGACCTACAAAATCATGAGCAGCTAAAATAGTAGTTGCTTTAAACCACTAAGTTTTAGGGTAGTTTGTTCCACAGCAATAGGTAACCAAAACTCTCTGTGCTGTTCTCTTTCTCCCCATTCTTTCAACTATGAGAAGACATTACAGGGATTTGTAGTCTGACACAGTTGGATTTCATTACAAATCCTATAGTCACAGTACTGACCATGGAAACAAACTAACATTCTGACCCAAAAGATGCAACGTGCCAAACACTCAGACAACTATCTTCCTAGAAACTTCCAACTAAGTATTGTAAGATATCCAATAGTGCATGGGTGTTTTCGAGCTGGAAATAATCAGGTCATTCTTGAACTTGGAAAACCAAATTGCCAGCCTCTGACATCACAAAAGGATTTCTCTTCTCTGGAACCTGCTCTGCAGAAGTTCATCCAGAGGCTGGACCCTCCAAGGGATACACCCTGGCTCCGCCACCTGGTCCTTCTACATGCTGGTCCAGCCTCTGACTAGCATGGATGGGGAGCATCTGGGAATCATTGAGGGGCTAAGGGAAGTGGCAAGCAAGGAGGGTTATGGGTGTGGGTGGGAGCAAAGCCACAGCTGCAGTCTTCAGAGATCATCTGGGTGGGCCCTGAGACTGAGACCCCAACAGGATTTGAACCCAAAGAAATCTGGCTGTTTGACTTCTCAAAGAAGGAGGTAGTCAGTCCCTGTCAACACTGGCCTGAAGCTTCTCCAAATGATGTTTTCCTAGCACACCGAGGTAAAAGTTGCTTGGTTGCCCTAAATCTTGAAGTCGGTCTCTTCCTAACAATCTTTCTGACATGCACGTCTCAAATATTCAGCGTGGTCCAGAAGTTAGAAATCACTGTATCCATCCAGATGAATGTACACAGATGTTTCTGACTTCATTCTCACATGAAAAAAAATAATTGAATTGCTCTTTCCCATTTTGGGATATTTTGACTTAGTTTACTGGGAATTTTTCTGGCTAGTATACAGCTGAAGTTTTGAAACTTCCCAAGAATGATACATTTTAGTTGTTCTGCATAAACAGATGTGACCACCATCTATTCTAGATCTAGACCCTTGCTACTCCAGGAACCAGCAGCATCAGCATCACCTGGGAGCTCATCAGAAAGACAGAATCTCAGGTCTCACCTTAGACCTACTGCATCAGAATCTGCTTTCTAACAAGATCTTCAGGGATTTGTGTGCCTACTACATTTGAGAAGCTCTGATCTGGGGGACCACATCCTTTGGCTGCTGCTCCAGGAACATCCAGCTCCTCCTTCATCCCATACAATTTCTTGAAGATAGAATCATTTTTCAACAAACATAAAGACTGGCTTTGAAAAGCAACCCCAAATAGACAAACTCACTGCCTCATATAGCAAGAACTCAATTAGGTATGGGTAGAAGTTTACCTAGAAGGGTGCATGGTTGAATTATGTCCCCCTAAAATATATATTGAATTCCTAGCCCCAAATTCCTCAGAATATAACCTTATGTGCACACTTAGTTCAATATGACTAGTATCCTTATAAGAAGAGAAGAGATACACAGGGAGAAGACGGCCATGTGATGATGGAGGCGGAGACTGGAGTGATGTACCTACAAGCCAAGGAACGCCAAGGTTTGCCAGCAACCACCAGAAGCTAGGAGGCAGCCAAGGAGGATTCTCCCCTACAGGTTTCAGAGGGAGCATGACCTTGCTGACACCTTGATTTTTAACTTGTAGCCTTCAAAATTGTGAGACAATAAACTGTGGTTTTCAGCCACCCAGTTTGTGATACTTTGCGATGGCAGCCCTAGAAAACTAACATCGATCAGAAAGGGGCTTAATGGACTCATGCTATCTAGAAGAGTCTCCACTCCTTTCTTGGCCCCAAATGAGAGCTGCAGTGTCTCCTGCAAGGGGCCCTTCCTTCATGATTCAGGGCTGAAGAATCTCTAAGCACTATTGCTATCTCTGGTGATAACATCACAGAAACTTTTCCAGCAATAGGAAGCAAACAGAAGTCAAGTATTGAAAAATGCCTCATATACCCCTGCCCCACCCTGTTTTAAGCACTCTGGGAATGGAAGGAAGTGAAAGCACAAATGCTCCTCAGAGCCTAACTCCCTCTTCAGGAACTCAGCCATCAAGCTGGCTGGATTGATGAGGAGGATCCTACAGAAAATATCCCTTATCTGGCCTCTTTTTAGCTCTGTTCCTCTTATTGTAGCAAGGATCTTAGCTGGTTTGGTTTGTTCCATTGAATGCCA
Source organism: Homo sapiens (assembly GCF_000001405.40). Lineage (NCBI taxonomy): Eukaryota > Metazoa > Chordata > Mammalia > Primates > Hominidae > Homo > Homo sapiens. The sequence continues at coordinate 20,433,313 of NC_000023.11, read as the reverse complement.
TGCGGAACTTTCTGCTGTTCTTCAGCAACATCACTGATGCATTGTAACCCTGAACCTCAGGCTGAAAGGGGAAATCCTGCCTGGTGCCCTTTCTCAAGATACCAAATGTATGTTTTTTCATTTTCTCTTATCCCTCCCTGTTGTTTACCAAGCATCATTTCGAAAGATCTCAAAGCCAAAAAGAACCTCAATAAACATCTGGTCCAACTGTCTTACACATGATGAAATGGAGGTCCAGAAAGGTCAAATGCTGGACAGCAAAGCCAACATCAAAAAAAAAAAAAAAAAAAAGGAAGAAAGAAAGAAAAACCCTTAGACCATCCAGCTCCCAGTTTCTGCTAGCTTCATGGCCACAGCACAGTAAATATACTGCCTCTTGACAAGTTTTCATCTGAGGCAAAGTTTAGACCACAACAACAACTTGAGCACAGCCTTTGAAGTTGAACAGACATCAATTTGGGTTCTAAATCTTCCACCTAGATGTTGGGTGACCCTGAGCAACTTAACCTCTTGGTTTCCTCATTCCATGTAGTGGGGACAACACCACCTATCCCAAAGACTGCTGTGATGATTGATAAGATAATCTATGGGAAGTCCCATGTCAGTTGGGATGGCTGGTTTTAGCTCACAAGTAAAAGAGAGACTATTTCTTTTTGTGGCTCCCTCTTGGGGGTGAAGAAACTTTTCCCAGAAGTCCCCTCAGCAGCTTTCTTCAGTCTCATTGGCCAGAGTTGATCACGTGTCCATTTAAGGACAATAGGAATAAACTTAAGTCAATCAGGCATCCCTGAAGAGGTGGATGAGATTAGCTTCCCCCAGGACACATGGCTGAAAAAAAAAATGCACAGTTCTGTTAGAAAATAAGGCAGAATGCATGCTAGATAGGCAAGAAGCTGTGACAATTACAATAAATGTTTTCCATTAATTTCTGACAGTTTTTGTGGCAGCAACTGAGGGATTCTCTTCCTTCCCCCACCATGCCATTTCATTCAAAAGGAGTTTCCTGACATTCCTGCTGTAGCATCCCGCCATTCCTCTGGAAAATATGTCAACTCAGCTATTCATCCCTGGTGACTCACCAAATATGTAAGCTGCCCCAACTCCACGGTTATACCACAAGTAAATATCTGAGGATAAAACCATCCATGTGAATAATGCTTTCAAGTTATAAAGTTCTTAGACGTATTTAATGTGAGCCTCTACATCTAAGGAAAATGAGGATCAGGGAGCAGTGAAGGGACTTGCCCAGGGTTCTTACCTAATAGGTGGCCATGCTATGTCTAGAATGAGACCCCAAATGCAATGTGCTTTCTGCAACTCTGCATTGCCACAAGGAATCCTAAGTAGAAATTTGGCATATATGGCAGTCACCAGCTAAAAAGATAATTGGTGCCAACTGCATTGTGGGGTTCTACAGCCTGAACCCTAGGATACCCTTCTTTCAAGATGCATTCATTTTCTAATCCAAAATATTCCTAGAAATACAGATAGAACTTCTCTTTGTTCAGAGTAGAATGTCCCATTTAGCAAACATTTATATAGCAGTTGCCCTGTGCCAGGCATTATGCAATGTGCTTTACAAGTATTAATTTACTTAATCCCATTTAGTTCTATCTGCTTAGAAGTCCCAATGTCCTGAGGTAATACATGTTTCACAAAAGTCTTGTATGATTTATTTCATTGGCAATCTACCAAAGGATGAGGTCCTGAAACAGTCCAGAGTTCAGGAACGGATCAAACTTTCAGGCAAAAATCTCTTCCATCCTTTGTCCTACTCTTGTACTAGAAACAATCTATGCCCAAATTGCCCAGTCAGAACAAACACATGTAAACAATCACACTGCAGTCTGCAATTACTTAAGGAAAATTCTGGATTGTCCTAAACTTATTATAGGACATAATCCTTTTGTCATTCCTTTTTCTATTTTAGCAGATTATAATCTTCCTTAAAAGGCAAGGGAGCTTTCTGGTTCAAGTTTAGGAGGACCAAAGGGCATTGGTTGGTACTGCTTTCCTGTCAACATTCTTAATCTTCCTGTTGGTATTTTAAAATAACAGGTCAGCCATGAAAATTATAAACGGTACAGTGTAAAAGTCCCTGTGAAGTGCTGCCATTTGCAAGAAGAGGGCTTTCTGACAGTTGAGAAGTTATAATATGCCTCCCTGCTTTTCATGTGACAATAATTACTATCTAAGCTCTGAAGTGTTTATTCCCACAGCCAGGAAGACGACATTTATAACAGGTTCCAGCCATGACCCATTACTCTTTGCAATATAGAATCCCCATTTTTCAGTATGGAAGGATAAGGCCTTCAAAGTGTAAAAAGAGAGCACTTAAGATGTTTTTATTTTTTTCCATTTAACAGTCTGGGATAGCCCTTCTAAGAAGGATACGATCAACAGTCTCACATTCTTGCAAAAACAAGTCACAATTTTATAGACTTGATTAATAAGTACCAGTCGGTGCCCTTTTACCTCTTAGTCTTTTTTCTCTGTCTTTTTGAAATTAAAATTTGCCATAGATATGATAAACCAATAAAAATTACTACTCATACGTTGAGGAACTAGAGGAAATTCTGTTAAATTCTAAGAAATTTTGCTTATTTGAAAACATGGTACATTTTGCTAAAATAAATTGCCTTTGATCAAACAGACGACTGTTACAAATAGGCACTCCTCTATAAAATGCCAAATGAAGAAAATTAAAATTTTCTTCATGCATACTGTCTATGCCAATGCTTCTGATACTTTAGCATGCATAAGAATTTAGCAGGTTGTTAAAACACAGATTCCTACCCAGCCCCGGAGAATATGATTCAGTAGGACTGGTGTGGACCCCAAGGTTCTGCAGCTCTAACAGGCACCCAGTTGCTGATGCTACTGCTGCTGGTCTGGAAACCACCCTTGGAATAGCACTGTTCTATACTAATAGCCTATTCAGTGAAGGCTGAAATCCCACCTTTGGAGATCCCTTTCCTGGGGTAAAGAAATGTGCAAATAAAATTTGCAAACCCATGTTATCGACCAAAGCAACTAAAGCTGTATTATAAATTTGGGTTTCAATTCAATTAAGCAAACTTACTTTGCTGCCTTGTACTGCATCAGCTGTAGACATCAATCTTAACTTTAAGAAGTATTCAATCTATATATGTATATAAATAACAAGGCAAATTATAGCAAGGCTGTGATATGACAAATACCAAAAATAAAGTACAAAAATCCTATGAGGATATCATTTTCAGGGGATATCAAAGTGAAGATAAGTAGTCAGAAAATAGTCAAAGAATGCTTATAGAGAAAGCTTGCAAGATACTTTGCAATTTGCCATAGAGCTTTCATATAATCTCATTTATCCCATAGAAAAGGCCTATGAGGTATATATGACTTTATCTATTTTATAGATGAAGAAACAAAGGCTGAGAGCGCTAAAATAATTTGTCCAAGTTACATTAAAAACAAATGAGTAAGATTTTAAGTGATGAAGCTAAGATGAAAGTCATCCCTGGATGAAGAAAGAGCTGGAGAAGAGAAAGGAAATTATGAGGGTCTGATAGTAACAAGAGTATGAATAGTAAAAAAAAAAATGACATTATTTGCCCACTTAATAATGCCACATACAGTACTAACAACTTAATACACATTACCTCATGTAATCCTAAAAAGGAATCCCATAAAATAAGTATTATTATTATCCCCGTTTACCAAGGAGGAAAACTGAGGCACAGAAAGTTTAAGTAACATGTCCAAGGTCACACAGCTAATAAGTAGCTCTGCCAGAATTGGCACCCAGCTCTCTTAGTGTTTTAGTAGAGAGCAAGGGGTGTACTGGATGACTAGGAAATTTGATGCTACAGGTGAGGGGCAGATAAGATTAGAAAAGGGACTATCTACCTAAGAAGGGTTGAATTTGATATGGTAAGCGAAGGGGAGTTAATGAAAATTTTGTTTTGTTTTATTTTAAATATGAGAGTAAAAAGATCAGAAATCTGTTTCAGAATGATATCTCTGGAAACAGAGTCTAGGATGGTTTACAGGGGGACACAGAAGGCCAAATTTATCAGTTATGACTTCCAGGATTCACCTGAGAGCTGGAGCCAGAAGACTGTGACAAGCCCCAGATAAGTATTGAATCGCAGGAAGGAGGAGAAAGGGCTCCAGAACTGAGATTTTGTTCAAGAGGACACACTGCAGAGAGGCATCATGACCAGCCCTAAGGGTTGGGGACCTCAAGTAGACCTTAGAGAAGCCTAGAATCCTTGGGTTGGTGAGATACTTTACAGTTTGCCATAGAGCATGCATATAATCTCATTTTGTCTTTAGAAGAAGCCTGTGGAATAGATATCACCTGCTCTATTTTGTTTTTCATTTTTTGTTTGTTTGGTTTTGTTTTGAGACAGGGTCTCATTCTGTCACTCAGGCTGGAGGGCAGTGGCGTGATCACTGCTTACTGCAGCCTCTGCCTCCCAGGCGCAATCAATCCTCTCACCTCAGCCTCCTGAGTAGCTGGGACCACAAGTACACACCACCACACTCGGCTAATTTTTGTATTTTTTGTAAAGATGGGGTTTCACCATGTTGCCCAGGCTAGTCTCAAACTCCTGGGCTCAAGTGATCTGCCCACCTCAGCCTCCCAAAGTGGTGAGATTAGAGGCGTGAGCCATCACACCCCCCTGCCCCCCTACTACCCCATTTTGTAGATAAAGAAATGAAGGCTTGGAGGGTGAAAAACAATTTGTCAAAGTTACAAAGCAAGGAAAGCTAGAGCCAAAGAATTAAGTTCAGAGTTTACATTACACTTTCCTGAAAGAAAAAATTGGACATGTTTCACACGTTGGCTGACAGCCCTGATGGTGGTTCCCTGTGGCAGCAGGTCATAGGGCCCTGAAGGCAGTCAGTAAAAAGAGACTTCCAAGATCAAATAAGATGAGATTAAATTGGGTTGTCACCTACAGAACTGCTCAAAGCCTCCAATGTATGTAGGCATTGCAAAGCTATAAAAAAGGAGGCTGTAGTATACATCGTTTGCCAAAAAGAAAATATTGGCATATAAAAGCTTTACATTTTGCAGAATACGTATTAACCATGCAGCATAATGTGCAACTACTCTGAACCCTTCCCTGAGGAAGTTATTCTCAGTAAGGTCATCATATGATTGCTTGCTGGATCAAGAAGTGAATCCATTGGATGCCTTCAGCACTTCCATGATTCTATATGTGAGGCCTGACACTGGTGCACATAATAAAGGCTTGTTGCTTTAGAAAAAGAAAAAAAGTATTCTTCACTATCTGAACTTGTTATACAAACTCTCGCTATCTGAACTCAGGAACCAAATAGATTTGGGAAAGCATAGAATACTTGTATATACTTCTCTCAAATGAGATACACATTTCTTAACTTCCTGGGGGGATGGGGAATATAAGGTAAACCTTTATGGAAATATGTTACTAAACACATAATAGGCTACAGTGAGTCAATTGCCTGACTGCACCATTCCTATCCTTCTTTACTCATCTGTTTGTTGGAGGGGACTAGAAACCTGCAAACTACATTTCCCAGACTCCCTGGCCTGTTGGCCTCGGGTTAGGATCTGCCAATGGGAAGGAATGAGGGGAGACAGGAAGGTGGAAGGAAGGCAGAAGACATTTTTCTCCTCCTTCTGGTGGCATCTCTGACTCAGCAGATGGCCTTCTATTTTTCCAGCAGCTGTGGTGATGGGCAATTGCTGGTGGCTGCCAGCCACTGGGTGCTACAGTGACATTAGCAGATCTTGACATGATGGGCAGCTGCAGACTCCAGTGGCCTTTGGTGTTTTCAAGAGTGACAAGATTCCAAAAGCTGCAGCAGTGGTTAATTTCAGTGACGAATATGCTTCTGAGCTCTGAAAACATCACCTCTTACCTTTTGTTCCTCCAGTCCTAGTAATGGTTCCTCCAGTCCCTAGGGTAGCTTCTTGCAGTGGCTACTCTCTGTGGTACCTAACTTCCCCTTTTTGCTCCTTGCACTTTGCCAATTCTTTTGTAAACAATTTCCTATATCAAATTCCCTCTGAAATACCTAGACTAGTTCTGTTTTCCTAACTGAGCACTGACTGATATACTCACACAACTGAAGTTTCCCATGTTATTGCACTATTTCTCGAACTTTCCTATAGAAGCCCTTCTCAAGGTAGAGAAGGATGAATGTGATTTCTATTTTCCCCACATCTGGCATCTGATGGTTTAGCCCAAAGCAGTTTCCAAAAGCAGGAAATATATTTTCAATCTTTTGTTTCATCTTAAAAAGTTTATTTTCATATAAAATAGACCTCATAGATGATTTCACGTGAAAGATGCATCAAGTTTATTCTGTGGTTTTGCTTACCCTGGCCTGTCATACACCTGCTGGTGTGAATATCTCAGTTTGAAAAGCAAAAAATCCAAGTGCCATCTAAGACCCTCTTAGCAATAAGTCACCAAAGGACTGGCTCTTCTCTTTAGAGAGCAAACTCTGGAAGGCACCTTGGCAAAGTGGAAAATATATGGGGTCTGGAGCCAGACAGTCTGGGTTCCAATTCTAGGAGATATTTATTAGCTGTGTGACTAAAGGCCAATTTTTTTTAGCCTCTCTGAGCCTTGATTTCTTTGTCTATAAATTGAAGCTAGGAATCTCTACCATACCAGGTTGTTGTGAGGATTTGCTATAATATAGGAAAAATGCTTGGGACCTTCTAGACACTTAACAAATGATAAATTGCTATTGCAATTATCTGCCAATGCACATGGCAGCCTTTCCTGGTTGGCATTCAAACTCCTCCTCTCTGTAGCTCTTGGGAATGAAAATAAAGCTAACAGCCCACTCCCATATTCATCAGCTAAAAGAAGACTTCATAGAAATTGATAATTGTTTCTCATCAGGAAGAAGACAGGACCTCTTGATCCAGTGACTTACTTTTAGTCAGCCTTAATCTCTCCTAACAGGGAACTGTTTCATGAAGGGGGTCAATAGTGACACCTCTACAACCATTATCATTTGTGCTGCCTCTCATTGTTTTCTTACATTCCAGAATGCCAAATAATGTCTGGAAACCTAGGCACAGCTTCTGCCCAGTAGCTCATAATATAAATATACTTTTCTATAATTGTAGGATGTGTGCATCCGATGCTGAAACCACACTGGCTGTGCCACATTTGACTCCAGGCAAAAATTTAAATAAAATGGGCAGCCTGAGCTTCAAACATTTGGGAGATGGATATGCTTTGGGTTTGTTGAGAATTTGTGTCCTTTGTCTCTAGGTGAAATCTTCACTATTATTAGAAGCTGTAATAGTCATAAACAGCAATAACGCTGTCAAGAAATGCATGACTTCAAGATGCTATATTTAAAGGACACTTACTTTGAAGTGCTTACATTTATGAGACAGAGAGTATGAGTCCTAACTCTTTGCATGGTCTCCTGTCATTCCTTCTCTCCTATTATGCCCATAGTTATGTCTTCATCACTAAATGTTCACTGGGCTAGTATCAGTAGACCATGTTTTAAATTTTAGATAAATGATAATAAACCAGAAGGAATTAGATCTTAGACCTTCAAGTTTTATTCTAAAGGATTGTGAAATAAGTGGTCAATTGAAGGAGGGAAAGGAGGGCTTGGTACACTTAAAAAATAGCAGGTACTTGCTTTGTAGAGGAAGAGAATTTTTTATTTTATAAAAATTAATGAATTCTGTTTGCTTTAAAAATGTGATCACCATACCTACATCAGCATTTCAGTAGTCCAATACTTCCATTTAATTGATTAATAATTTTAGTAAGTTTAGACACTTCAAAAGATGATCCATTTATTCATTCAAGGAATAAATATTTGTTGAGCACCTACTATGTGTCAGGCAGTGTAATAGGCAAAGACTAATATAATTCTTGCCATTGTGGAACTGAGAGTCTATTGGGGTAGGTAGACCTAGTGGGTTGAATAGTTGCCCCCCAAAAGATATGCACACTCAAAACTTATGAATATAACTTTATTTGGAAAAGGGTCTTTGCAGATATAATTAAGGTAAGTTTCTTGAAATGAGATCATCCTGAATGAGGGTGGGCCCTCAATCCAGTAAGTGTCCTTATAGGAGACAGAAGAAAAAGACTAAGAGACACAGGGGAAAAGACCACGTGAAGACAAAGGCAGAGAATGCAGTGATGCTGCCACAAGCCAAGGAATACAAGGAGCCACCAGAAGCTGGAAGAGGCAAGGAAGGACATTTCCCTAGAGCCCTTGGAGGGAGCATGGCCTTGCTGACACCTTGATTCAGACCTCTGGCCTCCAGGATGGTGACAGAATAAATTTATGTTGTTCTAAACCAAGTTTGTGATAATTTGTTATGGCAGCCCTAGGAAACTAGTACAGAAGATATGAGTCAAATACAAAATAAACGTAAAATTGCAATTGAGCTGAAAGCTATGATAGAGAGTTAAGTGATGTGACAAGAGCAAACACCACAGAGATCTGACCTACTCAGGAAGATCAGGGAATGATCTGAGAGTGCAGATTGTGCCACTGCACTCCAACCTGGGTGACAGAGTGAGACTGTGTCTCGAAAACAAAACAAACAAACAAACGAACAACAAACAACAACAAACCACAAAGTCTGGGATCTGCATGGAAAGATTGGTGAATGGATGCACATTTTGAATAAAATGGTAAAGGTCTTCATGTATAATTTTTAATGATTCTTATTTTATGGAGCTTTTCAAACCAACTGTTTAATTATCTGTATGGATTACATATCATCATATCATACGCTGAACTTAATAATTTAAATGTGGGTTAGACGAATGTCTTTCCTTGGCCTGTTTCTTATCTATACGGTGTTTTCTACAATTTTCCATTTCAATTTTTTAAAGAAAGAACTAAAATACATTTGCAAGCATTCTGAGTGCAGAATCCTCCTAGAGTTTTATTTTCTGATATATTTTGCAGCTTTATCACTTATACCTAATTAAACAGCAATTTTTATAGCAACCTGCCTTTACTGAGTCTTCCCAAAGCATTCAATCTAATTTTTATAGGAAAAAAAAACCTCCCTCTCTGAAATATGAATGTGTTCATGTTTCATCAACTTATGTAACGGTTCATTAAATTATGTAATTATTTCAAAAAGGGACAAAAACAGGTTAGGGATTCTTAGTAAACACACAGCTTCACAGGTAGGAACAGAAATATGTGAGCATCCCGAAGAGTCATCTACTAGCAATGAGCAGTCACTATGCAGTGCGCATGGATTGTATATTTTACAGAGGGGATAAATGGAAAGCACTAGTAAATCCAGCAGGATGCCAGTTAAAAGAATAAAGCTGAATCTGGGTTTTAACAAGAAGGGATTAGTAGTAATAGTAGTAGTAGTATCATTGTTATTACCATTATTATTTTCAGAGACAGAGTCTCATTCTGTCACCCAGGCTGGAATGCAGTGGCACAATCATAGCTCACTGTAATCTCAAACTCTTGGGCTCCAGCGATTCTCTTGCCTCAGCCTCCCAAGTACCTGGGACTATAGGCACAGGCCACCACATCCAGCTAATTTATTTTAAATTTTTTGTAGAGTTGGGCTCTCACTATGTTGCCCAGACTGGGGAGAATGGATTTAATGTGGAAAAGAATGGATGATCATAGACCAATGAGGCTAACCTAATAGTTTATGTGAGATAAGATGGCTTGGATTACGTTGGTTATGAATAATGGTAATGGAAAGATATGCCCAATTTGAGAGATATTTAGGAGGTGTCTTGGTTCATTCGGGCTGCTATGACAACCAACTGTAGACTGGGTAGCTCATAAACAACAAACATTTATTTATTACAGTTCTGGAGGCTGAGGAGTCCAAGGCTCTGGAAAATTCGGTGTCTGCTGATGGCGCACTTTCTCGTACATGGCGCCTTCTTGCTGCATCCTCACATGGTGAAAGGGGTGAAGGAGGCTCTCTCAGTCCTCTTTTACAGGGACACTATTCATGAGGGCTCCACCCTCATGACCTCCTCACCTCTTCAAGGCCCCATCTTTTAATACTATCACATTGGAGATTAGGTTTCAACATATGAATTTTTGGGGGGACACAAACATTCAGACCATGGCAGGAGTTAAAATTGGCAAGCTGGTGAATTGGATCTGGTGAAAGATACTGAAGGGTCAAAGGTGACTCCAAGTTTCTGGTTTGTGAAACTGGATAGATACTGATATATTTACTGACTTAGGTTATGCAGGAATTGGAACAAGTTTGAGATAAGTTTGGGATATGTTGAATTTGAGGTACCATTAATCCAAAGGGGTCTAGAACTAAGAGGAGATGTCTGAGCTAAAGTTTAGCATTAAAATATGATTAATCTCACCTAACAATATATTAACAGTCATGACAACTTTCTTTCTTCCTTTTTAATCTTGTTTAGAGATGGAATCTCGCTCTGTCACCCGGGCTGGAGTGTAGTGGTGCACTCAGAGCTCACTGCAGCCTCGAACTTCTGGGCTCAAGTGGTCTTCCTGCCTCAGCCTCCCAAGTAGCTAGGACTACAAGCCTGGGCCACTATACCCAGCTAATTTTTTTTTTAATTTTTGTTGTAGAGACAGGGTCTTTCTATGTTGCCTAAGCTGATGACAACTTTCAATCAGCAAGAATTGTGCTTTGATTAAAATCTCATTAGCTGCAGTATCACTTCTGCACAAAAATTGTCACGACAATTTTGGATTTACATGTATACCTTATAAGGTTATCCACTGCCAATATTTAACAGCCTAGGTGGAAACACACATGCATATACACCATTCCATAGGTAACAAAATTTCAAAAGAAAACCTGATTTGTTGATGAGAACACATGGACAAATACAGGGGAAAAACACACACTGGGGCCTATCAGAGGGTGGAGGGTGGAGGGTGGAGGGTGGGAAGAGGAAGAGGATCAGGAAAAATAACTAATGGATACTAGGCTTAATACCTGGGTGATGAAACAATCTGTACAATAAACCCCCGTGACACATGTTCACCTGTGTAACAAACCTGCACATCCTGCCCGTGTACCCCTGAACTTAAAAGTTAAAAAAATTAAAAAACAATAACAGAAATAATTCGCAAATCATACACACACAAAAAAAAACCTGATTTGTTGTGATTCTTGTCTTCCTCTCATTAATTGTAATAGTAACATGTATTGAGTGTTTTCTATATGCCAGGCATTCTAAGTGCTCTCATGTATTTTAATTCTTTCAATCTTTATAAAGATTCTTTAAGATAGATATTGATATTATCATGTCCATTTCACAGATGAAGAGGGTGAGCCACAGACAGAATGAGTAACTGGTCTAGGATTGGCCACCCAATCAGCAGCAGAGATATGAGTCAAGCCAAAGTGGTCTGTGTCCAAATCCAGTGCCCATAACCACTACACCACACTGCCCCACAAAGGGAGGCATTCAACACCCACAAGGATTTCTAGACACAGGGCGTACTCCAAAATTCTGAAGTAGTCCCACTTGACCCAGCTCACCATCTGTAGTCATACAATTCCTCAGCCCCCAGGTTCCCGTGCTTTTAGAAAAATACATTCCCTAAAGTGGCAGCAATGATTGCTTCTTCAAATGTTTTTAAGTCTTTGTGCTGCTGGCTCAGATGGTTTTCTTGCTGGCACAGGAAAGCAATAAAGCCAATAAGGAAACTATGAAGAAGAAAGCTTCTCAAAAGAGATCTGAAATCATTTTTCAAAGTATGTAGAAGGGGGAAATGTTTGCAAAACAATAAGATCTGTCTGCAAAACTTTCCAAAAGCTTTAGCAATACCAGGCACTCGACATCTCCAAGAAACCCTTTAATCTCTGAGATAGTGAAGACGTCATAAGCATCAGTGCATTAATAACAAAGGACTTGTTTTTCTATTGAGCAGCTAAAATATATTTCTTTCCTGGGAAATATTTTCTAGATTTCATCATTCCTGGTCATAAATTATGTATTTTTAAATTGTTGTTACTCAGCTGATAGAGTCAGTTGGACAATTATTTTTACAGAGGCATAACTTGACAGTGATTTAATATCACAAACTTCACTGTGCCTGCTCTAAGTTTGTCATTTGAAAATAAAATCATTTGAGAAAAGCAAATTCATCTTGCACAGAAAAACTATGATAAAATTATACTGTCTTTCACACAGCCCTAGGTAAGATTCCAAACTCATGTTTCTTTTATCTTGTTGGTAAGTCCCCCTCAAATCAAAGTTGTCTTAATGCCTATTCCTTCTTTTTTTCTTTTTCTTTTTATCTATTGTCTCCCTCCACCTACCTTATCCATCTTATCTCCTACTCCTCCTTCTCTCCTATTCTCACCTCCTATCTTCCTAACTGGTAGTCTTTACCCTTCTCAATTCCGAAAAGAATTAAATCATGTACATGTATCATGTTTTCAACTTTTGCCATTGGTATATAGCAGGAGTTGGCAAACCACAGCCTGTTGACCAAATATAGCCCTCTGCCTGTTGTTATAAAGTTTTGTTGGAACACAGGCTAACGTATTTGTTTTCATACTGTCTATGGCTGTTTTTCGTGGTACAAGAGCAGAGTTGAATAGTTGCAACTGAGACCCTATGGCCTGCAAAGCCTGAAATATTTACTATATGGACCTATACAGAAAAACTTTGCTGACCAAAGTATAGCCCTCAGACTCTAGCAGCCAGATTTCCGGGGTCTTTGGACATATGTCTCTAGGTCAGGGGCCTGGATCACAATTTGGCTACCTTGTGACCCTAGAAAGTCACTTACCATCTCTGTGCTCCAGTTCTCTCATTTGTAAAATCAGAACCCCCGAAAGTCATTTTTGCCCCTATTTCAGAAGGTCACAGTAATCACACATAAAATTACATTCTCAATATATGAATGGGGAAAGGTATTGAAACACTGTAACTTCAGATCCCAGGAACACGGTTTTCCAGCGGGCATCATCCACAAATGACCTGGGCAGCAAATAGGCCTTCCAATTGAGATATTCCAATCTCAATATTTGTCTTTAATTGCTCACTCACCTTCATACCCTCCCTTTCCAGGTGTGAGAGTTCACTTGTGATAAAGAAGCATAAGGCCAGCTTCACATACTCCCTGCAGAAGGAATTCAGTGGCTGAGTCCACCCAGGGAGCTACTAGGCCCAGCACCAACATGAGACCCCATAGCTAGCTGCCAGAAGTTTGTGCTGGCCATGGCTGCTTGAAGTTTGTTCTTTAGCTGCTGTTTTCTCAAGATGTTCCCAGGTTGCCACTTTTGGGCTGAGGCTGCCACCCTGCTTGTTATACTTCAATTTATGAAGCCTGGTGTTGTCATTCAAGCTGTTTAAGGACAACATTGTTTCTCCTCAAACTTACTTGGCAAAATGATCCCCTTGTGAAAACATGGATATGGTACTGAGAGCCTTTGTGGAGATCATGTACATACATGTTTGGGATTGTTTCTCACCTCTTCAACAGAATATTGGCGAATAAACACCCTCTACAGATATCACAAAATGGCAGTCATCAATATGGCGTCATCTTCAGGTCTATAATGAGGAACAATTTGAGAATAGCCCAAATGGGCTCCCTTCCTATGTTCCCTATTTGACTGAAGGCGTGAAAAGACTCAGGTGAAAATGTTAATGTCACTTAGAAGAGTCCAGGCTTTAACCTGTGACCACTCCAAATTCCCATCAGCTAGCAAAGTCCTGACAAATTTGATGTGGAGGAAAGAAATGAGAAAGTCCGGGACTAAGGAACATGGGAGAGAAGGGCATACCACATGCCTGCATAAAGGGTGTCACAAGGACACAGCTAACCCAGCAAGGGACTCCTGCAGAAGACTGCTGTCCACATCTAGCAGGAAGGTGCAAGCACCGGGTTCTTCAAAGACTCCTAGCTCTTGCTGCTAAAGGCATGTGCATCACCTGGGAGCTTGTCAAAGATGTAGAATCTTAGGCCCTATCCCAGACCAGCTGTACTTTAATGAGATCCCCAGGTGATTCATACTTGCATTAGAGTTGAGAAGCGCTGCCCTAGGGCAGGCTCAATAGTAAAAAAGGACTTGTGCCAGTTTTTAAGTTGTTGTCCAGTAACTAATTTATTCTCTCAGCTCCAAACCTGCTCTCCTATGCTCTGTTCTGTGACGCTGACGCTGGGGCTCCATAAAGCGCATATCTGCTTTGCCAGCTGCACCTTTTTCAGCTCTGCCAGCCAGATACCACCTCCCAGGAGTCCAGCCCCACAGGCCCCTCCTCTGAGCTCAGAGACTTCAGCACCAGCTGAGCGGTGCCCACCCTCAGAGCTCTGAGTTTCAGCAGTATGGGGCCCCTCCTCTAAGTTTCTAGATTTTGGTATTTCCAGCTTCTTCCTTTGTTCCCTCAGCCTCAGGGGTGGGGTTCCTGCACTTGCTACCTCTGAAGTACCTTCGAGTTCTCTTTTTGCCCTTTCAATTACCTAGTCAACAACAACTTTATACTTCGTTTTCATTAACAGTGTCTTTCTATGAAAACCTCACTATTCAAATACCTGGTATGCCTTCTGTCTCCTGATTAGACCCCAGGGTAATCCACCAGAACTAGTCCAGGGACAGGCTGCTCCCACGGGGCGACCAGATGCCTTTCTATTGCACCCTCCTCACCACAGAGAAAGCCTAAAAAGAATAACACACCCCACAGCCCCCAAGGAGAGGCCCCTCTTACCCTAGAGGATGTGCCAGCTGTGCTTAAGGGCCAAAGCTAAACCCAGACAGGAAGCGTGGGCAGAGAAGAGGGCCAGAGAAAGAGGCCCCTGGGTTGCTGGCCCACATGTGGCTCAGAGCCCTCAGAAGCCCTGCTACTTCGCACTGTCGAACTTCCCCCAGCTCCTCTGTGCCACTACGTAGTCCCACTATGAGAGAAGGAGACTGGTGTTCAGCAAAGGGAATAGCTCCTTTCTTGGGTTGGAGTGGGGGTGCTGGGGAGCCTCCCCCCACAGCAGCAGGCAATGCAAACAAGGAGTTGAAAAGAGAGGCTACACATTTTGCTAAAGCAGAGGTGAGTGGGGAAAAAAAAGTAGGGGCTGGAATTTAAGCACATAGAAGCCCCCCACCCCACTCCCAACACAGAGACATACAGGGGTAGAAAGACACAGGGTGGTTCTCTGCGGTGTGTCATCTCACCAGGAAGTAACAGTCCCCTCCTAGGAAATGATGGATTCTGCCTGCTCTCCTCAGCTCTTCAGAAGCAAGAAGTTGTCAGGAATATTCAATTAAAAGGAAAGCCAAAACACCAAAACAAAAAATGACCAGAGTGTTTAAATTGCAAAACCCATTTGCACAAAAAGGGCCTAACAATAATAAAGAAAAAATAAAGATTGATAGTAAACACCAAATGGAGCAAGAATTATGTAATTTGATGGAAACTAGCATAATGAAAAGAAATGGAATAAAACAAAATACAGATTTTCAAGGAAATCAGAACCAAATTAAGAGTTCTTAATTTCCTTGTGAGTTTTGAAACTACTTAAAAGTATTATTGCTATGAACCATCTCTCTATACATTATTTAGATAAAAGGAGAGAACAGAGACCACTTCACATGTGTGACCCCTACTATGTGCCAGGGATTTGGGTTACAGTGCTGAATTTTTTTTTTCTTCTTTTTTTTCCTTCTTTTTTTATTATACTTTAAGTTTTAGGGTACATGTGCACATTGTGCAGGTTAGTTACATATGTATACATGTGCCATGCTGGTGCGCTGCACCCACCAACTCGTCATCTAGCATTAGGTATATCTCCCAATGCTATCCCTCCCCCCTCCCCCAACCCCACCACAGTCCCCAGAGTGTGATATTCCCCTTCCTGTATCCATGTGATCTCATTGTTCAATTCCCACCTATGAGTGAGAATATGCGGTGTTTGGTTTTTTGTTCTTGCGATAGTTTACTGAGAATGATGATTTCCAATTTCATCCATGTCCCTACAAAGGACATGAACTCATCATTTTTTATGGCTGCATAGTATTCCATGGTGTACATGTGCCACATTTTCCCAATCCAGTCTATCATTGTTGGACATTTGGGTTGGTTCCAAGTCTTTGCTATTGTGAATAATGCCGCAATAAACATACGTGTGCATGTGTCTTTATAGCAGCATGATTTATAGTCCTTTGGGTATCTACCCAGTAATGGGATGGCTGGGTCAAATGGTATTTCTAGTTCTAGATCCCTGAGGAATTGCCACACTGACTTCCACAATGGTTGAACTAGTTGACAGTCCCACCAATAGTGTAAAAGTGTTCCTATTTCTCCACATCCTCTCCAGCACCTGTTGTTTCCTGACTTTTTAATGATTGCCATTCTAACTGGTGTGAGATGGTATCTCATTGTGGTTTTGATTTGCATTTCTCTGATGGCCAGTGATGATGAGCATTTTTTTGTGTGTTTTTTGGCTGCATAAATGTCTTCTTTTGAGAAGTGTCTGTTCATGTCCTTCTCCCACTTTTTGATGGGGTTGTTTGTTTTTTTCTTGTAAATTTGTTTGAGTTCATTGTAGATTCTGGATATTAGCCCTTTGTCAGATGAGTAGGTTGCGAAAATTTTCTCCCATTTTGTAGGTTGCCTGTTCACTCTGATGGTAGTTTCTTTTGCTGTGCAGAAGCTCTTTAGTTTAATTAGATCCCATTTGTCAATTTTGTCTTTTGTTGCCATTGCTTTTGGTGTTTTGGACATGAAGTCCTTGCCCATGCCTATGTCCTGAATGGTAATGCCTAGGTTTTCTTCTAGGGTTTTTATGGTTTTAGGTCTAACATTTAAATCTTTAATCCATCTTGAATTGATTTTTGTATAAGGTGTAAGGAAGGGATCCAGTTTCAGCTTTCTACATATGGCTAGCCGGTTTTCCCAGCACCATTTATTAAATAGGGAATCCTTTCCCCATTGCTTGTTTTTCTCGGGTTTGTCAAAGATCAGATAGTTGTAGATATGCGGCGTACAGTGCTGAATTTTAACATCAGTGAATTTTCTGTCATCTGCCAGATAAAACTGTTATTACCATCCCCACTTTAGGAGGAAAATGAAGCTCAGAGGTCCTGAGGCTTACTGGATATTTGGGTGCATGGACAAATGGAATTGGGCTGCAGACTCCATAAGCTGTCTTCCATACCAGGCAGCCTCCTCCCAACAATTTACTTGTGGGTTATTGAAGTCCTCCACTTTTTTTACAGCCTGCCCTGATTTATTGTTTCCTGCATGTTGATTAAAACATTCAGCTTTGCTGGATTTGATTATTTAAGTAGTCTCTTACATAACCCGACTTTGGTTCTACTATTTAAGTATGGAATTTCTAGCCACCGAGAATCTATAGTTCCTTGCTCATCATAAAGAAATCTTCATTTATGATCTCCTTTGCCAAGTATACCCTCAAGTTTTATCTGTACAATGGAGCTTATTGCCTGATAAAATTATGTGCAACCTCGGGATGGAAACCGCAAAGTGAATTGTAACTGAATCATTAGGTAGCACACGCCTCATTTTTGAAAGCCTCTCCGTTCATGATGATACTGTCTAAAGACACCACCAAGTTGTTGGTTCTTATTTTTTGTCGGTTCTTATAAACAGACTTCATGTTTTATTATACCAATCGTATGAATGTCAATTGTCCTCTGTAGCAGTGGTTCTCACACTTGAGCGTGCATCAGAATCCCCTGGAGGGCTTGTGAAAACAGATCACTGGACCTCATCCCCAGAGTTTCTGGGTCAGCCGGTCTGGGATGCAGCCCAAACATTTGTATTTCTAACCAGTTCCCCAGTGATGCTGATGCTGCAGGTCTAGAGACCATACTTTGAGAACCACAGCTCTATAGGAAGGCTATAGAAAATGAACTAGCCATCCCTACCTTTCTTCTTTAGTAATGAGACCCTGATTTTAATTCGGGGTGAAAATGCCTCTAGCTAAAAGATTCTATTCCTCGGCCTCTCTTGCAACTTGGTATGGCCACGTGACTAAGTTCCAACCTGTGAGCTATAAACAAAAGTGTTGTGTGGGAATTCCAGGAAGGCTGCTTGAGGGAAGCTGAGTCACTGGGAAGAGGCCTGTGCTATGCAGCCCCTATGATGCCACCTCCTGGGATTTAGGCCCTCGTACAACCCCCTCCGCTTGAGTGTGGGCTAAATTTCTAATGGGAGAAGCCAGCTGCCATGTCATAAGGCAGCCCTCTGGAGGGGCCTACATAAGTAAGCTTGAAAGGGGACCTTGTGAGGCCTGCCAACAACTGCAGAAGTGAGCTCAGAAGTGGATCCTCCCCAGTTGAGCTAGAGATGACTGCAGCCCCTGCCGACACCTTGATTGCAGCCTGTAAGAGCATGAGCCACGACCACACAGCTAAGCCGCTCCCGATGATGAGCCACAGACACTGTGAGATAGTGTTTATCATATCCAGCCCTCAAGTGTTGAGGTAATTTATTACACAGCAATACACCACTAATCCAGAACCCCTTGACCCTCCTCAGCTGTTTCATTCTGCTGCTGGCCTTGTACCTGGGTACAGGAGTGAGAGCTGCACAAGCCTCTCTCCACCATAAGGACAGAATCCACAGGATGAGCATGGCAGAGTCAAATGGAGGCATCTAGGTCCTGTGGATGCCTGAAAGCCAACACAGGGCTGCGCACTTCCTGACTCTCTTTACATGAGGGAGAAATAGACTCCTCTTTTATTGAAGCTTGAAAAAAAAAAAAAAACATGTATGCCTGGCTCTCTTCCTTTCATCAAGTCTCTAAAATAGCAATATAATTTTTAATAGACACTTAGCTCTTGCTATGTGCCAGACTGTATCTAAATGCTTTACAGATATTAACCCATGAAATTGTCATCACAACCCTATTGTGAGTTCCACTTTGCAGATGAGTAACCTGGAGCTCAGAGAGGTTAAGTGACTTGCTGAAGGTCACCCAGCTAGGAAGTGGCAGAGCCAGGATTATCAACCCAGGCACTCTGGCTGCAAAGTCTGTGCTTTCAGCCATGAAGCCCTGTTGTGTTAACATTTACTAAGCACTTCCTGAGTGCCAAACATCATGCTAATTGCTTCACACTTTTTACAGATGAGGAATCTGAAGCTCAGAGAGGGTTAAGTACCTTTCTCAAAACCACAGTCTAGAAGTGGCAAGTTGAAATTCAAATCTACATTTCTTTGCTTCCAGGGCCAGCACTCTTACTACTTGGGAAATGACGCTTCTATTCTGGGCTTCATTTGTCTTCAAGCATTCCCAGTGACTGCGTCATTTAGCCCAGCGCTCCCCAAACTTGGCTGTGCTTACAGATCATCCGGGGTTCTTGGTATATAGAGATTTTGACTCTATTTATCAAGTAGGTATGAGCCTTGGCCTGAGAATCCGCATTTCTCGCACACCACCCACTGCCTCTCTTACCAGGTGACTGTAATGCTACTGGTTCAGGGACCACAATTTTCATATCAGGGATCCACTTCCCCCTAAACTTCAAGCCATATGGGAACATCACCTCTCTTATGGTAGTGGTCCTCCTAAATTCAGGCCAGTCGGCTCATTCCCTCCTGTCTCATGTGGCCTTCCTGTCTCTTCTGACTGCAGGGGCTGTGTTTCTCCTGGAAGGATGGAGGAGACTGACATTCTCCTTAGCAAGGCTTGACCTTAAGTGGCTATAAAACAAGAGGGAACTGGAGGAGGTGGTCAATCAAGTTCTTTCCAGCTCTAAAAGTTCTTGATTTTGTGCACAATATGATTTTCTGCCACTTCCCACACCTTTGTACTTCTCTGATGAAGCAACAAAGTAATCTGAATTACCACATAATTAAATGCATCTAATTTGACACAGGGGAAATCAGTGTGTCCGACAGAGAAGCGAAGAGACTTGCCAGGTTACAGAGCTAAAGGGCTGGCGAGCTGTAACCAGATGCTGGTGTTTCTCAGGCTTGACGACACCTCTGGGGGTCCAGTTAAAATACAGAGGCAGATCCAGGAGGTCTGGGGTGGCACCAGAGAGTCTGCATTTCTAAGCAGTTCTCAGGTAAAGCCGATGCTGCTGGCCCAGGGACCTCGCTTTGAGGGGCACAGGTCCAGGGTGCTTTTCTTATACTACTGCTCTCCTCTCCAACTGGGCAACCGCAGCATCAGTAATGTAGCCCCCATGCACAGAAGAGGCAGGAAGAACAAAATGAGACAGGAAGGAATGAGTCGAGTGGCCCGAATTTAGAAGGACCACTACCGCAAGAGAGGTGAGGTTCCCGTACGGCCTGAAGTTCAGGGGGAAGTGGTTAGAGTCCCTGCGAGGGCTGAGAACACAACAAAAGCAAAGAAGTACATACACACAGACGCAACTTCCGGCTCTTGGGCAGAGCTTTTCTGGCATTTCTCTGACACAAGTGCCAGTCCCCCCCCACCAACCCCCAACCTCGCCGAGCTGATCTTGGCCCTGTAGGCACAAATCTGAGTGGCATCGGGAGTACAGGGGCCCAGCCTCAGGGGAAGCCCACAGGAGACAGCACTATTTACATGGAACCAACCCAAATCCCCATCAATGATAGACTGGGTAAGGAAAATGTGGCACATATACACCATGGAATACTATGCAGCCACAAAAAGGAATGAGATCATGTCCTTTGCAGGGACATGGATGAAGCTGGAGGCCATCATCCTCAGCAAACTAACACAAGAACAGAGAATCAAATACCACATGTTCTCACTCATAAGTGGGAGTTAAACATTGAGGACACATGAACACAGTGAGGGGAACAATACACACCAGGGCCTGTTGGGGGTTGGGGTAAGGGGAGGGAGCTTAGAGAATGGGTCAATAGATGCAGCAAACCACCATGACACATGTATACCTATGTAACAAACCTGCACGTTCTGCACGTGTATCCCTTTTCTTTTTTTAGAAGAAAAAAAAAAAGAAATATGGTCTTCCCCCGATGGCTCACGCCTGTAATCCCAGCACTTTGGGAGGCAGGTAGATCACTTGATGCCAGGAGTTCGAGACCAGCCTGGCCAACACGGCAAAACCCTGTCTCTACTAAAAATACAAAAATTGGCCCAGTGTGGTGGCAGGCACCTGTAATCCCAGCTACTCGGGAGGCTGAGGCAGGAGAATCGCTTGAGCCAGGAGGTGGAGGTTGCAGTGAGCCAAGATCACATCACTGCACTCCAGCCTGGGCAACAGAGTGAGAGTCCGTCTCAAAAGGAAAAAAAAAAATACCACACACACACAGAAAAAATATGGTCTCTACCCTCGAGGAATTTGTCATCTATGTAGGGGAGCCAATGTGAAGCAAGCTGGGAGTTTAAGAGAGCTCCTAACTTGGCAGTAAGGTACTGGACGTGCAGTGGGAAGTCTCAGATAAAGAAATGGATATGGGTCTGAGAAAGTCAGAAAAGGCTTCATGGAAGAGGTGATACCTGAGTCGGGGTCTTAGGTAGATGCGGTCAAGTACTAAAGTGGCCCCAATTCCTCCCTGTTCTCTGTATCTTCACTCTTTGCCATGAAACTTTGCAGTGCCCCATCCCCGGCCACTTTAATTCTGGACTCAGCCATGTAGCTTGCTTTGGACATTAGGAAGCTAAAATTCTTCACAAAGCAGGGATCTGAAAAATTGCTTACATAGTTTCACTAGCCTTTTTATGCCTCAGTCACCACCAGGAAAATATGCCCAGGTGTATGCCCAGGCAAGCAGGGCGCAGCCAATTCATCCCAGTTGTCCCAGCTATAATAGCCAGCCAGACCCCAGACATAGGATCAAGCTCAGCCAAGGTCAGCAGAGCCACCTAACCAACCTCCCCAGGGGTGCAAGCACTGAGTTCTTATCGTTGTATGCCACGGAGGTTCTGTGGCTGTTTTTATGCAGCATTATTATGAAAACACGCAACTGATACAATAGGCAATGAGATTGGAAGAAACGAACACTCAAACATTTCCTGCAGTGACTCCTTTAGAAAACTGGCTTTGTGTGGTATTAATTGCTACTTAAAACAAAGTTCCCCTGGTTAAATGCACTTGAGAACCACAGTAAATGAAGATAACAGATTTCTTGATGAAGGACTTCCCAGGGCCTCGACTGTGAAATTGTGCACCGTGAAACTCCAGGAGGCAGCATTCAGAATGCAACACGTCCCAAACATTTTTTGAAGTGTTTAGGGATATAGGAGCTGTTAGTCTCAGCAAATCATGTGTCATTTCACAACTAGCAGATAAGTTTCCCCAGGACAGGAATATTGTCCTTCTTGTCTAGTGTTGTCTCTGGAGACCTAGGGCGATGCTTGCCACATGATCACCCGCTAAATATGTGTGCAAGGAAGGCAGAGAGGGAAGGGAGAAGGGAGGTAGCACAGATGTGGTGTTTCTTGCCTCTGCTCTTCCATTTGTACCATTGCTTCTGTGAACCATAAATGTATTGGCTTTGTCTACCTGGTGAGCCCCAATTATCCTTCAAAACTCAGCTTACAAGTCATCATTTCTCTGAAAACTTCTCTGACCTCCTCAAGCAAAGTTGGGTAATTCATTCACCATTATAGATACTGTAAGTACTGTTGCTTCTGTCCACATCCCCTGCAGTGCTGGGGGCTGCATTGTCGATTTCATCTTTCCTACCATGCTAAGTGTAAAGTCCACCATACTGTAGGTGCTTAATGAGTATGCACTAGAAAGAGGCCAGTAGAGAGGGAGGGAGGGAAAAAGGAAAGAGATGGACGGGGAGGAAAGAGAGAATGAGGGAGGGAGGGAGGAAGGAAGAGGGAGAGAGGGAGGCAGAAATTAATAAAGCATACTCAGAGATCATTTTCATAATAGCAAATGGTTGGTAATGATAGGATTGGAGAGGTTTCCTGGGGACAGGTAGTGGAGAGACATGGATATAAGAAAATGAGTTTACCCTATATTCTGTAAGAAGCCACAAATTAAGCAAGGAGGTAGCATTAGATCAGCTTTCCTCTGCAAATTGTTTTCAGTCGACAGGTAAAATGCTACTATACTACGTATTCCAAGGTAACCCGAATACAATTTAAGCTATTTACTTAATAGAGGAGATCATATGTAGCAAAAAGAAAAAACATTGCACAAGGCCTTCAACTGCCTTAAACTAACATAAAGATCTCTGGAGATGGAGTGGAAATGCTGCACTCAACTGGGGCCGGGTAACCAGAAATGGTCACTCATGAGACTGAACCATGTGTTTACATGGTAAATATTGAATCAAATCTGCCCTATGTTGCTAAACAGAGGGATGAGTCCCGAGAAGCATAATCTACAATCAGAGTGCAATAAAATGTTTTCCTTTTTTTTTTAAAGCCAATAACAGTACAAATAAGTGTTAAATCAAGATTCATTTATCGCTAGCCCTTATGAATGGAACATAAAGAGCTTGTCAAATTTACGAGTTCCATTCTCTACCCTTCGCATTTTCAAATAGATGCTGACAGTTTACTCACGACTGTCATACCTGCCGAAGTTGAAGGAATGATTTGTATTTTTCTGAAAGTGGCCCGGCATCATAGGTATCTTAAATGTTCTACACTAAATAAGAGAAAATCAGAATGTAACAAGTGTGTCTGTTTTATACACTTGTAGTCTCAACTAATTCAAAGGTGGCTGAGAGCACTAAGCAAACTAAATCTTATTTGTATTGAAATTTTAATAAGAGGTGAAGATTCAATTCTGCCCAAATCTAAACAAGCCAAAAGAATTACAGAAGTAGGTCAATTATCCAGAAGCTTCCAAAAATATAAGAAACTTCATGGGGCGAGGGGGAGGGATGTGCGCCTGCACTCGCGTGCATGCGTTAGGGTGGGTTGGGGAGGCAGGAGAGGTCAGAATGGATTTGAAGAGATTTCGGCATGTGGATATTCCAGAGCATCTGTTGCTGTCAATATATTGGGGTAGGGGTGACATTATTTAGGCATATCCAGGAATGGATGAGTTTAAGTAACAGATGTGTTACTTACCAATATAACCTGTATAGTCCATGTAAACTGTGGCTGAAAATATCTGAGGACACCCACATCCCATCAACAAAATTTTGAATATAACTAGAACTTTTAAAAAGCTGATTGGATTGTTCTATGTTTATAAAAGATCTTAATGGCAGAAAAAGGATGCTCATATTGGGGTCAAAAAAGAAGGCTCAGTCAGAAAGCAAGAATCAGCCGGTATCAGTGCAACCACCCAGGAGTGAAGGCACTGCACAGCCAAAATGGACACCCCACCCTACTCAACAGGTCCACCCCTGCGGTAGGCTATAAAATGGCCCCCTACATGATATCCACATTCGAATCCCTGGAACCTGTGACTGTTACCTTACATGGCAAAATTGACTTTGCAGATGTGATTAAATTAAGGATCTTCAGATGGGGGATTTTCCTGTATTATCCAGGTGGGTCCTAAATTATGCCATCATATGTATCCTTATAAGAAAGAGGCAGGAGATTTGACATACACAGAGAAAGCAATGTGAAGATGGGAGAAGAGATTGGAGTGATGCAGCCACAACCCAAGGAATGTTGAGTAGCCATTAGAAGCTGGAAGAGACAAGAAACAAGTTCTCCCCTAGAGCCTCCAAAGGGAGTGTAGCAACATCTTGATTTGGGCCCAGTGATACTGATTTAGGACTTCTGAACTCCAGATCTGTGAGAGAATACATTTTACTTGTTTTAAGCCACTCAATTTGTGGGAATTTGTTGCAGTGGTTACTGGGGACTAATACAACCCCCCTACCTCAGGATGAGTTCCTCAGGCAGTCAGAGCTTCAGGACACTAACCATTACACTCAACAAATGACCTCTCACCCCTCCCCCTTGGCCCTTCATGCTCTGCTGTCCCAGCTCTGATTCCTTGCTCTCCTGTTAGTCTTCTGGATTATAATTTGGCTGTTTTTGCAGATTCAAAAGAGAGAGACTACACCAGTTTGTACCAGAAGGCACAAACTTTTTGGTCTGCACAGCAGTGAGGTTTTCTATTGTGAATTCACTTTAGATTTACGCATCAGTGTCCGTGAGACTGGCTAGAAGAAGCCAACCCCTCAAACTTGGGTAGCCTCGGTCACACTAACAGAATCAATTTTCTGAAGCTGCAGTGTTGAAGTCTCAACATGCAAATTCATAACGATCTCTCCAACTTATGTAGCTTGGATGTTTGTTCCCCTCAAATATCATGTTGTATCGTAATCCCCAATGTTGGAGGTCGGACCTAGT
Source organism: Homo sapiens (assembly GCF_000001405.40). NCBI lineage: Eukaryota > Metazoa > Chordata > Mammalia > Primates > Hominidae > Homo > Homo sapiens. The sequence continues at coordinate 20,408,137 of NC_000023.11, read as the reverse complement.
GGGAGGTTCTTGGATCATGGGGCTGGATTTCTCATGGATTGTTTAGCACCATCCTCTTGGTGCTGTGCTGATGATAGTAAGTGAGTTCTCAAGAGATCCGCTTGTTTAAAAGCGTGTGGCACCTCCCCCAAGCCCCTCCCTCTCTGCTCCTGCTCTAACTATGTGGCATGCCTGTTCCTGCTTCACCTTCTGCCATGAGTTAAAGCTCCCCGAGGGCTACCCAGAAGCCAAGCAGATGCCAGCACCATGCTTGTTCTGCCTGTAGAACCGTGAGCCAATTAAACCTCTTTCCTTTATAAATTACCCAGTCTCTGATATTTCTTTATAGAATTGTGAGGATGGCCTAACACACCAGCCTACTAAAACCCCAGACTGGGCACCCAGCCATCCTTCCTTGATAACATATCCAGCTCCTCCATCAAAATATAACTGTTGCCTGCATTGATTGAACTCATTTCAGGTACTTGTATTGGTGCGTCTTTTCTCCTCAATATATGTAAGAATATTATGATTAACACCATAATACAGAGTGAGAAAAAAATAAAAATAAAAAAGAGCATTAAGAAAATAGGCCCTTAGTGTATTTGTCGAGACTCATTCAGCTGCAAGTGAAATAAACCCCAACTCAAATTATCTTATATACACAAACCAAAATGAAATTTATTTCCCTTCATAACTGAGAGGTTCAAAGAGAAGGCTTCAGCTTCAGGCATGGCTGGATCCAGGGGTCCAATAATATAACCAGGAATTTGTCCCTTTCTGTCCATCTCTCAGTTCTGTCTTTCTCTTGTTGACTTTTAGTCTCTGTTAAGCCTTCCTCTCTGGGTAGTAGGAATATCCACTAGAAGTTCAACAGTTACCCTTATATCTAGCAATCACAGCAAAAAGGGGTTACCTCTTTACTATTTGTTACAGCAAAAATTCTTGGAGAAGCTCTAATTAGGGTTAGAGCTAGGGTTATAGTTCCATCTAGGGTTATAGCTCCATATTTGAGCCAATCACTGTTGCCAAGAAGCTTTGTGTTAAATTGTCTACATAGCCAATAACTTTTAAAATGTTTCAGTATGAGCCGCCTGCAGTGGCCCACTCCTGTAATCCCAGAACTTTGGGAGGCTGAGGCAGGCGGATCACTTGAGGCCAGGAGTTTGAGACCAGCCTGGCCAGCATAGTGAAACCTGCCCCTACTAAAAATACAAAAATTAGCCTGGTGTGGTGGTGCACACCTCTAATCCCAGCTACTCAGGAGGCTGAAGCAGGAGAATTGCTTAAACCTGGGGAGGCGGAGGTTGCAGTGAGCCGGGGTCATGCCACTGCACTCCAGCCTGAGTGACAGAACAAGACTCTGTCTCAAAAAAGAAAAGTTTTAGTATGAACAATGTAAAATATGTATATAAATCAAGTCTGATCTCCACCCTAGGTGGGATTAACATCTAAAATCCTCTAATCAGGAATCAACACCCCAGGGGTGATAATTAGCATGGAAGTACTTTTATCAGGAATCAGCACCTTCCCAATGTCCCAGCAGGAAAAAGGCAGCCCATTCAAATTAGGATAATTCAAAGAGGAGTGTGAATAAGGGATACAGAAATCACAAAGGATAGTGAAGTACCAAAAACTAGTAACAACAGGGCTGTTACTACTTATAGGCCCAAAGGGATGAGGGAAAGGAACAGTTACCAGAACCAGGCAGGAGAAAGTCACGTAGACAGTGCCACCTTGACAAGAACCTTGACCTTCGTGATGGTCAGTGCCAGTGAGGCAGCCCTGCAGGGATGGGGTTGAAGGAATAATTACCCTAACCCTACTCTCCTCCCCTGTCCAATCATCCGCTGGGCTCACCATTAGCCAAACGCAAGTAGAAGCCAGAGGGTAAGGGAGCCAGAACGTAAGGGAGTCGGTCTAGACACGTGGGCCTCCCAGGTCAGAGAGCAAGGGAAGAAACACAAGCAGTTACATCTAAACAGTCAAACAGAAAACATTCAGTAGCAAACGTGAGGATGTAGCACTTAAAATATATTATCAAAATCTACACCTAGAGTGTTTCCTAATTATTGATAATATAAAGAATGTTAGGAAAATGTTATAGGTGAAATGAGTAATATTCAAAGTAGTAAATGATTAAGGAAAAATGTAGAAGCCCACTCTCCCCCACTTTGCATGAGGAGCCGGCAAGCCCGGCATTCTAATGGCACAGGCAGCACTTAAAGGCCAGAGCCCCACTTTCCTGCATCCCTCTACTTCAAGGAGAACCATGTCACCTGGCCCACTTACAGGGCTGCCTCGTCCTACCATCAGAATATTGTGGCATCCACAAGAGACTCTCATGCGAGGTGTTCTTTCAAGTATCCAGGTAAGAATGAAACTTCCCAGAACTACAAAACATACTGAATGGTGTGTTTGGGGCCTGCTTGCTAATAAATACTCATGCATTTGGTCTAAGACTTGCTTTCACTGTAGGATGCTATCTGGGAATGGGGTTATGGGGAAAGGACACGTGGCTTCCACCTGCTGCTAGCCACCAGAGGCTCCCAGCATCTGCCAAGAGAGGCCAACGTTTGTTGAAAGGCCTGGTGGAATCATGTGTCCAACACTGTGGCAAGGAGGAGAGATCATCTGCATCTAATCCATCTGCAATGAATTTTCTGTGAACAAAGTAAGTTCTTCCACGAGAAGAAGGTTGGGGAGGGAAGGACAGGATATTAGGTGGACAATAACTAAAGCTGCCCCAGTTTACTGCACTTCCATTTATGGATTTAACTTTCGTGGTTCCGACCATTCCTGAGTCACCTCGAATACCCATGATATTCATACTTTTTAATTTTGCAAAGGCACGGAATTGCACTGCCTATGCCATAAAGCCAGAAAGCAGTGAAAACGTACTTAGCTAATAAATGAGCCTAGTGACCACCTGTCAACCACATCTCAGAATGGCTTTGTTCTTCTCTCCTGCATCTACATGGAAAGCTGGTGACAAAAGGCAAACTTTGTTCCTTAGTGAAAGCGTCCCTCTGATGGCAGCAACTATTAATGTTTGCGCTGGAAGTGAAGAAGCTGCAAGTTCTTTTATAAACAGACTACAACTACGCTATATTAAAATCATCGTAAGTCTGAAAGGGCCACTCAAATATTTCAGTTTTACTTGACTGCGTATTATGAGTGAGTCTAAATGTCATAATGTATTCAAGAAGGGCCTAGAACATACTCATGAATGACACGGGCCTACTACATAAACAATATCTGCCTAACACTCATGATCCAGGTTTCAGTTACCTATGCTTGCATAGCAAAGTATTCCAAAACTTAGCTTCTTAAAGCAGCAAATAGCTTATTTAATCACAGTTCTGCAATCTGGCCTGGACTCAGCTAAGCAGTTCTGCTGGTCTTGCCAGCAATCACTCATGTACCTGCATTCAGCTGGCAGGTTGGTTGGGGCCTGGGCTCAGCTGGGACACTGGGATGCTTGGGTCTCCCTCTCTCTCACATGGCTTCTTCATATGTTCTCTTCAACAGGACAGTCAAACTTTTTTTTTTTTTGAGACAAAGTTTTGCTCTTGTTGCCCAGGCTGGAGTGCAATGGCCCGGTCTCGGCTCACTGCAACCTCTGCCTCCCAGGTTCAAGCAATTCTCCTGTCTCAGCCTCCCAAGTAGCTGGGATTACAGGCGCACACCACCACACCCGGCTAATTTTTGTATTTTTGGTAGAGACAAGGTTTCACCATGTTGGTCAGGCCGTTCTCGAACTCTTGACCTCAGGCAATCCACCCACCTCGGCCTCCCAAAGTGCTGGGATTACAGGCATGAGCCACCGCGCCCGGCCTGTCAGACTTTTATATGGTGGTTCAGAGCTCCCAAGAGCACAAAAGCAGAAAGTAGCAGGTCTTCTTAAGGCTTAATCTTTGAACACACTCTACTAATTAAAGTGAGTCACAAGGCCAACCCAGCTTCAAGGGACGGCAACTACGCAAGGGCAGGGATATAAGGAGACATAATTCATCAAGGCTATGGATGTAGTAGACTACCACAACTTCCCTCATACTCTAGTCCTACGTGCTTTAGGCTATTCTTTCATTAAATAAATCCAGATGGATCCTCATTTTATAGATGATTAAAGTGAGGCTTACAAAGGTTAAGAAAGTATTCCAAAGTCATCTAGTTAGATTTGAATCCAAAGGCAGTGCTCAATCCACTAACCACAGGATGTCTTACTAGCTTCAGAATATGCAATTAAATTCAGTTCCTGGGAAGGTTTTCATCAGGCGTTTCCGTTTGGTGTTCCCAGGCAAAAGGGCAAAATATAAATGCCCTTTTATCTTTTCTTCTCACCTCTTTATCCTCTACCCCAATATCAGCATACTCTGCTTCCGAACTTCCAGCAACTCAGATTTCAAAGGGAATCTCGTCTAGTTTTTTCTAGGCACAAAATTAATGATACTCGCTTCCACATACAAAATGGCACCCACTTAACAGCTAAGACTGAGCTCAACCACATCTACACCTGGGCTTCCCTTGTCCCTGATTCCCCAGCCCTCCATTGCCCAAGGTGAAGGCTCGCAATACTCCTCAAAGGTGCTACGATATGCCACTCCCCACTCTGAGGTCCTTGAATCAGCTTTCAGCCCAGGTAGTAGCATCAAGGAGGTCTTGAGGCTGTAGACCCTGGGCCATTGAGCTGAAGGTGACAAGCCTAGACTGGCAGTCTCAAAGGAGGAGAGGGCACCTCAGGATATAGAGGCAGCAATCCATGTATAGGAGTCCTGAAAGCCACCAGGAAAGGGTTTTTTGTTATTATTATTAATTGACATCCCCAAAAACTTACCAGAGGCTTAATCTATTCACGAATAGCTTTAAAACATTTTGACATAAAAAATTGACTTTAACAGCTATTCCTAGCAGTCTGGTACCAAGCCAGTACACTGAATGTTCAATTTCAGTTCCTGTTTTCCCTGCCCTGGGCACCAAGATGGTTTGGGAAGATAAAGAACAGAGAGAAAAGAGGGCCCACTTGAGTCACACTTGGGCACACTGTTCCTCACATTTCAGTAGTACCTCTGTACCCAAGGGTACACCTCCTCCTATGACGCCACCACTCTCAATCCCACAGTCTATGACCCAGAGCCTTACAGCCTTAAAACCTCCTTGACATATACAACTCAGGCTGAAAGCTATTCGAGAACCTCAAGGTGGAAAGCAGCAGCATAGGAACCCTTTTGAGGAACATTGAGGATCTCCACCTTGGGCCCTAGAGGAGTGAAGAATGAGGGACAATGGAAGCCCACATGTTGTTATGTTTCAGCCCAGCCTCAGCTGTAAGTGGGTGCCATTTTGTGTGTGCATGTGAGACAATTTGAAGATGAGAGGAAAATCTCATCTGCATCAGAGCAAGAAAAGCACAAAAATTATACACTTCTGTAAATGTAATACTAATTACATCATTTAAGTGATCTGTTTACCTTTTAAGCTAAATCACCTTTCAGCATAATAGCAAATATGTACATATCATTAACATGTGTCCTGTTGATATGGTTTCAAGTTATAGTTGATTATGACAGTAATCCATGAGACTCTATGAGCAATATATGAAAATCAATCTTTCCGCCTTATAATTAATTATATCATGAAGTTTCCGTCTGTAATTTGCTGCTCATAAAATATACTGTAGTCACAGCTTAAACAATTAAAGAAAATGTTAGCTATTACTCAAATTATAATATTGTTTTTTCTCTATTTAATCATTTGTCAAAAATTCTATGATTTTCTATTTAAATAATCAATGATCTTTGGCTGTGGCACCATGAAATACCTTTTTTTTTTCTATCAGACACACTTTTAAATACATGGTGATATGGTTTGTCTGTGTCCCCATCCAAATCTCATCTTGAATTGTAGCTCCCATAATCCCCACGTGTCATGGGAGGGACCCAGTGGGAGGTAATTGAATCATGGGGGCAAGTTTTTCTCATGCTGTTCTCATGACAGTGAATAAGTCTCATGAGATCTGATGGTTTTATAAAGGGAAGTTCCCCTGCATATGTGCTCTTGCCTGCTGCCATGTAGGACATGCCTTTGCTGTTCCTTCACCTTCTGCCATGATTGTGAGGCCTTCCCAGCCACATGAAACTATGAGTCCATTAAACTTCTTTTTATTTATAAATTACCCAGTCTCAGGTATTTCTTCATGGCAGTATGAAAATGCACTAATACATACGGTGTTTCTCTTCACTTATGCTTAGGCACATCTAATATCTTGTATTTCCTAGAACCAGGGCCATAGAAGGAAAATGTGGCAGAACATTTCACCTTTACCTTTCATCTATATAATTTTTTTAATTTACCTGAGCTTTATTACTGGGCATTAGGAAAGCCGTATATGGGAGAAAGTGAAATCCCGGTTATCAAGGTGGTGGAGTACCCAGCTGCATAAGAATGACTTTTTTTCCAATTATTTTGGGCAGGGGCTCTACATTACAAGATGCTAAGGGCCAAGGATGATAGCATTACTGGGTGAGATCTCAACAAGAAGGCAAGCGTCTCCAAATTGAAACAAAGATTGCATGCACAGGTTTACCCTTCTATTTGCTTCCAACAGGGTACCTGCTACAAAATGACCTAAGCAACTTGGTGATTCACACATTTTAGGATTTTTTGGATGCATAGGGGTAGCCTTCAAGAGTTAGAAATAGGTGAGAACAATAGGTCTCCTCTCCAACAACCTCACTAGCAGGTAGTGTGCTATAATAAAAGCAAGTCTATCAGACCAAATTCTGACACTCATACAAATAGTCATGCAAAGAGACATCTAGACAGCCATCCAATCAGTTCTGGAAGTTCAATGTTCTATCTTGGTGACCCTTTAGCTGCTATATCTTACATGAAAGGTTCACATGAGATAAATGTGCAATATTAATTGAAACTGTTGAATTTACCAAAACTTCTAGTCAGAATCAGGCAATCAAGTCCTCCAATAAATAGCTAAACAAGGGACCAGTCTGGAATCCTAAGCCTAGAGTGCCATTTTAAAGGTCTGTGGGTTATTGGTCTCACTGAATTCTTATACCCCTATTGTGCAAGGGGCAAGACGTCCTGGACAATATTTCTAACAATACACACTTCTTGAATAACATTCATTTCACCAGTGAAAATCATTTCTAACATCCATTAGGCTAATTAATAAGTCTGTGATATTGAGCTGAGGATTGATATTTGAAGGCTTATAGTAGTTGCTTTGGGAATGTTGATTCCTGATTAGACTCTCTCAAGAGCTAATAGTCTCTGGAATGAATATCCTCAATTAGAGGACTTCAAATGTTAACTAGCAGGCCCTAGGGCATAGATTAAACTAAATGCACAAATATATATCATGCTATCTTTGCTGAAGCATTTTAAAGTAAATTATACCACAGCAACCATACGCTATGAGATGTGATGTTGTTATGACAATAACAGAAGATGGGTTTTATGATTTTTGTTTGTTTAAATGTATAAGCTTTTGTCAAAATGAATGCCTTTGAGCTAGGCTTAGAACATGACATTTGGTAGAATTATCATATGATCCAGCATTTCCACTTCAGGGTATATCTCAAAAAACAAATGAAAGCAGTGTCTCCAAGAGATATTTGCACACCTATGTTCATAGAGGCATTATTCACAGTAGCTAAAATGCAGAATCAACCCAAGTGTCCATCTGCAGACAAATGGATAAGCAAAATGTGTTATGTACATGCAAAAGAATATTATTCAACCTTTAAAAAGCAGGGAACTCTGACATGCTACAACATGGTTGAACCTTGAGGACCTTACGCTAAATGAAACAAGTCAGTCACAAAAGGACAATTACTATATGGTTCCACTTATATGAGGTACCTAGAATAGTCAAAATTATACAGACAGAAAGTAGAAGGGTAGTTGTCAGAGGCTGAGGGGAGGGAGAATAGGAAAGTGTTGTTTAATGGGTATGCAGTTTCCGTCTTGCAAGATGAAAAGAGTTTGAAAATGGATGGTGATGATGGTTGCACAACATGAATGTACTTAATATCACTGAACTATATACTTAAAATGGTTAAGATAATAAATTTTATGTTATGAGTATTTTACCACAATAAAAAAAACTTGAAGAAAAAACCCCATCTACTGCTCTCTTGATGTTTGTGATTCATCATGAGATGAATGCTATCTGGATTTCTGTCACTCTGTCATTGCCCTGACACTCCAGGAGGAGTCTGCTGCTAAGGCAGGTGTTATGGTAGCAGTTCAGGGTCTGCAAACAGCTCATGTGTTAGAAATGAGGACTTGAGTGAGGATGTGATGAGGGATGAGACCAGAAAGGGGAGCAGGGGCCCTTGCAAAGGCAAAGCAACTAGCATGGGACAAGTGAGACATCTAGGGATTACCATTTAAAGTGGCACTCACTCTCAAATGCCAACACTGTCTTTGACAATCCTAAGAGTGAGTGTCTCCTTGGGTTTTGTACTCAAGGCAACTTGCTGGCCTCACCCTACTTCTATTCCTGCACTAGGGGCTTCATTTTCAAGGGCCCAATGAGCTGGCTCACACCTGTAGTCTCAGCTACTGAGGAGGCTGAGGCAAAAGGATCACTTGAGCCCACGAGTTCAAGGCTGCAGTGATCTATGATCGTGCCACTGCCCTCCAGGCTGGGCCACAGAGCTAGACTCTGTCTCAAAAACAAACAAACAAAAAAAAGTAAGGAACTTGGATTACATCCTGATGGCAATGAGGAAGTGTGAAGGAGCCTAAGAAAAAGATTTAGGTTTTCAAAAGACTTGCCACTCTGTAGACAATTGATTGGAAGGAGGTAAGACTGGAGACAGGAAGATTAATTCAGACAAGAAATTAAGAAGGCCTGATCTAAGGCAGTCAGCTTGGGGCTGAAAAACAATAGATGCTCAAAGAGCTGTTCAAAAGGCAGGATTGGCAGTGTGGGGGGCTAATTCAGTCTGGTGGTGAGAAAGAAAGGAATGGTCAACATGATTTCTTTTCTCACTTGGGCAATTTGGTAACATAGTGATGCTATCACCAAGAAGGGATGTGGGAAGAATAGATACAAGGGGGAAACAACACATTTCATTTTAAGCACACAGTTTGAGGTGTATGTTTTATATCCAAGAATCTACCCCCAATAAGTAGTTGGATTTCAGAGTCTGGAGCTCAGAAGAAAAGGCTGGCCTAGAGGATAGATGTAGGAACCATCATAGAGGGATAGTTTTTGAAGCCAAAAGTGTGACTAAATCTCCAAGAGCACTCACAGAGAAACATGATCAGAGATAAGATTGTGGGCAGATCAACGTCTAAAGCCTTGGTTCTTAACCAGGGGCGATTTAGCCCCCCAGGGGACATTAGACAATGTTTGAAGACATTTCTGATTGTCGCAATCTAGGGAGGAATGCTACTAGTAACTAAAGGGTAGAAGCCAGGACTGCTGCTCAACATTCTACAGTGTACAGGATGGCTTCCCACCATAGAGAATTATCCTGCCCAAAGTATCCATAGTGCCAAGGATGACAAACCCTGGTCTGAGGATATCGTGAGAGGCCTTGTCACTTGTCTCGTTGAATTCTAAATACACTGTTTCTAACATCTATCTCTGATTATTTTTAAAATTGTAGTTACCATTTCAAAGTAAGAAATGAGATTATCTCTTCCTAGAGGAACACTCCTTACCCTTTTGTCTTCAGGAAGCGGGCAGAGTCTCTAATGATCCGCTTCAGGAGTTCGAGACCAGCCTGACCAACATAGTGAAACCCTATCTCTATAAAAATATAAAATTAGCCAGACGTGGTGGCTCACGCCTGCAATCCCAGCTAGTTGGGAGGCTAAGGCAGGAGAATCGCTTGAACCCAGGAGGCAGAGGTTGCAGTGAGCAAAGATCACACCATTGCATTCCTGTCTGGGCAACAAGTGCGAAACTCTGTCTCAAAATAAATAAATAAATAAATATAATAAAATAGAGCCTGAGTCAAGGCTTAAGTGCTAAGACTATCAAGATGTGCAATCCTAGGACAAGGACAGTGAAGGAACAGGGAAGTCAGGCAGAGAAAGATGAAAAGCAAATGTAAAGATGATGCATTCCTGAGCTAACACTGCTTCTCAAAGAGACGCAGCCAGTCACTTAGCCATGCAAGATACCTCTGGACAGGCGACCTGCAAAAAAAAAAAGAAAGGAAAGGTAAGGAAAGGAAAGGAAAGGAAGAAGGAAGGAAACAAAACAACACAACCTTGGTGTCTCAGAATAGTCCATGGAAGGGAGGTAGGGAGAGGGAATGTATCTGCTGATTAACCCCTGTCTGCTGTTTCCCATAGGTCAAAGTTCACCCCATGTGGACTTAACTCACCTGCACTTTCCTGTTGCATCACCTGAGTTCTCTGACAGTCACTGGGAATACCAGATCCCACACCCTGGGGTTGTATTTGAGTTGGGATATGGTGAGAGGAGCCAAGAGTCTGGGCTCCAGGCTCAAGAAAAAGACCACTTAGGCCTATACAGAGACGATTGCCATGGCAACACAAATAACAGAGGGTCCAGGAGACAAATGAGGCTGAGAGAATCTGAAGAGGAGGATAAGATGGTCTGATACACAATGCACTTTCATATGCCATTTACTAAAACCCAGAGAGGAGGGGGAACTACATTTCCAGCCTTAAAAGCTTAGCATTTCTGCCATGATTTCTTAGAAAATGCATGCTGGATTCTACCAGAAGGGACAAAGCATCTGGAGCAGATACTATTAGTTGCCTACCCTAAAATCCATCCTGCCCTTCTCTGTAATAAAACTTCCAACTCTTAGGGTAGCACATGGCCACCCAAAATTAAGGTTTAGTCAATGAGATATAAGCAGAGGTTGTACGGCAGCATCCAGAAAACCTCTTTAAAAGATTAGATGGATGATTTCCCCTTCTCCACTTTTAAAAAAAATTCTGGAATGTAGATGCATTCATTGGAACTCTAGCCATCACTTTGGACCGTGAGAAATAGGGCTGGTGGAATAATGAGCTAAAAAGAACATGAGTCCTCAATGACTTCGTGAAGCCACCATATCAGCCTTGTGATCTATGTTTTATTTACACAGAGAGAAAAATAATCTTCCATATTTTATGTTTTTGTTATTTTGATTTCTAACACATCCAGCTGAACCTAGTCATTCTAATAATATCTTTTAGCATCTTGCTTGGAATCAAAATCAAATTTTGCAGTGATTCCACTTTCTTTACATTTTTGAAAATGGCAATGACATTTACCTGTCTCCAGATTTCTGGGACATCCCTGCTTTCCATAATTCTTCAAAGATGTTTATTGATTTTTCAGCAATCTCTTTTACAATATTCATGTCAGGCTCGGCTTTCAATTAATTCAGATTAATTGTTTACCAACATCCAATCTAATTAACTAGTTCGCTCCCCTGATGCAATCTTTTCACTCATCCTACTTTACTCTCGCCTCTTACCATTGTTTTATTCTCCATGTCAATTATTACATAGACAATAGGGTGAATTAAAGATGGCTAGAAATTATTTGTCACTCTCCCCTCAAAAGGTGGAGTTTATTTCCCCTCCCCTTGAATCAGGGATGGCTCCGTGGCTGCTTACCAACAGAAGGCAGCAGAAATAGTACTGAGCCAATTCTTTGCCTACCCTGTAAGAGGACTGGGCAGCTTCCACTTTTGTTTCCTCTCTCTTCAAATAGTCACACTTAAGACACTCCCTTTTGGAAGCCATCTGCCATGTTAGTGAGCCATTGTGATGCCCAGCCCGGTCAAGCCCCTAGTTGATTACAGCCCAGTCAATATCACATGAAGCAGAAGAATTACTCAGCTGAGTCCAGTCAACCCTGAAAATCATGAGAAATAATAAATGGTTATTATTTTGAAGCTACTAAATTTGGGGGTAGTTTGTTACACAGAAATAGATAATTTCTGTGCAGTAATAATTTTATAAATGATATAGTAGTTGGCAATTGAAGCGGAACTTTTTTAATGACAAAATTCCCAGAAATGCTAGTTATTTCAGGGAGGAAAAAACTTTATTGAGGATGTGATATTTCATTATTTCATGCATTCATTCACTCACATTTATTATCTCTGCCAGGTGTCTGTTAAGTGCTGAATTACCACAAGGCACATTTCTTGATCTTAAGGAGCTCACAGAGTAGTAGAATTTGAACTAAATGGGAACAATTCAAATCATTTTACATATTTCTGGACTATTTTTTTGGAAGAGTCATATAGACTGAAAATTCCCCACACTGAATTTGACCAAAGAACACCTATTTCTGTCCATGTATTTCTGTGGAACAATTCTTGAAGGCCATTTCAGATAGAATCCACTGTAGTCAAGCCCTGAAATTCTGTGCCGCTGAGGGTTCAAAAGAGGTTAAAAACTGGCTTACAAGAAATGCTATTGCCCTTAACCCAGAGCAATAGTGCTAGCTTCTGAGGGTGTGGTCAAAGCAGACGTCTTAACATTTCTGAGGGATTCAGCTTTTTTTCTTCCAATAATGATCAGTTTATATAATAAGGGCACAAGCCTCCCCACCTCCCATCCTACACCTTCCCACCTCAGAATAGGCAGTCTGAAACTGTCTCAGTGAGGAATTTAGGCTACAGCTGGAGAGACTCAGTAAATCTTCACAGTTCTATAGAAACAGGGAGACAGGAAGGGAAAGAAACATTGCAGAAACTTCCAGGAGAATTATGTGAAGAAGTCCTGCCAGGACAATACAGCTGGGCAACATCTTGCCTTTCTTTTTTTCTATGGAAACTCTGCTCAAAACACACACACACACACACACACACACACACACACACACACACACATCATACACACAACAAAAACACACACTCACTAAGCAGAATTTGCCAGTTTTGCTAGCCAGGGTTAGTTTTGCAATCAGTGATAAACCTCAGCAGGACAAGCTTCTTCGCGGCTATATTGGAGTAACTCAGGGCAACCAAAACAGATGGCCAAAATACTCTTCAGAAAGCAAACACGGTTTCTGTTGCCAGGCCAAGTGGAACCCCCAGGAAGTAAGGTTTCAGAGAGGGAAATTTTGGAGGTTCTTCTTCAAGAATGGAAAATGCGAATTTCACTTATTGTTCGACTACACTTCTTAGGAAACTTCCATGTCAGAAGAGGGATACTAAGATGTAAAGAACCCAGTCCTTGCCTTCTATACGAGAAAAGGTTATTCTCTTTCTGTGCCTCCTTGGCCCTTACATAGTAACTTCTCCTAACACTTCCTCAGAAGCGGTAGAAGGGGTAGACAGAAGCTTTCACCCCACACTCCCCTCCTCCATGAGACATTTCATGAATACAGACAGAAGTCTGACATCCATTCATCTTTCCTCAGGTGGCAAAAATGTCAGTGAGCAGAAATGCCCCCCCTCTTCATCTGACTTTCTTGATCCAGCCGGCCTATGGAAGGAGCTCCTAGGCCTTGCATTCTTTTCCCCATTATGAGCACATCAGGGCGGGACTTCCTTGCCTTGCAAAAGAGACCTTCCGTTTTCTACTTTTCCCTCCCTTGACTTGGGCAATTAAAGCCCAAAATAGGAGACAGATTGATGTGGGCCTTAGTTCTGATGGGAGTCCCTCTTTCTTGCTTCTTTTATCGCCATGAGAAGAACAGACCATGATTAAGCCAATAATTCAAGAAGGATGAGAGACATATGAAGAAACCCTCAACTCACCCTACAGTTGGAGCTACCCAGCTGAGTCTAGCTGAAATCAGTAAAGCTGCCCCCACCAACCTGCAGACATGTGGAAACTTAAAGCTTATTATCATTTGCCACTGAGATTTTTGTGGTTGGTTGCAACAATAGCTAGTTGATACAGAAACTGGTGATTACAGGTAATTAAAAGGCTGAACTCTGGATTCCAATTGCCTGGGTTCAATGGCAAACTCTCCAAACCAAAAGCTGATAAACTCAAACAAGTTACTCTCACTCTGTGTGCTCTGTTTGTATATCAATAAACTGGGATAAGACTGTTTTCTTTCCTCAGAGGATTGTTGTGAAAACTAGATTTCTCAATACACTCAAAGTATGTGAAGCAATACCTGGCACACAGTAAACATTCAATAAATGTTTTCCGGCATTATTTTATCTAACAAAGCTGATGCTGTATTTTTGCACATGAATACAAATTTTTGAATCAACTTCCAAACTTCCAAACTTCCACCACTCTGCAGGGATTTTTATTGGGATTGCATTAAATCTATAGATCAGAGGGAATTGGCATCTTAATATTGAGTCTTCCAATCCATAAATGTGCTATATCACTCCATTTATTTAGGTCTTTAGCTTTTCTCAGCAATGTTTTCTAATGTTCAGCATTAAAATCTTGCACATATTTTGTTACATTTATACCTAAATATTTCACGTTTTTGACAATATTGTAAATGATATTGTTTATTTCAATTTCCAATTTTTTATTGTTAGGACCTAATTAAACTAAAGAGCTTCTGCATGGCAAGGGAAACTATCAACAGAATAAACAGACAACCTACAGAATGGGAGAAAATTTTTGCAAATTATGCATCTGACAAAAGTCTAATATCCAGCATCTATAAGGAACTTAAACAAATTTACAAGAAAAAAGCACACAACCTCGTTAAAAAGCAGGCAAAGGACATAAACAGACACTTCTCAAAAGAAGACATACATGCAGCCGACAAACATGAAAAAAAAGCTCAACGTCACTGATCGTTAGAAAAATGCAAATCAGGCTGGGCACGGTGGCTCACGCCTGTAATCCCAGCACTTTGGGAGGCCGAGGCGGGCAGATCACGAAGTCAGGAGATCGAGACCACTGTGAAACCACGTCTCTACTAAAAAAATATATATATATACAAAAAATTAGCCGGACGCAGTGGTGGGCGCCTGTAGTCCCAGCTACTCTGGAGGCTGAGGCAGGAGAATGGCGTGAACCCGGGAGGCAGAGCTTGCAGTGAGCTGAGATCGCGCCACTGCACTCCAGCCAGGGTGACAGAGCGAGACTTCGTCTCAAAAAAAAAAAAAAAAAAGAAAAGAAAAATGCAAATCAAAATCACAATGAAATACCATCTCACACCAGTCAGAAAGACTATTATTAAAAAGTCAAAAGATAACAGATGCTGGTGAGGCTGCAGAGAAAAGGGATCACTTATACACTGCTGGTGGGAGTGTAAATTAGCTCAACCATTCTGGAAAGCAGTGTGGCAATTCCTCAAAGGGCTAAAAACAGAACTACCATTTGACCCAGCAACCCCATTACCAGGTGTATACCCAAAATAATATAAATTGTTCTACATAAAGACACATGCACACATATGTTCACTGTGGCACTATTCACAATAGCAAAGACATGGAATCAACCTAAATGCCCATCAATAATAGACTGGATAAAGAAAATATGGTACCTATACACCATGGAATACTATACAGTCATTAAAAAAGAATGAGATCATGTCTTCTGCGGGAACATGGATGGAGCTGGAGGCCATCATCCTTAGCAAACTAACACAGGAACAGAAAACCGAATACCACACGTTCTCACTTGTAAGTGGGAGCTAAATTGTGAGAACACATGGACACATAGAGGAGAAGAATGCACACTGGGGCCTACTTGGCGAAGAAGGGTAGAGGGTAAGAGGAGGGAGAGGAGCAGAAAAAATAATGAATGGCTACTAGGCTTAGTACCTGGTTGATGAAATATTCTGTGCAACAAACCCCCATGACACA
The DNA here is from genome assembly GCF_000001405.40 of Homo sapiens. Classification (NCBI taxonomy): domain Eukaryota; kingdom Metazoa; phylum Chordata; class Mammalia; order Primates; family Hominidae; genus Homo; species Homo sapiens. The sequence goes on along the minus strand of NC_000023.11, from coordinate 20,392,409 downwards.
AGTTTACCTATATAACAAACCTGCACATGTAGCCCTGAACCTAAAATAAACGTTTTTTAAAAAAATATTTGGCCAGGTGCAGTGGCTCATGCTTGTAATCCCAGCACTTCAGGAGGCCGAGGCAGGTGGATCACCTGAGGTTGGGAGTTCGAGACCAGGCTGACCAACATGGAGAAACCCCGTCTCTACTGAAAATACAAAATTAGCCAGGCATGGTGGCACATGCCTGTAATCCCAGCTACTCGGGAGGCTGAGGCAGGAGAATCACTTGAACCCAGGAGACAGAGGTTGCAGTGAGCCGAGATCACGCCATTGCACTCCAGCCTGGGCAACAAGAGTGAAACTCTGTCTCAAAAAAAAAAAAAAAAAACAAACAAAAAAATATATATATATATATTCATTGCTAGGATAGTGTATTTTGATATTGTATCATGCAATCTTGCTAAACTCACTTATGAGTTTTAGTAGCTTTTTGGTAGATTCTTTTAAATTTTCTACCTAGACAATCATTTTGTCTGTTCACAAAAACAGTTTTATTTCTTCCTTTCCAATCTGTATGCCTTTATTTCTTTTTTCTTGCCTTCTTATACTAGCTAGGACCTTCAGTACAATGTTGAATAGAAATGGCCGACACAATATACTTGTATCGTTCTTGATCCAAGGGAGGAAGCATAGCCTTTCGCCACTAAATTTAACTGTAGATTTGTCAGAGATGCCCCTTACCAGGTTGAGGAAATTCCCTTCTATTCCTAGTGCTCTGAGAGTTTTTACAAAAAATGAGTGTTGAATTTTGTCAAAAAAAATTTGCAACAATCAAAATAATATTTTTCTTCTTAATCTGTTAATATGGCAAATTTTATTGATTGAAACAACCTTGCATTCCTGAAATAAACCCCACTTCTTTGAGGTGTAGTATTTTCATAGGTTGCTGGATTTGATATGCTAACATTTTGTTTATTTGTTTGTTTGTTTGTTTTGAGACGGACCCTCGCTCTGTTGCCCAGGCTGGAGTGCAGTGGCACTATCTTGGCTCACTGCAACCTCTGCCTCCCGGGTCAAGCAATTCTCCTGCCTCAGCCTCCTGAGTAGCTTGGATTACAGGTGCCTGCTGCCACACCCGGCTACTTGTTTGTTTGTTTGTTTGTTTGTTTGTTTGTTTTGAGACAGAGTCTCGTTCTGTCGCCCAGGCTGGAGTGCAGTGGCGCGATCTCGGCTCACTGCAAGCTCAGCCTCCCGGGTTCACGCCATTCTCCTGCCTCAGCCTCCCGAGTAGCTGGGACTACAGGCGCCCGCCACCACGCCCGGCTAATTTTTTGTATTTTTAGTAGAGACAGGGTTTCACCGTGTTAGCCAGGCTGGTCTCAAACTCAGGTGATCTGCCTGCCTTGGCCTCCCAAAGTGCTGGGATTACAGGTGTGAGCCACCATGCCCAGCCTGATATGCTAACATTTTGTTCAGAATTTTTGCAACTGTGTTCATGAGGGATATTAGGCTACAGATTTCTTTTCTTCTTATGTCTTTGTGTGGTTTCAGTAACAGGGTAATGCTGACCTCATAAAGTAAATTGAGAAAATTTTACTCCTATTTGATGGAAGAGGTTGTATAGCAATGGTATTATTGTTTCCTTAAGTGTTTAGTAGAAGTCACCAATAAAGTTTTTTTGGGTGGGGGAGAGGGAGGTTTTACACTGTGAAAGCAATTTATTTAATAGCTTTAAGGTGATCCTAATATTCATTTCTTCTTGAGTGAGCTTTTGATAATTTGTGCCTTTCAAAATTTTTTATCTAGTTTATAAAATGTATTGGCCTAAGGCTGTCCGCAAAACAGTCTTGTGGCACCTATACACCATGGAATACCATGCAGTCATTTAAAAACAATGAGATCATGTCTTTTGTGGGAACATGGATGGAGCTGGAGGCCATTATCCTTAGCAACACAGGAAAAAAAAACCAAACACTACATATTCTCACTTGTAATTGGATTGGTTCCAGGACCCCCACCCCCAATATGAAAATACTCAGATGCTCAAGTCCCCCAATTGGCCCTGTGGAACTCTTACATATGAAAAGTCTGACTTTGGCGTCCACGAATTCTGCATTCGGTGATTACTATATTTTATACCCACAGTTGGTTGAGTCTGTGGATGCAGAATTCATGGATACAGAGGGCCAACTGTATTCTTTTATTGTCCCTTTAATGTCTATGTGATCTTTAGTGATGTCCTTTCTTTAATTCCTGATATTAGTAATTTGTATCTTCTCTGTTTTTCTTGATCAGTCTGGCTAGAAGTTTATAAATTTTATTGATCTTTTCAAGCCAACTTTTAGTTTCATTGATTTTCTCTATTTTTTTCTGTTTTCTATTTCATTGATTTCTGCTATTATTATTATTATTTTGAGACAGGATCTCACTCTGTTGCCCAGGCTAGAGTGCAGTGGTGTGATCATAGCTCACTATAGCCTCGACCTCCTGAGCTCAAGTGATTCTCCCTCCTCAGCCTCTTGAGTAGCATGGTGTGTGCCACCATGCCCAGCTAATTTTTTTTTTTTTTTTTTTTTTTTGTAGAGATGGGGTCTGCCTAGGCTGGTCTCAAACTCCTGGCCTCAAGCAATCCTCCCACTTTGGCCTCCCAAAATGCTGAAATCACTCTTATTTTTATTATTTCCTTCATCCTCCTTGCTTTGGATTTAATTTGCTCTTCTTTTACTAGTTTCTTAAGGTAGAAATTTGACCCATTGATTTGACAATCTTTTTAAAATTTCTAATGTAAGCATTCAATGCTATAGATTTTCCTCTAGGCACTGTGTTACAAGCATCCCACAATTTTTGATACATTCAATTCCAAGTATTTTCTAATTTCCCTTGCAGTTTCTTCTTTGGCCAATGATGCTATTATTTAATTGCCACATGGATCCTGCATCTATTTCTCAGTTGGTTCACAATGCATATGACCAAGGAGTGTGTACTATTAGTATCCCCAACCCAATTACCCACCAGGATCTTACTGTTAATATGTGAGGTCAGATGCATGAAGGAAGTGCTAAAGACCAGTGGATCCTATAGACCTCGTGTATAATAATCACCTAAGTCATTTTTAAAAATGCAGATTGATGAATTCTACCCTCGGAGATTCTAATTCAGTATATTTGAAGTGGGGATATAGAAATCTGCATTTAAAAAAAAAAAACACTAAGAATAATTCCCTAGGGGACCATGACGTTCGGCTAGATTTGATAATTCATGTTAAGGTATAGAAAAAGTGTTTTCAGTAGAACCTGGACTAGAGTGAGGCAAGATAAGCACCTAGGGTACAAAATTTAAGGAGGCACTCACTCTCGGGGTCTCAGGTGTACTTGTCCACACCTGAAAGTGAGTGCCACTTTAAATTTTGTGCCTTGGCAGCTCTCTTGCCTCACCCTAGTACCAGCCCTGGTTTTCAGCATGGCGTGGGTGGGGGGAGTGCACGTGTATCAGGAATCCCTACTCAGCATGATTCCCTGTTCCACTTAGCTCCGAAGGTTGCTCTACAAACCATCCTAAAGTAACACTAAGTCACTTGCTTGCCAACTTGAATGAACCCTTTCTGCCGGTCCTACATTCCTAGCCAATCCCAGCACCACATTCTTATCTTTTGCCTCCTCTGTGACCACATCTCAGCCTTGTGTTATTATCTCCTAACCACTAAATACTGCCTTGTTCCCAGCTCTTTTCCCCATCTTGAGAACGAATTGCTTCCAAGTCTGTTTATATGCCAGTTTTTTAGGATTTCAAGGATTTCTATCTTAATTCTAAGGATAATGGAAAGTCATTAGGAAATCATTGAAGAGTTTTAAGCAAGTATCGTAAATTCCACATGTCCAAAACTGAATTCTCCCACTAAACCTGCTCCTCCTTTTGTATTCCCAAAGTAAATAATACCACCATCTACCCAAACCAAAAATTGGAGGATCATTCTACACTTTCCTTTCCTTCAACTTCAGTTTCCAACCAGCCACCAAATCCTGTCACTTCTACCTCCTAAATATCTCCAGACCTATCCAATTCTATCTATCCCCACAGCTTCTGCCTTAGTTCAAGCCATCCTCATTTCTTACCTGGAGGCAGTAACCTCCTAACTGGTCTTAGTACTTCCAACATCCATAGTGTGATAATTTATTGGGACAGTTCAGTAAAAAGGATAACCAAAAAGAATTAAAAATATGTAATTTTAGAAATGTTTACTTGATCAATAAATTGGCATTATTATATTGCAATAGAATAAAACTATAAAATAGTTCTATTCAGAAACTATTTTTAAGTGAAATTATTTCTAATAATAAAAGTTATGTATATCTATGCATATTAAACCAAAAACTCTTAAGCTATATTTATTCTGTGACCATTAAACACACACAAGCAGAAATCGTTCTCGGTACATATTGACATATACATACTGACATACTTTAATTGGTTTCTTCACCATATACATCTCTGAATAATATTTCATTCTGTGGAAAGACCACATTTGGTTATCCATTCATCAGTTGATGGACATAAGGGTTGTTTCACATTTTGGCTATTATGAATAATGCTGCTATGAGCATTCATGTACAAGTTTTTACGTGAACACATGTTTTCAATTCTCTTGGGTATATACCTAGGAGTGCAACTGATAGGTCAAATGGTAACTCTATGTTTAACTTTTTGAGGAGCTGCCAAACTACTTTTCATAGGGGCTGCACCATTTTACATTCCCACCACCAGTGTATGAGGGTTCCAATTTCTACACATCCTTGCCAACGCTTACTTTTCAGTTTTCGTTTGCTCGTTTGTTTTTTATTATAGCCATCCTAGTGGGTATAAAGTGGAATATCTGGAAGATATTCTCAAGTTATTTTTTATTGATATATAAATATATAAGCCCAAATATTTTCTTAGGTAGTGTCTTTTTTACTCCATTTGGAATACCTTTCTTTGACAAGTATTTTTATGAGACAAAACTGATTAAATAAATTATCCCTATGATCTTTTTACTGCTTTGCCCAACTCAGAGGCTGCTCAATTTCAATTTGTTTTGGTACAAACTATAAATTTTTCCAATTAAAAATAGCAGCTTCATCAAAAGCCACTTCAGAGTTAAGATATTCTAACATTCAATTACAGAATTGTGAAACTAAATCTTATAAATCATTTGAACTCTCGTTATTTAATTTATTTAGTTTCCCTCTTGTTTTGAAGGGATAAATCTCAATGTCTTTCATTTGAAAGCTTTGTTCTCAATGATTTTACTTTTCTAAAATCTTCAAATGTGAGCTTTCTTTGAATACTTTGATTAAACATTTCCAAATGGCTTTGAGACAACAATGAAATAAGATTTAGAGGACTCATAAAACTGTTCAATGCCAATGTAGGACACTTAGATTGATTTGCAAAGTAGTTCTTCAAAGGCAAAACATTTCTAAAATCCGCTCGATGACGCACGTACTGTCATGCTAAGTATTTTTAATTCAACATCAGTTTTGTCATAAAATTTTTGTATTTCAGTTACTCTAACATTGTATAAATAGAAATATTTGTAAATTTTGACAACTACAGCTTCTATTTTGATTGGTATAATATTGCAGCTTGTTTGTACGTAATTATGAATTATGTATGCACCATGACTAATTCCAAGTATAGTTCACTTCCATAGATTTTTAAATTTTAGTAAGAACATTGTTTTCATCATGATGTTGTGCTGCACCAAAATTTGTGTTTTAACCGTCATCCCCAAAACAAATAATTTTATCTTCAAATGTTGAACTTTTTGTTTTGTTCTGGTTTTTGGTTTTTTAGTTCTTTTTTTTTTTTTTTTTTTTTTTTTTTTGGAGACAGAGTTTCACTCTTTTTGCCCAGGCTGGAGTACAATGGCACAAACTCGGCTCACTGCAACCTCCGCCTCCCAGGTTCCAGTGATTCTCCTGCCTCAGCCTCCAGAGTAGCTGGGATTACAGGTGCGTGCCACCACACCCAGCTAATTTTGTATTTTTAGTAGAGACAGGGTTTCACCATGTTGGCCAGGCTGGTCTTGAACTCCTGACCTCAGGTGATCTGCCCACCTTGGCCTCCCAGAGTGTTGGGATTACAAGTGTGAGCCACCACGCCTGGCCCAAATGTTGAACTTTTAATATGAATTTACTATAGCGTTTACAATAATAACAGATGTTTCACCTTTGATAGAATGAACCTCCAAAAGCTTGTTTTAGATCCATGAGTTGGCTGAAAATATCGAATTATAATTGGAATGAACTGATTCTTTTTTCTTCGAAGCATCTGAAGACACGAATAGAAAACTGGTGTCATTTATCTGTAAACTTCATCTTCAGATGGAGCTAACACATTGACAGCTATTGCTTGGCTTTTTTTTTTTTTTTTTTTTGTCTTTGTATACTTTAAGTTCTGGGATACATGTGCAGAACGTGCAGGTTTGTTACATAGGTATACATGTGCCATGGTGGTTTGCTGCACCCATCAACCCATAATCTACATTAGGTATTTCTCCTAATGCTATCCCTCCCCTTTTCCCCCACCCCCCGACAGGCCCCAGTGTGTGATGTTCCCCTTTCTGTGTCCATGTGTTCTCATTGTTCAACTCCCACTTATGAGTGAGAACATGTGGTGTCTGGTTTTCTGTTCCTGTGTTAGTTTGCTGAGAATGATGGTTTCCAGCTTCATCCATGTCCCTGCAAAGGACATGAACTCATCCTTTTTTATGGCTGCATAGTATTCCATGGTGTATATGTGCCACATTTTCTTTATCCAGTCTATCATTGATGGGCATTTGGGTTGGTTTCAAGTCTTTGCTATTGTAAACAGTGCTGCAATAAACATACACGTGCATGTGTCTTTATAATAGAATGATTTATAATCCTTTGGGTATATACCCAGTAATAGGATTGCTGGGTCAAATGGTATTTCTAGTTCTAGATCCTTGAGGAATCACCACACTGTATTCCACAATGGTTGAACTAATTTACACTCCCACCAACAGTGTAAAACCATTCCTATTTCTCTACAACCTCTCCAGCATGTTTCCTGACTTTTTAATGATTGCCATTCTAATTGGCGTGAGATGGTAGCTCACTGTGGTTTTGATTTGCATTTCTCTAATGACCAGTGATGATGAGCTTTTTCTTGTGCACAAGAAAAACCTGAAATAAAGTTCAGCCAGTAGAGCTCAATGAAAATATATGCTGCATGAAGTGATTTGTACATACCCTTAGACAAGGACAAGGAGGACCCCTGCTGGGTCCCGAACTCTAGGGAGGCTTGCATATCACAGACACACATCAAAAAATAAGTACATTTAAAAACTGATGGGCAGTTCTGTCACTGAAGATCCCAAATTCAGTGCTGGTAGACTGCGAACCAACACCCTAAACGTCCACACTCAAGACATACTTTTCAAAGCTCGGAAATCTTTTTTCCACAACTCCTTCCCAGTGTTCTAGAAAGAAAAAGCAACTGCGTCCAAATGCTGTTACTGAAATCAGAGACAGAAACAGTTTTAGAGTGCAAGGAGGAGGTGAGCAGTGGAGACACTTATATAAGAGAAAAAGGAAATTAATTAACTTGTCAAATGTGTTTCCCCACAGATAGAGAGAATGCCATGGATTTACTCACGACCAAGCATCATTTTCCATTATTGCTGAGCACCTTGCTTTTCTTTTCGTTGCACTTCTTGATTCCAGAGATACTAATGATTTAGTTCCTCTTTGTAATATTTTCCAATATTAAACAGTTCATATTATTCTTAAATGTATGTGTCCACATATACATACATTTATTTAGTTTTATATATTTATGTACAAGTATATATAAATCCAGCTGTAACATGGATGAAGCATGCTTCAGGTTCTTTAAACTGACAACTAGACAGACACTGAACCTCAGAATTTTGAATGGTTTTATTTTTATAAAATTCCTTAATATAGTTGGATTTTAATTTCAATTTCAAAGATTGAATAAAAAATTTCACCTTTATTTAATTTTGATTTTAAAATTTCATGATATGCATTATAACTTGCATGTTACCTTTTATTTTAATTGATAATTTGTAATATTTTCTAAGAAAAATATTTTTAAGAACATGAAAAGTCACTTTTTTTAATATTTTAAATTAACTTTAATTTACACATTTGGATGAACATGAATTCAAATTTTATACTTTTGAATGTAATTAGATTTTAGTTTTTAATCCTTTAGATTTTTACTATCAATAGAATGCAAATTATATGAAAATCTTGAATATAAAAATATTAATGATTTTGCTGAAATGAAGGAAAGAACACTAAATTTTATGGGATAAATATATATTAATTTATGAATTACATATTAGTTTACTTGTATTACTCTTCTAAACTTTGCCAAGCCATCAAGACAACACTCAGATGTGTTCAATATTTAAGTTCAGTCATCTTTCAGTTTTTGCCAACTGCATATAAAAACCATAGCTTTACATATTTTTAAAAATTTTTGTCATAATGAAGGTGTTTTTGTTAAGATAGGAGTATACAGCATATTTTATTTAACAGCTTGCTTGCTTGATTTATAACTTGTAAATATTTAAACCTAATGGAATGTAGGCTTTCATTTGTCCTCTTGCCCCAGGCCCACAAATGCCAGGGGCAGCCAGAACACACCATCTGCAGCTGCATGTGGTAAATCACCATCTCCAGGCAGTCTTCTCATGGTGACAACTACTTTTGAAGCAGATAATAATGCTTCTTCAGCAGCTTTGTGCCTTCTGTTTTCCATGAGGTCAGTGACATTTCTATGGCCTCCATGACAGGTGATAAATGTCCACAAACACTTTGTGCAGATTACACCCTCAACATCAACGTTCTTGAGAGGTGAGAATTCAGTATTTCATTTTTTGCTTAACATTGCCTTGAGTTCATTGCTGCCAAAAGGATTTATTGCAAAAACAAAAAAATAAGCATTAGCTAACAATACAATAAATAAGTAAATAGATATAGGTTCGTGTTGTACAATAAATGATAAAACCCCTGTGGGAAAAGCATTGAGATGACTCTTTCTATCCTCCATAGCATAATTGCTCAGCCTTTCTTTCCTGCATATACCTCACATACATCTAACCTATGTTGTTCCATGTTTCTCACTGACACTGCCAAGAGGTAGCCTAGGCAGATTCACATATGTCTCAGGCTGCAGCATGAGTCACAGCAACTGGCTGGTAGACAAAGAGGCTGGCAGGAACAGTGGCTTCAAATATTTCTCCCATCACCACCAGAGACCAGAAGGACTTTGATCACCCCTGCTGCTAATGTCAGAACCACTTGGTCTTATCAGGGAACAACCTGCATGTTCCCCTTCATTGAGAGGCAGATATTAACCACCTTGCATCTGGAAAGGGCAGGGAGAAGAGAGGCAGGCTCATTGGTTTTATTCCAGATTTAACTGCATGATAAAGACGTCTGCTCAGTGAATATTCATCTCAATACTAGATAAGACTATGACAGAAAACGAAAGTACTAAATGGAGGTTTACCAAATTTGCCCCAACTTGTTTTAATGCTTATTAATAAAAATACTTGATTTAAAAATGAAAAACCTACAGCAAATGCTAAACTGGGCAGAATCCCAGGACAACAGGTGTAAATCAAAACTGCCTCAGGCCAACCCAGACCTATAGTCCCTCTAAGTATTTCCCCTCTGATTCATTCTCCAGAGTGCAGCCAGGGTGATTTGTCTAAAGCATAACCCTGATCAGACAGTCTTCTGTTCATAACTCTTCAATTACTCTCCACTACTCTGAGGTTAAAACGCAACCCCCTTGATGCAGTAGTCTCTCTGAACCCTGCCCACCACCTCATCTTTGACCACTTCTCCCATATCCCTCCACTTGACCTGAACTGAGTCTCACCTGATCTTCCCTCTTCTTAAACTATTCCCCCTCCACCATGACCTGTCTTTGACTGATTGACAAACTGTCCATTCATCAAGATGCATGTTAGCCATCCTCTTTTCTGGTAAGATTTCCTGACCCGTCTCTTCCAGCCAGGCTGTCTGTCCCCTCTTTCCCAATAATGCCTTTTATGTATTCCTAACAGGAGGTTTATGTCAGAAATCTATTTATTTGTCCCTCCCTCCTTGTCTGCAAGCACTTTGAAGATAGAGACCTTGTCATCTCTGTATCCTCAACACCTAACACATTAGACTAGTCTAGACAGAGCTGGGTTGGATTGGGTTGGGTTGGACACAATTTGAAAATAAATACTTGAGGCCCAAATATGGAGAAATGTTGGTGCCTGGCTGATAAAATTATGCTTTGGTAGATGGCTGATGAAGACAATGGGGAGATTTTGAGCAGAAGGCATGTTGACAGTATTATTTTTAGGAAAATCAGTCTGGAGGTGTATAGAGGGTGAACTGAATTTCCGCTCACTGTAACATGCTCCCCACTAATAATGTTCCCAGTAAACACCCTCGCATTCTCTCTCCACCCACTCCATCCAAGCCTATCAAAGTAGCTAGCATATGAGAATACAGAAGGCTTTTCTAAGCTGATATTTTTCATTTTTAATGAATAAATGTTAATATCCTTACTATATAAACAGAGAACCCTTATAAATAAACATGAAAAACACTAACACCAATTGGACAATAGGAAGAGGCCACAAATAGAAACTTCACAAAAGAAGAAATTGGACCAAGTAACCGAAGAGACTGTAAAATAAATTAATAATGAGATGCCAGTTTTGCCTATCAAATTGTCAGAAATTATAAAACTAATAATAGTCAGCGTTGGCAAGGGTTTAGAAAAAATGGCCTGAAATAAGAATTTCACTCTTATACATTAGACAGAGGCATGGAAAGTAGCCCAGGGTTTCTGGAGAGGAAAAAATTCAGAGATAAGATCAAAGATATATGAACAAGATATTCAGCACATTTATAAATACTCAGAAATCTGGAAAGCAACTAACTGGCCAACAATAAAATAATTTAAACTATGATATAGTCTAATGATTTGATTTTACTTAAAATCACATTATAAAAGAATATTAGAGACTTAGGGAACTTCATATTTTTATGATAATGTTTAGTTTTATAAACAGAATATGGACATAGACACACATAAAGTCACACTGAATACCTGTTTTAGATGAATGTTAAATGGCTGAGTATTAAAATTGATACTTGTCTGAAACTGAATCTCACTATCACAGAATAAACTTCAGGGATACAAGAATAAATCAACTTTTATCCAAAATTTAACTATAATTATAATTTTATAATTAAAAGTTTTAGCAGTCGAAGTTTTAAAGTCACCATTATAATATAGGAACAATAATTTGGGATATTCAATAAACGCTCACCTTCAGCTTGAAGCTGATAGAAGAGCAAGATATTTTTGTGTCATTCATTTTTTTCTAGCACAATTTCCTCATATTTTTATGCTCCTTGTATTTTTCATTATGTAGGGATTGAGGGCAACATATCATAAATGCTGTTATATATAAGTTTAGACTTTCTCCTTATACTATTATTTATATTTTCATAAACATTTGTTGACTAAAAAAGAATATCACGAAGTCCCTGAAGTTTTGAGCTAACACATTTTCTTAATATCCTATCATCTGTACACTTATTTCTTCATCCATTTTAGAATTCTTTTTTTCTATTTTTTATTATGCTTTAAGTTCGAGGGTACATGTGCGGAAACCATCATTCTCAGCAAACTATTTTAGAATTCTTAATAATTATTTTATTTAAAATTAACGGATTTTACAAACTTGTAATAATAAATATACACCTACACTACACCTGATGAGTAAATTTTCAGTACAAAATGTACTTCAAGGTATATCTAGAATGCTTAACCATATTTGAAAATAAACAATAATAAAAAATCAGATAAATGCAAGTGACATACCATCTTCATATTTCTGATATAGCTGAGTTTTTAAAAATTTAATCTAACAATTTCTGCAGTTCAATTGAGGTTACTTAGACCATTTATACTCAATCATATTATTGATATGGCTGTATATAAATCTACTGTCTTGCTATTTGTCCTCTATTTGTCTCATCTGTTCTCTGTTCCCTTTTTCCTCTCTTTCTGCCTTCTTTGGGATTGAGGTTTTTTTATGATGCTGTTCTATCTTTTTTGTTTGCTTATTAGCTGAAGTTATTTGTTATTCTATTGTTTGCTTTAGGGTTAATAGTACACCTCTTTAACTTACCACGGTCTATCTTCAAGTAATAGACTACTTTACACGTAAGAACTTTTCAGTATACTTCTATTTCCCCCCTGCTAGCCTTTGGCACTCAGAATCTGTAAGACTCCACATCTGCCCTCTGGCTGCTTGTCCCTTAATTCCTCCTCCATTTTTCACTCAGCTCTACTTACCCCAGTAATACATCTTTCCTCCTGATATAGTTTGACCCTGTAACACTTAATAAAAAAACTTACTGGAATAGGCTGAATAATAACCCCTAAAAATATCCACAAATTAGTCCCCAGGACCTGTGAATGTTACCCTACACAGTATAGCAAAAGGAATTTTGCAGATGTCATTAAACAAAGCATCTTGAAATGGAGAGGTTATCCTGGACTACCTGAGTGGGCCCTAAATGCAGTCACAAGGGTCCTTATAAAAGGAAGGCAAGAAGGTTAAAGGAGACAGTAGAATCTGTGATAACAGAGGCAAGAGGTTTGAATGAAGGGAAGAAATTAAGAGTGATGTGAGGAAAGGATCATGAGTCAAGGAAAGCAGATGATTTCTGGTGATCTAGAGCTGAGGAAATGAATTCACCCCTGAAGCCTCCGGAAGGAATTCTACCCTGCCAACACCTTGACTTTAGCTCAGTGACACTGATACTTGATTTCTGCCCTCTGAAACTGTAGGACAATAAATTAATGTTGTTTTAAGCTACGAGATTTGTGGTAATTTGTTACAGCAGCAATAAGAAACTAATACACTCATTAAATTGCAATTTTGAAATAGGTATGCGTCTCATAAAGACTTTTATATATAAATACATTTCTATCAGAGATTAAAAAAAAAAAAAAAAGAGGCTTGGCAGTGGCTCATGCCTGTAATCCCAGCACTTTGGGAAGCCGAGGCAGGTGGATCACTTGGGGTCAGGAGTTCGAGACCAGCCTGGCCAACATTTTGTAGGCCCCGTCTCTACAAAAATTAGCTGGGCATGGTGGTGCACACCTGTAGTCCCAGCTACTCAGGAGGCCGAGGCAGGAGAATCACTTGAACCCAGGAGGCAGAGGTTACAGTGAGCAGAGATTGCACCACTACACTCCTGCCTGGGCGACAGAGACAGACTTTGTCTCAAAAAAAAAAAAAAAAAAAAAAAAAAAAAAAAAAAGGCAAAGAAGAGTCTGAACTGCAAGGCCATTGTCCTAATAGACATTGCTTGGTTGCAGTAAACTGGAACCAATTCACATTTGCATGAGTAAAAGGGAAAGGATGACAGTAGGGACATAACAGGCAATAGTGCAGGCAGACATCCAAGGAGGGAGCATAGTCTTATCAGGCCATGAGGAGGCAGCCACCAGCAAGTCAGAAAAAGACTAATTCTGGAGTCTCTCATGGGTCCCAAAGGTCTCTCAGCAAGAATGATTCAGACCTCAGTTTCTTTCAGCTTTCACTTTTGAAAGCCAGCTCTAGATGAATTTTCAATTCAAGAGTCCTCCATGGAGTCTCTACCTGGGTTCTTCTGTTTCAGTTCTCAAAAGAGATGATCAAGAGAGATTAAGCCAGCCCACCTTATGATTGGCTGCCCTGAATCAGGTGTCTATAGCCCAATCAGCTGAGGCCAAGGGTTACACAGTACAAACATGGCTGTCTGTGCCCTTCCCTTCAGCAAGGGCAATTGCAAAGGAGAGGAAATTCGGTTGGCACCCCAAAATGGGTGTGACACATATGTGTAAATAAATATAGTATGAAAGGCCAAGACCGTCAGCTCTGTTTCTCTTTGGATAACTCATCAACAGGTGACTAAGTCGCTGAGGCTTGGTAAAAAACTAACATTTGCCCAGCACTTCTTAGTAGTCAAGGAAACTGGGGCAATAATGAGCAACTCTTATCATAATTACTCATATTAGCTGACCTATAAAGCAGCCTGAAGGGAGAGTATCAAAGGGTGTGGAAAAAAGGGAAAGCAAGATATAAACAGAAGAAAAAGGAAAAGGAAAGGAATGACTATGTATTGAACACCTACTGAATGCCAGACAATATGCTGGGAGCTTATATGTTTTCTGTTGTGTTTGTTTGACAAGGAGAACAGGGGAGAAGGAAAAACTTAGGCTACTATAAGAAAGGTGAACGCTGCTGCCTGTTTTCCCATGGTGTGGATTTATTTTAAGAGAACTCACTATTTTTATATTACCTGTAGAGCAAATCTCAGTTATCAGAAAATCTTAGGTGATGTGTCTTCCAGGTTTAAGCACAAAACTTCTTCTTTTAATTTTAACCAGCTCACATGGATGAATCTCAAGCATTATGCTTAATGAAAGAAGCCAGACAAAGGACTACATACTATGGTTACAGAACAAAAAGTGTACAAAAGTCCTACAAATACACACCTGGTAAATTATGCCTCAATAAACCTGTTTCTATTTCTTTTCATCAGTTTGGATTGAAATCTTTTGAAATTTTATTACACGCCATCTTGAATTTTCTGTAGCTAAGCATAATCTTACCTTTATTGATCTGGGATTTGAACGGAATTATGAATTCTAATGATTATTCTCTTCTGTAGAAAACTGATACCCTCAGAGTTTATTTGCCCCTACACCAAATGGTGCTAGATGACTGTGCTTTTGGAATCTCTATGACTGCTTTATAATTTTTCTTTCTCCCTCCTCCTATAAGCTCTCAGCAGTGACTCCCCCCGTGGATATACTCTCCCAAAACAACATTTCTAAACTGCTGCTTCTAATCTGTTGTGAACTGTTGGGGATAGGAGTGAAAGCAGATAACAATGTTGATAAGAACTGTATGTGTGTTGAGTACAAATAAATAAGCTCTGAATAGGAGTCTAGGGCCAGGTGTGGTGGCTCACGCCTGTAATCCCAGCACTTTGGGAGGCCAAGGTGGGTGGATTACTTGAGGTCAGGGGTTCGAGACCAGCCTGGCCAATATGGTGAAACCTCGTCTCTACTAAAAATACAAAAATTAGCTGGGCATGGTGGCGGGTGCCTATAATCCCAACTATTTGGGAGGCTGAGGCGGGAGAATCCCTTGAGCCCAGGAGGCAGAGGCTAAAGTGAGCCGAGATTGCACCACTGCACTCCAGCCTGGGCGACAAAGCAAAACTCTGTCAAAAAAAGGTCTAGAAAGCGTCTATAATAAAGTGAATCAGCTTTTGTGCAAGGGTTGAGTGTTATCTGGTTTAGCTACTAAGAGGTCTGTTTTACTTATTTGTTAGTTCTTGACTAAGTTCTTGAAAGGTCAGTTTGCTGTATCACTGCACTCATTTGAGGAGAAGTGTTATTATACTATTTTATTCATACACGCAGTCACACATACATATTTATACATCAAAAAACAAAACAAAACAAAACAACAACAACAACAAAAAACACTGCTTAAGCAACAAGCAGAAAGGAAAGCGCCAAAAGAAACTCTCCATTCTGGATAATTCAGAATAGGTAGAGCATAGAATACTACAGTTTAATAGCAAAAATGGCCCTAAGGGGTAAAAAAGAATATATTTTTATTTCTTCAGTTAGACAGAAAGAATATGGTTCATTGCCCACAGGATAAGGTCTCATTTGAATCAACCAACTGATAATGCCAGGAAAGCATTTTTAAAAGAAACACAAACAGTAAGGGTTGTTTTTTTTATCTCTTCATCAGACAGGGCATTTGATTAACCTTTTTTTCTAAGATAAAAGAGGCAATTACGTGAATATCCTGTTGTCTGTGTATCTGCCAACAATGTAACCATTTAAAATCTTTGTAAAAATAAGGTGATTTCTACACTCACAAATCTAGGAAATTTTGTTAATTCATTCCTAGAGGCCGTCGTAATTAGTGCAATATTTAAAATGACAGGAAGTAGTAATGAAGCTTTGGAGTTCCGGCATAAAATGGCATCATGAGTAGAATGTGGAATTTCAAGTCTTGGCTTCTCTTCTCTGTGCTAAAATCTGCACAGTTCAATTTGTGGATGACATTAGTTACATTCGTCAGACATCCTCATTTTGCATCTCTATCTGCCCTGTAATTGCTATCATTTTCAGAATGGCTTTGTAAGAATGAAGGCATTCATTTCAGATTTATATTCTTCTATTTTTGAACTGCTATTTTGTGTCAGGCACTGTTCAGGCCCTTTTAATCCTCAGAAGGCTAGGTACTAATATTATCTTCATTTTGAAGCTGCAGAAACCAAGGCTCAAAGAGGTTCAGTAGATTTCCCAAAGACACATAGCTAGCAAATTGGGAGCTAGTGAATCTGAAGCTAGGGCACCACACTAACGTCCATAAGCTCATTGACATTACTTTTACTAAATAAAAAGTAGAAGCCTCCATTTCCTTTCAATCGTCATAGCAGAGAGTCTCTGTGAGGTCCACATCTTTGTATTTTTAAAAAATTAATTCCACCTCTTGTGCCTTTGCTCATC
Organism: Homo sapiens; assembly: GCF_000001405.40. Taxonomy (NCBI): domain Eukaryota; kingdom Metazoa; phylum Chordata; class Mammalia; order Primates; family Hominidae; genus Homo; species Homo sapiens. The sequence goes on along the minus strand of NC_000023.11, from coordinate 20,375,783 downwards.
TGAATTACTATACTGTCGTCTTTTTATTTGTGCCAACAAAGTATTTTTATTAAATGTGAGCCATAATCTGCTATATCCAGGAATATAGAATTCTCCCTATAATGGGCCAACTTCTTCAGAAGTTTCATTGTGAAAATGTCAGTTTCACCCTTTCCAAGTATAAAGATGGCCACCACAAGGCTAAGCTTTATAAAACTCACCAAAAGAAAACTGACTTGAGGTCTTCATTTTCTGAAATACTGAACAATCCTCCCTCCCCTCATCAGTAGAAATGGTCATCAAATCTTAATATGAAACAAATTTGACTGTCTTAGCAGATTCACATGATTTGAAGAACCGAAGTAATAGGAACACTTCATCAATCCCTCTACTTCCTCTTTTTATGATTGCATGTAGTTTTTAAAAAAAAAATTGGCTCTGCCTCTCTTTTCAAGTGACGCTGTAGAAACACAGAGCTTTGAGGAAGTTTTGCAGAGAAAGAAACCGTGGCCCAAAATGCTGGCTTCAGTCTCATAAATTGATGTGAGAGCCAGTCCTGAAGTTTGCTCCTGTCATCTTCCTCTTGTTTCATGCGACCTTGGGCTGGCCTCATTCCCACTTGTTTTCTCTTGATATCTGGCTTTCTTCAGTCTCCCTGTCAAACTGCTCAAAGAGAAAGCTGTGTTCACCACTTCCCTAGCAGAAATGTCTTCCAAAGTTCTAATAGGTACCCATTTGCTTCTCTTAATGATACTTGAGCACTGCCCTGCCGGTGTTGACTTTCCAGATCATCAGATAATGAATTGAGTCACCTCTATGTGCCATGTGGCTGGGACATCAGTTGCTGACTAATGAGAAATTCAATGAAAGGCAGGGAAGCAACTCTGGGGCATGGAAGCAGAGAAGTAAGATATCAATTCTCTTGGTACAATCCTACTTATATTTATCAGGGCAAGATAACCTACCCCATTGCCAAAATCTTAACAGGAAAAGAGAAATGAGAATTCCTTATAGCTCTCACTAGTCTTGTTTCAACTTATACCTCTTTTTAAAATTATAAACTAAAATGAAAGCAGGAATGACAGTAAGGAGAGAAGAGTGATGGCCCTAAGATACAAGAGGAAGTTAAAAGCGGAACATCGAGTCCAAATTTCCTACACTCCCTGATAAAGAGTTGGCTCTCTTCCTCTACATAAGCAGGAAGACTGCTCCAAGTAGTTGGCCACCTGTGAAATATTGCCCCATGCTAGGTTTTCATTGGGAAAAACAAACACAAGCCAAGTTTCCTCGCGTAAAATGCAAAACACAATACATACCTCAGAGTGTTGTGAGAATTGTATGATATAACAAATGTGAACATGCCCCAGCATAGGCCTGACACACAGAGCACATTTCTGGAATGTTAAGGCATGCAGTGAATATGGGAGCTTCATCGCTGGAGCCCCCTTCAGTGGAGGGCTCCTCATACCTGCTGCTGAAAATGCTGTCAGCAGGCAGCCTCCAGCTGCGGGCTCCTCTGGAGATGCCTCAGCTGCAGAGAGACTCCTGGGCCCTAAGGCACACCCTTCCCAGGGCAGCCTTGACCCTGGAAAGGCAGGAGTATGAAGGCCTGACCATTTAGGCTTGACACAGGGCAACTTTGATGGGCCGTTTTAGTAGCCCACCTCTCTCATGGGAGCTGGGCCCTGAGCTGGGCCCGCTTCACAGGCCGACTTCTCTCTCCCCTTTCCTCTCCTCCCTTCCACAGGTGTTGGCCTCAAGGGCACACTTCATAAACATCCTTCCCACTAAACTCTGTCTCAGAGCCTGCTTCTTGGAGAACTCAACCTGTAGTAGGAGAATATGGAAACAAATCAATAGTTGGAATTTAGGGTTTGAAATGGTGTGTAGCTCTGGCTGGTATTACTAAACTTGTCCAAACCTATTACCACAAGACCTATGCAGCACCAGAAATGCAGCACAACTTTAAAAAATTACTCAGGTTAGTACTACTTGGTAAATGGGACTGGGAAATTTGATGCTGGGAAAATTGATTATTTAGAAAAAAAAAACCATAGATAGAGGCCTCACTTTCTATATCTACCAATTAATTTTCAGATACATTTGACGGTTAGAGGCATCTTTTTAAAATATAAGAAAAGGAAAAGAAAATAGAGGTGGGTATTTAGCCAATTTTTGCCTTTTATGAAATTTTAAAAGTAATTTTCACACAGGTGTTAAAATTTTAATTTGTTTTTGAAACTTAGAAAGTTATAAAAGTACAAAGAAAAACATAAACTCCTCTAGCCCCATCACCCAGAATTAACAAGTTGATTATTAACAAAATTAAGGTTTTATAATATTTGCTTGTGCTTATCTGTTAACATTTGCACGCATGATATTTTCTCAGTTTGAGTGCTTGGATGCAAGAGAGCAGAAAAAGGATTTACTGGTTATTGAGTCAGTAGCAGATAGAAGGAAAGTCTGGAGATGGTTTCATAAGATGAGCAAGTGCAAAGACAGCTGGACAACAGGAAGCACAGCCAGGTTACAGCACAGGAACAGTTTTAGGTGTCACCATCGCTCCTACCTTCCCTGCACATTAGACACCCCCGCTTCTGGCCTCTCAATGTGCTGTTTCAACCACGAGTAATTTTTCAACTCTTCCTGAATTTTAGCATCACTCTCTCAAGATTCAAAGTCCATTCAGGTGGCCTAGGTTGCACTCTAGCTGCAAAGGCCGGGGAGAGGGCGTATCTGAGCCCCTTACAGAAGCAAGACACTGTCTCCCAAAAATACTCACAAAATAGGAGAGTGCTAGTTATGAAGCTATTTTATCGCTGCTTCAAGCGCAGGCTCCTGTATATCCCTTTGTGATGTCAGGGCTGAGACTCTCTTTTTCTGTAAACTTCATTTCTCCTTCATCACTTGCTCCCTATATTGACTCTGCCAATAGAGGACCCTAAAAGTCTGGGGAAGAAAGAAAGGTCAATGTTCCATCCTATTTACTTCCTATGCCTGTCAGCATTACTTTAGTAATGCTTTTTCACCCCAGCAGTGGTGATTCATGCCTGTGGTAGCAGTAAATTCCTGATTGCAATATTTCCAACACTCCCAGAACCAGCTCATCATGCCCACTCTGAGCTCAAAGACTCCAGTACCAGGCATTCAGCCCTCATCCTCCTCAGAGGTCCAAGTTTATGCCCCATGGGGCTCCTCCTCCAAGCCTCTACGTTTTGAAGATTCCAACCTTTTCCCTTGGTTCATCCATCCTTAGGGGTGGTAGTCCTTAGTGGCTCCTTTTTGCTTTCAGTTGTCCAATACCTAATTGACAATTCTTTAAATTAAATTCTCTCTGTTAAAATTTCTGGTGTGCTTTCTTTCTCTGGTTGAAAAAAGGGGTTCCCCTAAAAGAGGAAGAGTGTTTAGAGGCTGAGTACTCCCCACCAAAAATAACCACAAATGTCTGCCACAGGTATTATCCTGTTTCTTCACTATATATATTGAGTATTTAAGTCCTATCCATGTTGATATAGACAGAAATGTTTATCATTTTTAGCTATTATATACTATTTCATGGCGTGAACATGATTTATTGAGGTACATTTATGTTGTTTCTAATTTTTCACTATTAAAACCAATGCTGTAATTAAGACAAAAGAGGAAACCGATGTTTATCTCAAACGACTGCAGAAAAATGCATTTGACAAAATTCAACACCAACTTATGATAAAATCTCTCAGCAATCTAGGAATAGAAGGGAACTTCCTTAACCTGATAAGGAATATCTAAGAAAAACCTGTGGTTTTCATCATACTTAATGGGGAAAGACTGAATGCTTCCCCCCAAGGTCCAGACCAAAGCAAGAATATCTACTTGCCGCTTGTATTCAACATCGTACTAAGGGTCTTGGCCAGTGAAATAAAGCAAGAAAAATGAATAAAAGAACAGATCGACAAGGAAAAAGTAAAACTATATTTATTTGCAGATGACATGGTGACATGTATAGAAAATCCTAAGGAATCTATAGAAAAACCTATTAGAGCTGATAAATGAATTTAGTAAGGTCATAGGATACAAGGTCTATATACAAAATTTAATTGTATTTCTATATGCTAGCAATAAACAATTAGCAATTTAAATTAAAAAACATTACCATTTACAATAGCAACAAAAATATGGAATTCTTAAGTATAAATTTAACAAACTTGCAATTTAGATGCACACTGAAAACTGTAAAACATTTATGCCTGAAATTAAAGATGAACTAAATAAATGGGAAAATATACCGTACTCGTGGATTGGAAGACTCAATCTTGTTAAGACGCAATTCTCTCCACATTAATCTATACATTCAATGCAATCACAATCAAAATCCCAGAAAGCTTTTTTTTTAGAAACTGACAAACCAATTCTAAAATTTATATGGAAATACAAAGGACTTATGATGAACAAAATTAGACTTAAAAATGAACAAAATTAGAAGACTTATACTACCTGATTCAAGACTTACTATAAAGCTACAGTAATCAAGAACAGTACTACGGAACGGTATTGGTGAAGTGATAGACATATAGATCAATGGAACAGAGTAGAGTGTCCAGGAATAGATCTACACATATATGACCAATTGATTTTCCATAAAAGTACCAAGGTAATCACATGGAGAAATAATCTTTTCAGCAACAGTGCTGGAACAAGATATCCACTTGGAAAATGATTAACCTCAGCTCTTACCTCACATCACTCAAAAAACTTAACTCAACATGGATCATAGACCTAAATGCAAAAGGTAAAATTATAAAATTTCTAAAAGAAAACATAGAAGAATATCTTCATGACCTTGATGGCAAAGATTCCTTAGGGCACAAAAACGTGAACCATAAAAGAAAAAAATTGATAAGTTGAACTTCATCAAAATTTAAAACTTCTACTGTTCAAAAGAGCCTATGAAGAAAAAGAAAAGATAAGCCATAGCTAGTAGAAAATTTTATACATATCAAAAGACTTGTATACAGGTTGTATAGAGAACTCTTAGAATTCAATAAAAATAAGACGAACAATCTAAATTTAAAATGCACCAAAAGAGTTGAACACTTTATAAAAGAATATATGCAAATGGTCAATAAGCACACAAAAAGATGCTTCACATCATTAGTCACTAGGAAGATGCAAATCAAAATCACGTGGAGATACCATTACACATCCATTAGAACAGATTCAAAATTAAAAAGACTATAACAAGTGTTGACAATGATGCAGAACAACTGGAACCTTTATATATTACTGGTGAGAATTAAAAATGGTACAACCACTTTGGAGAACAGTTTTGCAGTTTTTAAAAAAGTTGAACATACAGTTAGGGCACAACCCAGCAATTTCACTCCTGCGTATTTCTATTTCCCAAGAAAAGTAAATACAGATGTCCATACAAAGACTTGTACATCAATGTTCACAGCAACTTTATTCATAACAGCCAAAATTTGGAAACAACTTAAATGCCCATCAACAGGTGAATGAATAAATAAATTGTGATATGTCCATACAGTGGAATGCTACTCATCAATAAAAAAGAATCACTAACTGATACATGCAAAGACATGAAGAATTTCAATCACATTATGCTGAGCAAAAGAAACCAGATGCATAATGTATGATTCAATTTCTGTGAAACTCTAAAAAAAGACAAACCTAATCTATAGTGATGGGGCAGACCAGTGGTTCCCTGAGGGTAGGGTTGGGGGCTGGGAGAGAGGATGATTGACTGGGATGGGGCAGAAGTGAACTTTTGGGGTGATAGAAACATTCTATGACTTGATTGAAGTGGTAGTTATGTGAGTATACAAATTTGTCAAAACTCATCTTAAAATGGGTGAATTTTATTGTTTATAAATTATAGTTCAAAAGATCCCTCAAAAATACTGCAATGAACATTGGTGTACGTGTCTCCCCACCTCCCATGCCTGTGAAAAAAATAACCACAGGATATTTAACTAAAGGTTCATATGATATGTGCATTTTCTATTTTGTACATGCTATAAATTGTTCTCCAAAGTGGACATTTTGTCTGATTACCCAGCATCTGTGCCTCCCCATATTATTAGTCTGAGCCCTGAGCCCATCATGGAAATTCCATCCTCCTTGCCAGTGCTTATTTCAGGAATGGGCGTCTGACTCATTTCTGGCCATTAAGACATGAAAAGTTAATTAGGGGCCTTTTGGAGAATGTTTCTTAGATCCTAAGGGCGAGACCTAGCTTCTGAATGTAAATTGCAAATTAGTCTGAATGTTGAACTGCCTAGATGTCACATCTAGAACTTCCGTGGCCCTGTTACCCATCATTATGAATGGAATTATGTCCCCTCAAAATTTATATATTGAAGCCCTAACCCTCAATTCTTCAACTTGTGGAGTCCTTGGAGACAGAACCTTTAAAGGGGTGATTAAGTTCAAACGTTGGCTGGATGTGGTGGCTCACGTCTGTAATCCCTGCACTTTGGGAGGCCAAGGTGGGAGGATCCCTTAAGCCCAGGAGTTTGAGACCAGCCTGGGCAAGATGGTGAGACCCTGTCTCTACAAAAAATACTAAAAGTTAGCTGGGTGTGGTGGTGCATGCCCATAGTTCCAGCTACTTGGGAAGCTGAGGTGAGAGAATCGTTTGAGCCCAGGAGTTCAAGGCTGCAGTAAGCTGTGATTGTGCCACTGCATTCCAGCCTGGGCAACAGAGTGAGACTCAGTCTCTTAAAAAAAAATGAGGCTTTTAGGGTGGGCTCTAATCCAATATCATTGGTATCTTTATAAGAAGAGAAGGATAGTATGCAAAGAGAGACATCAGGGATGTGCTTGCATAGAGGGGCCACCATGTGAAGAAGCAGAAAGAGTGCGGCCATCCACAAGACAAGGAGAGAGGCCTCAGAGGAAACCAACCTCCATGCCCACGCCTTGATCTCAGACTTCCAGCCTCCAGAGGTGTGGGAAAATAGATTTCTGTTGTTTAAGCCACCAGATCTATGGTGCTTTGTTATGGCAACCCTAGCAAACTAATACACCAGCTGAGACTGAAACCAACATTAAAGATGGCAAAAAGGAAAGATAAAAACAACTTGAGTTCTTTTTAGCTATTATCAAGTCACCAAATGAATCAGTCCTGGAACCTGTCCTGCCTCAGGACTAATGTAAGACAATACATTTTCTTATTGTGTGAGCTAGTTTGACTGAATCCTCCGTTACTTGCCTCCAAGTAACCAAAACACCACATATACTTCCAAAAGCAATGTATGGAAGTTTCATTTCCCCTTGTCCTTGCAAACACCTGATATGTTTCAACTTCTTTCTTGCCATTCACAAAGATGGAAAACAGTATCTCATTGTTGTTTTACGCTGTACTTTCCTGATAATGAGGTTAAACATCTTTTCACATGTCTGCCTGCCATTCAGATTCCTCCTCTGTTGAATCGCCTAGCCATATATTTTATTCATTACTATTGCACTATTTGTCTCTTGCTTATTGATTTATAAGAGTTCTTGGCATATTCTTGATCAATGGTCCCCAACCTTGTTGGCACCAGGGACTGGTTTTATGGAGGACAATTTTTCCACAGACCAGGGGTGGAAGGGAGGGGGCAGCGAGGATGGTTTCGGGTTGATTCAAGTGCATTACATTTATTGTGCACTTTATTTCTATTATTATTACATTGAAATACATAATGAAATAATTATACAACTCATCATAATGTAGAATCAGTGGGAGCCCTGAACTCCAGGAAAACTTGCAGTTTTGCTGCAACCAGATGGTCCCATGTGAGGGTGATGGGAGACAGTGACAGGTCATCAGGCATTAGATTCTCATAAGGAGCACACAAGCTAGATCCCTTGCCTGCGCAGTTCACAATAGGGTTCAAGCTCCTATGAGAATCTAATGCAGCTTATCTGACAGGAGGCAGAGCTCAGGCAGTAATGCGAGCGACGCGGAACAGCTGTAGATACAGATGAAGCTTTGCTCACCCACCACTCACCTCCTGCTTTGCAGCCCAGTTCCCAACAGGTCATGGACTGATAGCAGTCCATAGCCCAGGGGTTGGGAACCCCTGTTCTAGATGCTAATCTTTGTCAGTTATATATATTTTGAATACTTCTCCTGCTCATCATATGGCTTTTAACATGTTTGTGATCTCATGTGCCAAACAAATTATTTATATTTTAATACACAAATTTACCATTTTTTCTTTTATGTTTGCACTTTCTGTGTCTTCTTGAAAGAAAGAAGGGAAGAGGAGTAGAGAGAGAGAGACAGGAAGAGAGAGAGGGAGGAAAGGAAGGAATAAAGAAAGGAAGGAAGCTAACCCAAGATCACTCATTAATTTATTGAAAAAATGTTTACTGAGTGTCTACTTTGTTATTTGTTCTACTGTTGAGAGGTGACAGCGTGCTGGCAGTCCTCAGAGCCCTCACTTGCTCTCGGCACCTCCCCTGCCTGGGCTCCCACTTTGGTGGCATTTGAGGAGCCCTTCAGTCCCCCACTGCACTGTGGGAGCCCCTTTCTGGGCTGGCCAAGGCCGGAACCCACTCCCTCAGCTTGCAGGGAGGTGTGGAGGGAGAGACACGAGCGGGAACCAGGGCTGTGTGCGGCACTTGCGGGCCAGCTGGAGTTCCGGGTGGGCGTGGGCTTGGTGGGCCCCGCACTGGAAGCAGCCAGCCAGCCCTGCTGGCCCCGGGCAATGGGGGACTTGGCACCCGGGCCAGTGGCTGCGGAAGGTGTACTGCGTCCCCCAGCAGTGCCGGCCCACCGGCGCTGTGCTCGATTTCTCACCGAGCCTTAGCTGCCTTCCCGCGGGGCAGGGCTCGGGACCTGCAGCCCGCCATGCCTGAGCCTCCCACCGCCTCCATGGGCTCCTGTGCAGCCCAAGCCTCCCCGACGAGCACCACCCCCTGCTCCACGGCGCCCAGTCCCATCGACCGCCCAAGGGCTGAGGAATGCGAGCGCACGGCACAGGACTGGCAGGCAGCTCCACCTGCAGCCCCAGTGCGGGATCCACTAGGTGAAGCCAGCTGGGCTCCTGAGTCTGGTGGGGACGTGGAGAGTCTTTATATCTAGCTCAGGGATTGTAAATACACCAATCAGCACCCTGTGTTTAGCTCAGGGTTTGTGAGTGCACCAATCGACACTCTGTATCTAGCTGCTCTGGTGGGGCCTTGGAGAACCTTTATGTCTAGCTCAGGGATTGTAAATACACCAATCAGCACCCTGTGTTTAGCTCAAGGTTTGTGAGTGCACCAATCGAAACTCTGTAGCTAACTAATCTGATGGGGACGTGGAGAACCTTTGGGTCTAGCTCAGGGATTGTAAATGCACCAATCAGCGCCCTGACAAAACAGGCCACTCGGCTCTACCAATCAGCAGGATGTGGGTGGGGCCAGATAAGAGAATAAAAGCAGGTTGCCCGAGCCAGCATTGGCAACCAGCTCGGGTGCCGTTCCACACTGTGGAAGCTTTGTTCTTTCGTTCTTTGCAATAAATATTGCTACTGCTCACTCTTTGGGTCCACGATGCTTTTATGAGCAGTAACACTCACCGCGAAGATCTGCAGCTTCACTCCTGAGCCCAGCAAGACCACGAGCCCACCGGGAGGAACGAACAACTCCAGACGCGCTACCTTAAGAGCTGTAACACTCACCGCGAGGGTCTGCAGCTTCACTCCTGAGCCAGCGAGACCACGAACCCACCAGAAGGAAGAAACTCCGAACACATCTGAACATCAGAAGGGACAGACTCCAGACGTGCCACCTTAAGAGCTGTAACACTCACCGTGAGGGTCCGCGGCTTCATTCTTGAAGTCAGTGAGACCAAGAAGCCACCAATTCCGGACACACTATTACTTACAATAATATGTAAGACAGACAAAGCCCCTGCTCTTGTGGAGCTTACATAAATATATAATTGACTGTCTAGGAGGGAAGAGGCTATGAAGAGAAGTAAATAAGAGTAAGTGGATAGGGAGGAACTTTACCTAGGGCGGTCAGGGGATGCTATGCTGAGCAGAGACCTGGATGGAGTAAGAGAATAAAAGCCATGCACATATCAGGGACAAGAGCATTACAGGCAGAGGGAAAAGCCAAAGAAGAGGCTCTGAGATGGCAAAGATGTCTGAAGTGTTTGAGGAGCAGTCAACAAGAAGGCCGCTGGGGCTGGAAGTCAGTGAGCAGGCCAAGTGGTAGGAAACGAAGTGAGAGAGGTACACAGGGCAAGGGACATCTGTGGGCCACTGTAAAGAGGCAGAAAAGAGACCTTATCTTACTTGTAAGGTAGAAGAGTCACTGTGTTCTGCAGGGCAGAGAAGAGATGAAGAGAAGCATGAAAGAAGGCAGGGAGATTCATTGGAAGGGTACTGCAGTGTCCAGGCAAGACATAATAGCTGCATATACTAGGTCATCAAGGTCTATATATTCTTCTCTTTTAGAACATCGTTTGTTTTGTTATTGCTGCTGCTGCTGCTGTTGTTGTTGTTGTCGTTTTAACCTTTAGAACTTTAGCAGAATTTATTTTGAGATATGATGTCATTTTAACTTTTTTCCATATGAAGAGCCAATTGTCCCAACACCACTCTTTGAATATAGTCGTTCTTTTCCCAATCGAATTGTGAAACAAGTCATGTTATATATCAATGGCTCTCTTTTAAGGGGACTCTCTATTCTGGTTCATAGAATAGTTTTTCTATTTCTGTGTGAATGCCATCTTTTCAAATTGCTGTAATCTTGCACTATGTCTTGATATCGAGTAGAAGGGGTCTCACTCCACTATCCCACCACGTTTTGCTCCTCTCTTTCAAAATTGTTAAAAGATTTTTGTGTACTTCATTGTTTCATATTAACTTTAGGGTCAATTTGCTTTTGAGTTTCCCCAAAATCCTGTAGATGTATTGTGTTTTAACTACACTTAATTTAACTTACCCTAGGGGGAACTGACATCTAGAAAGTATTAAGTCTCCCAAGTGTAGACGGAACCAGCTTTCCATTGATCAGGTTCTTCAATAAAGTTTGAAACTTTTCTCCTTATAATCTTTTCAGGAACTTTATAATTTATATTGTTATTACAAACATCTTTTTTCCTATTGGGTTTCTTATTGGTTACTACTAATGACAAAGAACTATATTTTTAGTATCAAAAAATCCTTATCAAGTATAAAATGGCAAACAAATAGAAAAATAGTGGTCAAAGGACATGAACAAACAATTTTCAGGAGAAACAAAAATAACCAATTAACACATTGAATTTTTTAGCTTAATTAACAATCAAAGAAATGCAAACAGCTCTGAGATAATCATTTTACACCTGCCAAAGTAAAAAAGTTTGTTTTTAAATTCTTTTTATATTTATTTATTTATTTATTTATTTATTTATTTATTTATTTATTTTTGAGACGGGCGTCTCACTCTGTTGCCCCATCTGGAATGCAGTGATGTGATCATGGCTCACTGTAGCCTCGACTTCCTGGGCTCAAGAGATCCTCCCACCTCAGCCTCCTGCGTAGCTGGGACTACAGGCACACACCACCATGTCTAGCCTGTTTTTAAATTCTTGTGCTGACTTCGTTTTAAGGATAATAGTAGCAGGCATCTTAATGTCCACTTGGCAGGAGTGTAATTGGTATAACTTTGAGAAAAAGGAATGTAAGAAAATGTTCTAAGAACTTTAAAAACTGTTTATGCCCAATCCTAGGGATTCCAGCCTGAGGAAAAAAATGTAAGATTGTCATAGTGAATGTTCACCCAAGAGTCATTTCTGATAACAAAAACTTGACAGAATCTAAATGTTTGACACCGGGCGAACACTTAAAGAAAGTGTGGTACAGGCCATGTGATGAAATGATCTAGCCATCATAATAACCATGTCTGAAAATTTTTGAATGGCTGAGAAAATGTGCAGGAAGAAACATCAAATGAGAAGGATCTATAGGCATATATAATTAGATTAGAGAAAATACATCATAATATAATCATATTCATCTCTGACAGTGGACTACCAGTAATTTCCATATTTTCATTATGGTTATATTTCCTAAATTTTTTACAATAACCATGTATTATCAGGACATGAAAATATTAAATAGATAAATGATCAAAACTGCTGTAAGAAACTAAAAGTGTGAAAGGATCTATCAGTTAACTTTTCAATGTTTGGTTTATTATATGTAATAACAGATACACACTACCTGTGGGCAGGCTATTATCTGCTTGAAAAGTGTGAAATGTTGGTTGTAACAATTTAGCTCCTACCAAGAAGGAGCCCACAAGATAGTCTTAAGATCCCTGATTAAAGCAAATGCAGTGGTAAGATGTGAGAGCTAAACAGTGTCAGGAACAGGGCGTTTGTCTAGGTATCTTAAAATGCATAGGATTTCTTTAAACCGGCAACTCTTCATAGTTCTAAATTACATATATTGTTCGTTCTTTCACTCAATAAATATTTCCATGCATATTTGGATCTAGACTTTAACGCAATGTTGACATTTTAAGGGAGATGAGCGTGTTGTTATTTTGGCAAAAACAAACACGTTATTTCAAAGGTTTATGCTGTTAGTTGGTCCGGTGTCCAAGTCCAGCACACCCGCGAATATAATCACACCCACAACCTTGCTGGGTGCTGTAATCCACTCCTCTCGCTCTCGCAGCCAGGAAAGATTTCAGAGTATCCTCTTACACTTACGTGTAACTGCCTACCGAGATATTTTTATCGTATCCTCAAAACCACTCATCTCCTTTTCATTTGCCTTTTATACTTACAATAACTTCAACTCTTTCCTCTTTCTGAAAACAAGGAAGTTCTCTTGATATTTATGTATTTATTTTGCTAGGAAACAAATTGGAATGGAGCCCATATTTCTATTCAGTGTCAATAGAGCTCATAAAGAGACCAGTTTCCCCCTCAGTTTAGGCCTCTTGGTCAAATTTACTCAGCTTGCCAGTCAGCAATTCATCCCACTCACAAGCCCTGGGCTTCTCTAGAGAATAAATAACCTAGGCCTGGAGCTCTGTGACTAATCATGTTTGCCCAGCCCTCACCATTCCTTCATTAAACGGCTTTTAGAATTCAGCTTCCTCCGTCCACCAGTGAGTAACAAATGCAGAGACTCTCCGGCCCAAACTCCATTCTAACATGGCAGCTTCCTCTTCACTCATTCCCAGCAGCATGCGTGTGGGTGTACATATTGTTAACGTGCTGTGTGTTCCTGCTCAGCATTTGCTCAGCTATACAGACACCCTCACCCTCGTATCTGCCCCCATCGGTCCTGTCTGCATTTAGAGGCCAGCCCTCAGTCAACAAGTGCACAGCAAACAGCGCTAGGAGGGATTTTTATGCCCACACAACAATGATGAAACTGCGCGTATGAGGCACCTAGGACAATCAGATTCATAAGGGAAGAAAGTAGAAGAGTGGTTGCCAGAACCTGGGGGAAGCAGGGAAGCGGGGAAGTGGGAGTTGGTGTTTAATGGGTACAGAGTTTCTGTTTGGGAAGGTGACAAAGCTCTCTCTGGAGATAGATGCACAGTGGTGGGTGCACATGAGTGGGAATGTATTTAACTGTATTTGAGTGTGCGCTGGACTGAACACTCAAACATGTAAATGGTAAATTTTATGTTATGCATATTTTATAACAATTTTTAAAAACCCAAATAGATAGAAAGAAAAAATGACAAGGAAAAAGCAGCCCTGTTTCTCTTGCGTAATCCAAGTCCCTTTTATCTAGATGCTGCCTCTTAACATTCCAGATGGGTGAGCTCTTAGATTTTCAGAGTTCCACACCGGGTCAACTGGTGAAAGGGAGCTGGGAAGAACGGGAGAGAAAGGAGACTCAGATGCAGCAGTGCCCATGAGAGCTTGCAGAGAAACTGCATAGAGAAAGCACCAGGCTTCAAAATCCTTGCAGGCTTTTTTTTTTTTTTTTTTTTTTTGCCCCTGGCTTCAGAAGTCCTTGCAAGGCACTTGTTTCTGGACTTTGCCTTGTTTTGGGGTGAGCAGCTTCCTCCCCAACTCCAACCAAGTTGATTCTTGTTATTTGCCCAGCAGCTTCACACACTGCCACCCTGGATAAAAGACAGTTTCTCCCTCTCCCCAACCCTGTCCAGCCCATTGAGACTCCGCCCCAGCTGTGCCTGCCCCTAGCCCAAATATCAGGGAAGACAGATGAGACTGGACAAGTAAATGGCAGCAAGCATCCAACTCTGCATTTTTCTGAGCTTTCTCCCCAATTCCTAAGTAAAATTCCTAAAGTAAAAATGGAATTTTTGCTGGAACAATTTTTAAGTCTAGCAAATCTGCCACATTCCTTAAACGACAGCTGCGGTAAGTGCAGCTACCGGGCTGTTGTGCAACATTCAGCCAATATTGGCACAACCGAGCACATGGATAAAACATGACATGCTTTCTCTGTTTTCCATGTTTTGCCACAAAAATTCTGTTCACAAAAGTCTGTGAGTCTTCAATGTCTGTCATTTCTGTGGGCTCATCTGGAAATTTAGAAAGTGCCCTTTCAGTTAAAATTCCTCCCCTGTCAAGTGATAGCGGTCTCCCCCTTGCCTTAGATAACACATTCCTTTCTCACCTGAACAAATGTTTACTTGCATATACTAAAGCAGCTACAACTACTATTTTTGTTTGGCATTTTCAGGGGATAATATGTAAGGTTGAGGATTTTTTTTAAATCCCGCTTTCCGAGATAACAAAGACCCACTAATCTGCAAAGATCAAATTCTTCCGCTCAATTAACATTTTACAACCTCCCTACTCTGTGGAAACAATTCTAAACAATTTGTACTGGTAACAATTCTAAACAATTTGCAATCTGTTTGAGTAGAAATCGGTAGAAATTAACAGCAAGGTGTTACTTGAAGTGAACTAAAACAACAAAATTTGAATCTCAAATTATAATTTATGCTTTACAGGTCTGACATATCAAAAAGGGAAGGAAAAATTCAGAAAACTACTCATAATGCCACAAGAGTGTCTCTAATTTAATTGCGCTATCCTCAGCAATAGGAAAAACAAAAATTTTCGTTTCTAGGAAATGGATTTTTAAAATATTCAGAGTACCTCCTGCCTTCTTGGAAAAAAAAATTCATTATTCTTTTAGTTAAAGGATTCTAACAAATTGAAAAGAAAACTAGTAAAGAGAGTTGAAAAGCTTTGTCAGATTAAAAACAAAATATCTACTATGCCAAGCCAAAATATTTTTCCAAAGCCAGGTTCTAAGACGTGAATTACATCTTTCAAGACCCCAAAGGATCATTCCAGATTGGATTTCATAAAAATAAGTACAATTTTGACCAAGAAAGTTTATTCAACAATAATATTGCCAAACCCTAACCAATGACCATTCACTATAACAAAATTTTAACACAATATATTAATGCTTTCAGTGAGCTATGATCACACCACTGCACTTCAGCCTAGGTGACAGAGTGAGACCCTGTCTCAAAATAACAATAATAGTACTGCTTAAACAGGCCTCGCAAAGTCCATATACAGTAGGTGATAAGTATAAAACAATACAGAAGCAGCTTGCTTAAATACAATAATGTATTCCTGCAAAGATGAAGGTAATTTAGATTTTTGTACCATTAAATCATATTTTTAAGACCAAGAAATTCTCCATCTAAAAGAACACTGTGGTAAGCTTATTAAATAAAGTGTCATAAAAATAAAATCATCACCTCCTAACTTATGTGCTTTTTTTCACACATCATTTCAGACATCAGGCTTTCCTAAATGGCAGATTCCCAAATAATACAACCTTTAGACTTTAACATGGCCCCCTATGAAAGAGTTCATGTCCCCCTTGAACACCTGACTAGTAATGATGTAAAACATCCACACTGTGGAGAATCACACTTATATAGGCAACTTTATGTGGTCCAGTAGTTTTCAAAAGTAGGATTGAAACAAAAGATTGACAATAACCTAAATGGCCAGGAATGGGGGAACCAGTTACAAAACCTATGGTGTTTCCCTACACTGGAATCCTGTGCAGCTGTAAAAAAAAAAAAAAAAAAAAAAAAAAAAAAAAATACATGAGGGTGCTCTCTATGTATATATGTGGTAAGTCCTCCAAAATATAATGTAAGGGGAAGGGGAAGCAAGGTGCAGAACACGGGGTATAAAAATCTATCATTTGTGTAAAGGGGATGGGGAAAATAATATAAATCTGTATCTATTTGTCTATGCATTTTTGAAATCCCTGGAACGATATATTAGCAATTAACAACTGCAGTGACCTATGCAGGGAAGTAAATGGGGAGATGATAGAGGAATGGGTTAGGAGAGAGATTTTCCACCACATCTTATTTTCTACTTTTTGATTTTTGAACCATGTAAATGTATTACTATTTGAAAAAAATAATAATTTTATAAAAACTCCAGGTCAGATCAAGCCATCATGAGTCATATATTTTCGACATACTCATTACATCCTTGGGAGCCTATGTTTAGCTTCCCCGACATTAGAGCCATCCGCTTTGCCTAGAAGCAGAGCCTGAGACTGGGATTTGGATGCTTGTAACTGACTGAACGAATGCGCTCAGGAGAAACCTGTTCTGGAGTTATGGAGTGGAGGAAGCAGAATAGAGCAGGGAAAGCGTCAAGCAAGGATACAGTCTTAGATAAAGTCCAGCCTTGGGCGGAACCACACAGGGGCTTAGGATCACCACAAACTCTCTCCTCAAGACTAAAAGGCCAGCTTTACATACCCCAATGTCAGACTCTAGGCCCCAGAGTAGGGGGAAGTGGGCTTTAACTTCTCAGATTCTGTAGCTCCTGTTCAGCTAGGGGGAAGTATCCTGAGACGGGGGGCAGCTATGAACGGTTAGCAACCGTGATGGTTAAGTTTATGTGTCAACTTGATGGGGCCAGGGATGCCCAGATATCTGGTTAAGCATTATTTCTGGGTGTGTCTGTGGGGGTGTTTCCAGAAGAAATTAGTATTTGACTAGTAAAGTAAGTAAAGCAGATGGCCCTACCCAATGTGGGTGGCCATCACCCAATCCACTGAGGGCCTGAATAGAACAAAAGGGTGGAGGAAGGTTAATTTCACTCTTTGCCTGTTGGCTTGCACTGAAACATCAATCTTCTCCTGCCCTCAGCACTCCCAGTTCTTAGGCCGTTAGACTCAGACTGAAGTCTACACCATTGGCTCTCTGGCTGTCAAGGCTTCAAACCTCACTGACTTTCCTGGGTCTCTACAAAAGGCAGATCATGGGACCTCTCAGCCCCCATAATTGTATGAGTCAATTCCTTATAATAAATTTCTATTTCTCTAAAGAACCTTGACTAATATAGCTGTATCAGTTCATTTTCATGCTGCTGATAAAGACATACTCAAGACTGGGTAATTTATAAGGAAAAAGAAGTTTAATGGACACACAGTTCCACGTGGCTAGGGAGGCTTCACAATCATGGTGGAAGGCCAAAGGCACATCTTACATGGCAGCAGACTAGAGAGAATGAGAGCCAAGAGGAAGGGGTTTCCCCTTACAAAGCGATCAGATCTCATGAGGCGTATTCACTACCACGAGAATAGTATGGGGGAAACTGCCCCCATGATTCAATTATCTCCCACAAGTTTCCTCCCATAACACGTGGGAATTATGGGAGCTACAATTCAAGATAAGATTTGGGTAGGGATGCAGCCAAACCATATTAACAGCCAACCAGTATTCACAGCAGCCAGGGAATGGATGCACAGCCTGGGGTATTTGGGTAGGGTACCAGCAGCATCCACTGCACCAGGGGTCCTCAACCTTCGGTGCATATCATAATCACATGGAGAGCTTCTTAAGACAATTCACTGGGCACCTGCCCCAGAGTTTCTGATTCAGTAAGTGGAAGAGGGGAGGGGAAGAGAAATGGAGGGGCTTGATAATTTGCATTTCTAGCAAGTTCCCAGATGATGCTATGCTGCTGGTCCTGGGATCGACCATACTTTGAGAACCACCGTCCTACATCGTCTTTGCCTCTTGCTTCTCCTTTACCTCTGTAGCCAATCTTAGTACCTTCTTAATTTCCTTCGAATTCCTTTCTCAGTGTACTGCTTCCTCTCTGTTCCTGTTGCTGACACTCCAGTGCAGGTCCTTATTCTGTCAGACCTAGATTAGAGGCAATTATTACACAGACAAAGAAAAAGCAAGACTTTTTATGAATTACCCTTATTGGCTGACTATACCAATTAAAACCATAGGGTAATTGTCCAACTCATTTTAATTGTCTGTAAGACCACATGGAGGGCTTGACATGTGTTCAAACAGTGAAGGAGCTGCTGAAGTTCCTAGCCAACAGTCCACATACTACCTTTGTTCTTTTCTACAATAAGTTATACAGATCACCTAGTTCAATAGTTCTCATGGCATAGTAGCACTGTGGTACAGAGAAGCTGCTCTCAGAACTGGGTGAGGATGGGTCACTGATCTCCTGCAAGCCTTCTACTTTATAGATGAGGAAACTGAGGCCCCAGTCACAGGCACATGCCCTGGAGTAATGCATAACTCCTTGTCCTGGGAGCACCCCTGCTCGGTATCCAGAATGAGGACCTCAGGTTTGGGCCTTTCACAGCCCAATAACTTCCGCAGCAGTCAGTTCACCAACTTCATCTCCACCTCCTGCTTTCCAGGTTCCTTGTCCCCAAGAAACAATGAAACTAACATTTATTGAGCCCCTAGTTTGTTCAAGAAATTGTACCAGGGCTATCATATATACTACCTCTTTTTCTCCCTTACACATCTCACCAAGACCAATGTTGGGAGTAGGATGAGGCAGGAGACATGCCTCATCCCAATACGAAACAGGGCCACTACCTTGAGAATGGGAACAACCACCTTCTGGATGCCCTAATCCTGGTATCCCTGACAAAGCCAAATCATCATAAATGACATTGTGCATGCAATTATGGCAGTACTACACACCTTGAGAAATTACAGTACTGTGTAACAATCGTCAATAAGAAATGACCTTTTGGTTCCAACAATTACCAACACCTTTATAAAATAGAGACTGGTGGCAGCCACCCAGAAAAGCCATCTGTAACCTCAATTTTATCTCCTAGACTCTGTCCTTGGGGTCATGTGGGAATGGAGGCTTCATTCTACATAGGGTGGGGTGTCTCCAATGGGAAGACTTCTTTTTTTTTTTTTTTGAAACGGAGTCTCACTCTGTCGCCCAGGCTGGAGTGCAGTGGCGCCATCTCGGCTCACTGCAAGCCCCGCCTCCCAGGTTCATGCCATTCTCCTGCCTCAGCCTCCCAAGTAGCTGGGACTACAGGTGCCCGCCACCACGCCTGGCTAATTTTTTCTATTTTTTAGTAGAGACGGGGTTTCACCATGTTAGTGAGGAAGGTCTCGATCTCCTGACCTTGTGATCCACCCGCCTCGGCCTCTCAAAGTGCTGGGATTACAGACGCGAGCCACCGCGCCCGGCTACCAATGGGAAGATTTCTTGCTCCTTTGATAGAGTGGCTTCCTTCAGGCAGTTCCCATGTCTAGAACTCTGTCACCCAATATGGTAGCCACTGGCCACATGTGTCTATTTCAGTTTAAATTTAAATCAGTTAAATAATAACATTAAAAATTTTATTCCTTAATCTCATTTTCCACATTTCAAGTGCTTAATAGCCACATGTGGCTAGTGGCTACAGTATTGGACAGAGCAAATATAAACATCTCCACCATTGCAGAAAGTTCTGCAATGGACAGGACTGGCCTAGTTTTCCCTATACTTGACTTACTCAAAATCTTATTTCTCAGAGTCACCTAGAAAGAAAAAAACTCATTTCCTCCTTAATTATACAGAATCTGGCTTTGTCTTTATCATCCCTTAGTTCCTCCATGACTTTTAACTGCCTGAATTCATTTTAAAAATAAGTTCATCTATGTCCACAGTTCTCAAAGTGGAGTTCAGGGATCCATGAGTCTCCCCAAAACCCTTTCAGGGGGTCCACAAGGTCAAAACTATTTTCATAGTTATATAACACACAAAACAATAGCTCTTTGGGACCCTCAATTATTTTTTAGAGTATAAAAGGGAGCCTGAGATGAAAAACTGTCAGCACTGCCAAGCTATGTTATTAGTGTTAATGATACCATTGGCCATTTTTGGTTTTATTCCTATTTTTGACATATACCCATCACTAGATAAGAAAGACTAGTCCCAGCCCAGAGTTCCATTGTTCTCAGCTTGTCTGCAGCAGCATTAAGGAAGCGGTCATCTCAAATCCCTTGTAGAACGAAACTGGCATCAATAGGAGAATAAGAGCTCTGTTGTCCCACTTATGAACAAGCAAAAATAAGCATCTTTTCAGGAAACAGAACAGCAGGCAATGAGAGTGAACAGCGGAAATGTCCCTCTACCAGCTCTCCCCAGACCTGCCCCTGCCCTCTGTACCTTAGCGAACTGAAAAAAGTCCAAAGCCGAGGGAGGGAAAGAAGCCAAGCCCAAGGGCTGTGATGCCAAGACAAGACGAGGGTGAGCAAGGGTCACATTCGAATCAGTGGCTGCTAATAAGATTGGTATCAAAACAAACTATTTAAAAATCAATTAAGTGAGAAAATATGCACTTGTATATTTTAGAGGTCAATTGTTTTTTGTTTTTTTTAAAGCAGGTCTGAAGAAGTATCTGTTTCAAGTTGTTTAAGCTTAGTGAGATGGACTTTTTTGCTAAAGAGTTCCAGTGGTACAGAAATCAGGAACAGAGAAGAGGTAAGGCCTCCTTTTTTAAAAAAAAAAGTTGGTATCTGAAAGGATAATAAAATTGAAGAGCATACCAAAGTTATGAATATCAATAAAGTGAAATCTAGAACCTAGAACCTAGGCTGCTGATCTGAGGGAAATTATCAAAAGGTTGGAAAAAATTATATTCTTTTCTGTCCATTTTTCTCTTTGGAATGAGAATTTTAAAAGGGACAAAAGGAAGCTGGAAAGGGGGAGATAGTCTCTGAAGGCTTCGCTATGCTTCTTCTTCCCTCCTTCCTCACTTCACCCACTCTCATACCCTCAAATAAAAACAGCAGCAGCGTTAGCAGTAATACCTCTCACGTATCAAAGCCTTGCTGTGTGCAAAGTACTGTTCTAAACGCTTTAGATGTAGCGACTCATTTAATCACCACAAGCCTATGATGTGGGTACTCTTATGAATCTTCATTTTATAGACAAGGCAAGTGAGGCCCACAAAGGTAAAGAAATTGTCTAAGGTCTTTGCACTTCTAAGCCTAAGGGATGGGGAAAGCATAGGTTTAAGTGGGGTGTATGATACTTGCAGTTTACTATAAGAAAAAAATGTACCATTTGAGCCTACATTTTTTCTTTTGAAGTTACTCTTCAGTGTATTTAAAAATAATTATTGGAAAATTATTTCATGTTGACACTGTTTAATATTTTAGTATTTTAACAACTTCCAGATGTTGATGGGGTGGCTAACGGTGCACACACTTGTCAAAACTCATCAAACTACACTAGAGATCTGTGCTTTGTATTATATATAAATTATGCCTTCATAAATTTTAATACTGTAAAATTATTTTAGGTTTATATTGTGTAATATTTTCTATTTAGGCCTTAATAGGAAAGAGCTAAATAAAAGGGAAAGAGAATGGTATTTGTATTTCTTTCTCTTTACTGCCCACATTTAAGAAGAGCCTAACTGTTGATACTCAGCTGCCTTTTCTGTAAAATGGGGATAAAATACCAACTTGTTAAGGTTGCAGAAGAATTGGATGATAAAAGTACAAACAGTGCCTAACACTGCCTGGTACATACTAGGTAATTAACAAGAGGCAGCTGTGACAGCGGTTCTCCCACCCCCACCTCATTCCCTCTCCCTGTGTCTATCCTTTTCCTTCCTCGGTATTGGTTTCATTCCAAGGCAGACAAGCTCTTCTCTTGTGGTGACAAGATGGCTGTGAGCAGGTTCAAGTTTACACCCCTATCTCCTCGCAAACTTCAGCAGAAAAACAACTAAGCGTTACAACCAAAGTGTCAAGAACTGTGAAGGATCTGGGATTTTACATTTGTCCATGTTTCGTGAATGCTACATGAAGATATGAGACTCCTAGGTCAGAAATGAAGGACAGTTTCTTACAACAATAGCAGTAGCTAGATTATCTGCTAACCAGTGTTGTGCTGGTTCCCCAAGATCCAATTCCCACAGGGCAATATACAGAGAGCCAGGTGACACCTCTACATGCAACAGATTGCATTACAGGAGAGGAGCCTTAAGTTCAATGAACCTGACACTTTAATAGTGGGCAGAAAGCATGCCTGCTCCTTGATCTAGAGAGAGAAATTATCTTCATTACACTGGACAGTAAGCATACCTGTCTTTTTGGCCTGGAGGGAGATAATATCACAGTCTTTCAAGGTTGTTGATACATGAACCTCCTCGAAAAGATAATCTTCAAAAAAGAGCATTTGATGCCTCAGTTGTAAGGCGTGCAGTAATGCTGGAGACCAATGGAGAATTGGCTCCTAATGCAGAGTTCCAGAAATGAGTTTCATTGGTTTACCTTGGGTCATATGCTCACCCCTGAATCAATCATTGCGGTCAAGGGAAAGGATTGCATTGACTGGCCAGGCCAGAGCCATATCCCAGAACTGGGGAGAGGAATTGGCTCCAAAGCAAAAACAATACAATAGCACCCATACCTTCCATTCTCGAATTTGACAAGGGATGGCAAACATCATGCTATGGCTACACATCTGTGAAAACACCTTTCAATTCATATAGAAAGTTTCTATTTTGGCACTGGAACCACAAAATTATAGCACATCGGTGATATGTGGCAACTGTAACTAAGTACAATGCAGTAGTAATACCAAAAGAAAGTAAAATGAAAACCAAAGAATATGAGATGACATTTTGAGGACAGCACTCAATAATTAAGAATTCCTCTAGACAGTCTAAGGTTTGACTGTAAGATAGTTTGATGAAAGTTACATCGATTAACTGCTAACTTTGTTTTAACTCTTCAAGTTATTCTTTTGTAACTTAATAGTTTAGGTGAGTTCGCTCTTTGAAGGTCCCGATGAAATAATGAGAGTCGGTGTGTTGCTCATCTCAGTACCACGGTCTATTTTTTTAATGCTGTTTTTGAATTTGCCGAGGTAACCATCAAACAAAGTCTGGATGACCAAATGTCTGGCAAGGATGTTATGAATGGGATAGGAGGTTATGAGAGATGTGTTTTCCAAACTGAATGGAACCTTTGATTATCTCATATGTCAACAGGTTTTTGTAAAAAATAAATAAATAAACAAAAGACAAGTTTTGTGGTCAAATTTAAGAAGCATGCTACAAAAGTAAACAGGTTTCTTTACTGTGGGACTTCTAGGTGCCGTTAAAGTATTAACATATGTTGGGAATCTCCACACAAGAGGCATAGAATGCAGCATTCCTTATACTTCTTTGACCTCAGAACCACCCTTTTTTTCACAGAATACCTAAAAATAATTCAATAAAACACAGGACAAAATGAATATGAATGATTCTTACCAAATCCAAGATTTCACAATTCTATTACTTTATCTTCCATTTAAGACCTAATAGAAATATGACCAATGATTTTTACATTTTCATATAATTAAGTGACAATATGTACAGGAGTACATTTTCCCCAGTAGATTACACAATTCTTCAACAAATTACTGAAATTTTAGTTCAGCTCCAAGTTCTTTTACCGTAACAAAGCATTTAGGTTTCATATGTCTAACTAAATGTGTCAAAATTAAACATGATTATTACAGACCAACAGACAAAATAAAGTCAAAACTATCTGAACACTGGCATTTTCTTCAGTCTAAAATATACTTTTTACTGCGTGTGCAGCCATAAAACTAGCATTTATGCCAGGGCTAGGATTAGTATTATCGTACTGCAGATGCACTGAGGTGCTTTTAGCAATTTTGAAAGGCAGCTTCGTATTCCCAACTGTAATAGAATGCCTGAGAAATCACACCCACCATTCTAAGACCAGCATAATTATGGGAGTAAAAACAACTAAATAGCTTTGACACAGCCCTTTGGCTGTCTCAAAATACAAAGACATTAAGTTAATGCAGTCTGCTGCTCTCAAGAAATGTGGATTCTGCCCTTCCATTCTAGTTTGAAACAAAAATTGGTAGCATAAAATTGAGAAGTAAACGAGCCAAGAAACATATCCATATTTTTTGTAATAGCCTTGCCCCTGCAGAATAAATCCCACACTGAAAATGTAGTTAGCAATAGAAAATGAGCAAATCACAGACTCTCAGAGGCAAAAAGGACCTTAGAGATCATCTGGTAGTATGCAGACCAAGTTGTGCAATTTATTTTTTTGAAAGCAAGAAGTTTGGTCACGGGAGAAAGATGCCTCAAGGTGGATAATGTCTTACTACACTTACTATTTCACGTTCCTTGCCAGTCTGATATTACTCCAACAATTGCACACACTCTTCCCAGACTAAAGTTGGGAGCTGAACAAAATATAAAAGCAGGGACAATGGAGAATCCATCTTGGTGATGGTGGCAACAGCACTGACAGCAATGGGAGCCACATCAGGATTCCAGGGCAGAGGGGATAGCATCCATTGTCCACCTCCACTGGTCTGGTGACACAAGCTGTGGCCTCCAGTGTTCACTGAAAGCAGGAGTGTCACATTGAGATGTGATTTTTAGCAAAGTTTTGGCCATATCAGCTAATATCTGAGCTAGGTTCCAGCCATCCTGGCAACACTATGAGCCACCCAAAATCTTTTTGTGAAATCTTTTCCCACTTAAGTCATCCAGAGTTCAGTTTATTCTTCCAGAGAAAGAGAGTGTGTGGGATGGTCTCCTCTGGGTGGTCTCACTGAAGTGTACTAAACTCATGTATCCGTGGCAGATACCCTTTTTTTTAATGGTAGGAAGAGCCATTATTGGTTGCAACAGGAAGTAGAAGAAGAGGGAATAGTAAAGTTCCCTTTCCTGGGGCAGCATCTGCAGACGTGGATGTCACCCTCCAAAAGCCAGATACCCTTATTTGACACCAGCCTTTTGATCAGATTTCAGCAACACTTCTGCTTTTCTGAGTTGCTTCAGAAATATCACCAAATTCTAGGAGCACCATGCTATATTTTCATATACTGGCCACAGGAGAGAAGGCTAGAAAGGTCTGTGGGGCCACGCCTAAGAGGACTTTGAATGTCAGGCATGAG
Organism: Homo sapiens; assembly: GCF_000001405.40. NCBI lineage: Eukaryota > Metazoa > Chordata > Mammalia > Primates > Hominidae > Homo > Homo sapiens. Next base: position 20,350,621 of record NC_000023.11, on the reverse strand, counting down.
TTTTGCAAGTTTATGAACAGAAGGATAGTATGACTACAGCAGCACTTTCATCAGCTAATGATATATAGAATTAACTGAAAGGAGATGGGTCCCCTCCACCACCTCTGATTTTCACTGCAGCTGTGTGGACAGTTACCATGCAGACTAGAATCATCCTACTGTCCCACCTCATGATCTTCCATGTCTCTCAGCTTTTCTTTTTTTGCCTCAGGACTTTTGCTAAAGCTTTTTCAAGGTTGTTTTCTCATACAGAACAGTCCAGAAGCACACTTGGGGTGGGGGATGAAGTTATTGTCCCAGAGAAAACTCTCAACAAATGGATAATGAGAGTATATAAATGCTCCTGTGTCCCCCAACAATGGGGAGACATTTCTAAGATGTATTCTACACATTGAGCCCCAGTTGACCACCAGGACAACTAGCTCAATAAAGTACATTTGATTGCTTATTCCTGCTTCCCTATCTCACTCACACAACTCCCTCATCCCTACTTCCTGGGATCATCTCTCAAATAAGCTACCAAGCCCTTGTTTCAGGGATTGTTTCAAGTTTCAGGGAACCCAAACTAAGACCATAGTGGACATTTGCTCTGTCCAGCATCTTTTGAACAACTAACTCTCTTATATTTGAGGAATTCCCACGTTAGGTTCCCACATCCCAGAGGTGGAAACCCACATACTTTCCCAGCCTCCCTCACAGCTTGGGCACAAGTGTTTTTCCTAAGCTCAGCCAATCAGATGCACCCACCTGCAACTTTGATTCAGAAGACAGCTGGGTAAGAAAGTAGGCATTACATAGAATCATTGTTCACGTGAGTGTGGCAGATGTGACAAAAAGGCATCGAGCAGTGCTGGCCATAGCATTCCATGCAGTTCGGCCATGATATGAGGCTATATGGTGATAGTACCCAGCAAGACCTCGACTGGAGCATACAAGTGGTATAACTAAGGTGTTGTTCCTGACTGTATAGCCTCCAAATCAGATTCTCTGACCCTCCCAGTGTTTCCTGAAACAGTAAATTATTTGGTTGTTGTTGTTGTTGTTTGAGTCTTGCTATGTCACCCAGGCTGGAGTGCAGAGGCACAATCTTGGCTCACTGCAACCTCTGCCTCCTGGGTTCAAGCGGATTCTCCTGCTTCTGCCTCCTGAGTAGCTGAGACTACAGGCGTGTGCCACCACGACCAGCTAATTTTTGTATTTTTAGTAGAGATGGGGTTTCACCACATTGGCTAGATTGGTCTTGAATTCCTGACCTCAGGTGATCTGCCCGCCTCGGCCTCCCAAAGTGCTGGGATTATAGGTGTGAGCCACCACACCCAGCCCGAATGCTTTGTAATAAATTATTACGGGCCTAAACTAGCTAGAGTGGTAGGATAGAGCCTGACTAGTGACTCACCAAATCTCTTCTTCCTGGCAGAAAGCAGAATTACATTTCCCAGCCTCCCTTGCAGTTGGCTGTTGCCACGTATTTGATTTTGGGCAATGAACATGAGTGGAAGTGATGCACTACTTCCAGGTCCAGCCCATCAAAGCCTCTCAGGCATTATCCTACAGCCTCTTTCACCTTTTCCAGCTGAATGCAAAGAATGCTGAGGCACAAAGCCATAAGAGAGAAGGAACCTGGGTCCTAAATGACCACTTGGAAGGCCACCTATGAATCAAGAACACCCATTTTGAGCTTTGCTATGGTCTGAATGTGTCCCCAAAAATTCACGTATTGGAAACTTAATCCCCAATGCAACACTGTTAGGAGGCGGGGCCTTTTGGGAGGTGTTTAAATCACGAGGGCTCTGTCTTCCTCGTGAATAGATTAATGCCATTATAAAAAGGGATATCGGGAGTGGGTTCACTCTCTTTTGCTCTTCTGCCATGTGAGGTCACAACATTAATCCCCTTTTGTCCTTCTGCTTTCTGCCATGTGAAGACACAGCGAGGAGGTCCTCGTCAGATGCTGGCAACTTGATCTTGGACATCTCAGCCTCCAGATCTGTGAGAAAATAATTTGTGTTGTTTATCAACTACCCAGTCTCAGGTATTCTGCTATAGCAGCACAAATGAACTAAGACAGGCTTCATGGGAGTGATATAAGGGTTTCTATTGTGTTAAAGCCATGCAGATGTTGGGATTTATCTGTTACGGCAGCTAACGTTACCCTAACTGGTACAAGTGGGTTCTACTGTTCACAACAGAACTAAAACAAAGACTATGGCAAATTCAGGACACTAAAGATAGTTCAGTAAGCTGGCAAATAGAGAGCAAAGGGGACTGTAGCAATAGATCAGACTAGAGACAAAGGCAGAGGACAGATGAAGGAACAAGGCCTCGCGGAGTTTGTTTTAGTAACTGCAAACTCCAACAATGTCAAACCTCTAGAGAGTGCAGTCAGAGAGGCACACAATATTCTCATTGTATCCACAGTCATTGTTTTCTCCTAAACTGCTGATTATATTTTCTAGCCAAATAAATTAATAAGTGGGTTCTGAAGAAGTTGATGCATCTTCAGAGAGACCCCCCAGAAATAAAAAGGAGCAGGTAACTAAGATCTTTGGAGGAAGGATAAGTTATTTAATGTGAAGAGGGGGGAAAAAACTCCAAGAAAACTACTCTGGTGACGGGAGGCAAAGACTAAGCTAGCAGAAATGAAGGGGTGTCATAGAGGTCCTTCCACATATTTATAGAAGGGCCATAAGGAGAGGCTCTAAGTGGGCTTGCTAAACCCGAGCATTCCTATAGCTACCCACCTGTGAAAGCAGAGGAGGAAGGGGCTTAAAATAAGCTAGATTTGCTTGACAGGAACTTGGGAAATCTGTATAAATCAACACAGATTTGTTTCTCTGTTCTCTGGGAGTATAGGCAGTGCTAAAGAACAGACACAGCTGGTTTCCAGCCAAATAAAATCATGTTGTTTGGAAGCCCATATCTCTCATAAACTCAGCATAGATGCCTGGAATGCCGGCTTTTGATTACAATGAGTTCATGCATCATCATTTGGCAAACTCCAGCACCTTCTTCTTGTCTCTTTGAAAGTACGCCAAATGTCAACGATTATTCGACAATCAGCAATTTAATGGGGGAAATTAGCAAGTAATGGAAAAAATAATAACGGACAAATAGAAAGTGAGGTATGAAAGACTTGCATAAGGTGAGAGAAAAATATGCTGAAGTGGGGAAAATTCTGTTTAAAGAGATTATTTGCAAAATACTAGCTATGTCCTTCTTGTTCCCAGAATTAGGGGCTTCCCAGAAGGACCCAGTATGATATTTTTATCTTACTTAACTCTAATAAAACTGTGTTATTGCATTCCCTCTGTTATCGCAGGCAACATTCTCCTTTATTAGTTCATTCACTGGTTTTCTTAATAGTACTGCGGTGCACTACATTTGGAAAATTTCAGTGTATGGGCTGAACCAGCAAGTCAAGCCTTTACATTTTACAAAACTCTCACAAAAGGCCTTCCATTAAATAGTATTTGCTGAAAATTATACCATTATCAAGATCCCACAAGGCAAAGAACATTAGATGTCCTGATGAAAATGGCTGCCATCCTCAAGATGCAGAGACAAGTCTATTATTTTCCCTTTGTGAGAGTTCACACTCACACCAGGAGCAATTACACTCAGCAAGAGCCATTTCAAGGATTATTTTATGTGGAAGCATGACTGATTAGCCCTACCTTCATCTCTCCTCTGACAACAAAAAGTCTGACCTATGCTTCATGGAAAAGTGCATATCTAGCTAACAGCTTGTTTAACAAATATAACCAGGGTAATTAATTTGGAGAATTTAAGTGAAAAAAATTAGTGTTTGAATTACATTCACTCCTTTTAAAGTTCAAGTCCTCATTTTTTAAAATCCAAAAATCCTCATTTTTCACTTCAGCCCAGCATCTTTCTTCCAGGTGACTATTGTCACCTGTCAAATGGTGTTGTACGCAATGAGATTTGCTGGTCTCAGTGCTGGTGCTAGAGATCAGTACTTTGCTGCCAGAAGCAGCTCCTAGATCTTGTCTACTAACTAAACTCTCTATCTTAGTCAGATGTGCAATGTTCAAACTCAGTTGGTCACCTAACATTGGTATTTGCCTTCACATGAGTAATCTGAAGCTGGACACAGAAAAATTATTTTAGAGTTAAACTTCTTCCTAATTTGTTCCTCATCATCTCATTCTTTTTTGACAGTTCTATGGTGTTACACAAGAGCCAAGAACTTCCTATAAATTATTTCATCGGTTCTTCTCTACAATCTATAAGAAGGGAAAGCAGATGTTATTTCCACTTTACTTGTGAGGAACCTGAGATATAGAGGGGCCCAGTAATTTGGCCAGGGGCATGCAAATAGAAGGTGACAGAGAAGGGATTCAGGCCCAGAACTCCTGTCACCTAACCCAGTGCTCTGACAATTATTCCCCTGCTTGCTTGGCCGTGATCTTCTATAAGGAACCATCCTTGTGGTTCCTGATTATTTGCCTGAACTGTCTTGTCTCTGCTGTCTTTGAGATTGATATTCTCTTAGTTCTACTTGTCTCATTTCTGACCATTATGTATAAGTATACAGCAGAGGCTATCAGAGCCTTGCCTATACCTCCTTGGAATATGCCATTCATATACATCCTGATTCAATAATTTTCAACTACAAGCACCTGTGACTGTCTGCCTGGGGCTTTCTCTGACTACTGGAGCCCTCTCAGCTTGTGTGTAGGTAACTAACACCTCCTCCCCTTAACACAGCCAGAAACGGCCCTCAACCAATTGCTGATGGAAGTTGGTAGGTAAATTCCCCAACTCCCTTACCTCTTTGGTAGACTATGAAGCATATTCTACGTTGTCTCCTACTGTTCTCCAGGAACCCCAATTGCTCACAGCAGTTTAATACTCAATGATCCCCACTATATTGGTGTATTAGTCTATTTTCCTGCTGCTGATAAAGACATATCTGAGACTGGGAAGAAAAAGAGGTTTAATTTGACTTACAGTTCCACATGACTGGGAAGGCCTCAGAATCATGGCAGGAGGTGAAAAGTATTTCTTACATGGTGGCAGCAAGAGAAAATAAGGAAGAAGCAAAAGCAGAAACCCCTGATAAACCCATCAGATCTCGTGAGACTTATTCACTATCACAAGAATAGCATGGGAAAGATCGGCCCCCATGATTCAATTACTTCCCACTGGGTCCCTCCCACAACACATGGGAATTCTGGGAGATACAATTTAAATTGAGATTTGGGTGGGGACACAGCCAAATCATATAATTCCGCCCCGGCACCTCCCAAATCTCATACCTTCACATTTCAAAACCAACCATGCCTTCCCAACAGTCCCGAAAGTCTTAACTCATTTCAGCATTAACCCAAAAGTCCAAAGTCCAAAGCCTCATCCAAGACAAGGCAAGTCCTTTCTGCCAATGAGCCTGTAAAAATCAAAAGCAAGCTCGGTATTTCCTAGATACAATGGAGGTACAGGTATTGGGTACATACAGCCATTCCAAATGAGAGAAATTGGCCAAAACAAAGAGGTTACAGGACCCATGCAGGTCCAAAATCCAACAGGGCAGTCAAATTTTAAAACTCCAAAATGATCTCCTTTGACTCCATATCTCACATCCAGGTCACACTGATGCAAGATGTGGGTTCCCATGGTCTTGGGCACCTCCACTTCTGTGGCTTTGCAGGGTGCAGCCTCCCTTCCAGCTGCTTGCATGGACTGGTGTTGACTGACTGCGGCTTTTCCAGGTGAACGGTGCAAACTATCAGTAGATCTACCATTCTGGGGTCTGGAAGATGGTGGCCCTCTTCTCACAGCTCCACTAGGCAGTGCCCCAGTAGGGACTCTGTGTGGGGGCTCCAACACCACATTTATCTTCCACACTGCCCTAGCAGAGGTTCTCCATGAGGGCTCCACCCCTACAGCAAACTTTTGCCTGGGCATCCAGGCATTTCCATACATCTTCTGAAATATAGGTGGAGGGACGTGAACCTCGATTCTTGACTTCTGTGCACCCACAGACTCAACACCATATGGAAGCTGCCAAGACTTGGGGTTTCCATCCTCTGAAGCCACAGCTCGAGCTGTATGTTGGCCCCTTTTCAGCCATGGCTGGAACAGCTGGGACCAGGGCACCAAGTCCCTAGGCTGCACACAGCACAGGGACCCTGGGCCCAGCTCACAAAACCACCTTTTTCTCCTGGGCTTCCGGGCCTGTGTTGGGAGGAGCTGACATGGCCTGGAGACATTTCCCCTATGGTCTTGGGGATTAAGGTCTCTGACATGGCCTGGAGACATTTTCCTCATGGTCTTGGGGATTAACATTAGGCTCCTTGCTACTTATGCAAATTTCTGCAGCTGGCTTGAATTTCTCCCCAGAAAATGGGTTTTTCTTTTTTATTGCATAGTCATGCTACAAATTTTCCAAACTTTTATGCTCTGCTTTCCTTATAAAACTGAATGTCTTTAACAGTACCCAAGTCATCTCTTGAATGCTTTGCTCCTTAAAACTTTCTCCCGCCAGATACCCTAAATCATCTTTCTCAAATTCAAAGTTCCGCAAATCTCTAGGGCAGGGGCAAAATGCCACCAGTCTCTTTGCTAAAACATAGCAAGAGTCATCTTTACTCCAATTCCCAACAAGTTCTTCATCTCCATCTGAGACCACCTCAGCCTGGACCTTATTGTCCATGTCACTGTCAGCATTTTGGTCAAAGCCACTCAACAAGTCTCTACGAAGTTCCAAACTTTCCCACATTTTCCTGTCTTTTTCTGAGCCCTCCAAACTGTTCCAACCACTGCCTGTTACCCAGTTCCTAAGTCACTTCCACATTTTCGGGTATCTTTCAGCAACACCCCACTCTACTGGTACCAATTTATTGTGTTAGTCTGTTTTCATGCTGCTGATAAAGACATACCTGAGACTGGGAAGAAAAAGAGGTTTAATCAGACTTAAAGTTCCACTTGACTAGGGAGGCCTCAGAATCATAGCGAGAGGTGAAAGGCACTTCTTACATGGTGGCAGCAAGAGAAAATGAGGAAGAAGCAAAAGCATAAACCCATGATAAACACATCAGATCTCGTGAGACTTATTCACTATCACAAGAATAGCACAGGGAAGACTGGCCCCCATGATTCAATTACTTCCCACTGGGTCCCTCCCACAACATTTGGGAATTCTGGGAGATAAAATTCAAATTGAGATTTGGGTGGGGACACAGCCAAACCATATCAATTGTCATCCTTTCCTTCCCTGTCTCACTTCCTACTTCCTTACCAATGCTTCCTGGTCACCTCCCGCGTAAACTGTTTACACTCAAATCCTCATCTCTGGGTCTGCTTCTGAGGAAAACCAAATAAAGACAACACACATGTGTTATGCCCTTATCCCAACTTGACTTCCTATGAAGAAACAGTTCCACTCAAAAGTATTCCCTTGGCCTCAAACAACTGCTTCCACCTTGGCTGCTAACTTCCAGAATGATCCTAATTCCAGCCATTCCCATGCCTTCCTAATATCCTGCATGCAGGTGCTCTAAGCACATCTCTTTTCCCTGCACTCTCAGCCAATAGTGCCTCACACTTCCATCCCCAATACCATAGCACCATAAATTACTTGGAATTTGAATGTATAGATGAATGTTGTGGGCACATTTTTAAAATTAATTTCTTGTCTATCATTCACATCAATTATGAATGAACTTCTACCTTTGGATCAGAACACAGGATTTTCTCAGGGAGAAATAACCTAATATATATTCAGTAACTTTCTAGGTCATTTTGTAGATTGTAAACTTTTTGAGCTCATTTTGCAAAATTTAATAACTTAGACTGCCGATTGTATAGAAACAACCACATTCCAGAGAAGCATCCTCCTTCCTGTTACATTATTTACATGTGGGTATGACTGTTTTTGTTAGAACAATGGATTTTAAGAATGCCCCTAAAGGGTAGTGGGGGATGGGGGGGGAAGTGGGGATGGTTAATGGGTACAAAAAAAATAGAAAGAATGAATAAGACCTAGCATTTGATAACATAACAGGGTGACTAAAGTCAATAATAATTTAACTGTACACTTTTAAATAACTAAAAGAGTATAATTGGATTGTTTGTAATACAAGGGATGAATGCTTGAAGGGATGGATAACCCATTTTTCATGATGTGATTATTGCTTATCGCATGCCTGTATCAAAGTATCTCATGTACCTCATAAATATATACACCTACTCTGTGCCCACAAAAATTAAAAATTAAAAAAAGAATGCCCTAAAACAAACCTCTTATTGTTTGTTCAAGTACTAGACTATCAATTACTGTCCGGGTATCTTTTTAGGAAGATAGTTTTCTCCTCTCTTCCTATCTTAAAGACAATTTAGAGGGAAACACAGGAGCTCCAACTGCACAAACCTCCCCGCTCCGAAACATACTAGAGTTCACGTGCCTTTTTCTATCCCCCAAGTCTAGGCCCAACCCACTGGGAGTAGAGTAGGGGAATCAGCCTGTGGTGGAAAAGACATACTACCAACAAATTCCCTCTAGCCTGCCCAGAATGCTCTAGCATTTCTAGTTGTAAGAAAACAGAAATACACTCAAATTAGCTCAAGGAAAAAGAGACACAAGGTTATGTCTCTTTGAGTTAGAACTGAATGGCAATAAGAACAGCCAGGCCTCAGAGAGGCCTAAAACAGGAAATTGAGAGGTCCGAAGGCGGCTCTCTCCAGGGCTGCTCTCTGAGGTCACATGGGCTCTTACTTTGCTTTTTTCTGTGCTAATGCTGCTCCCAATCCCACTCTAGGGGCTGGCTGTCTCTGCCTTATGGAGCATGTGATAAGAATGGTCACTCCAGATACAGCTTACATGACCTCCCAGCTTCAAGGCCCAACACCGACCAGCTAAAGTCTCTGTGTCTGAATTCAGATCCCCAAGAGACACTTGGATTGACCTGTTCCTGGTTCTGTGGCCAAGGAGGTGGTCACATAGTACTAACATGAAGGCTAGAATCACCCATCAGCAGGGATTGATGTTGGAGAGAATGGATGGTTCTCAGAGACAGGGCTATAGCCTGGACTTCTTGCTAGCTACCATGTTAAAGTATCATTTCCAACTACTCAGAGTTAGGCCTCTGCTACTGATTTGATGGCCAATGGAGAGGAAACCTTACTCCATCCATCCATTTTCCTACCACTTCCAGGATAGTAGAATGAAATGAGCATTGTCCCAGGAGTCAGAAAAACCTGGGTTCTTAAAGTAGTTCTAACCATTATCTTGAACAAGTTTCTGCCCTTGTAAAATGGAAATAGCAAGAGGGCCTTGCAACAAGGCCTGCTTCAGAATTTTTAATTTCTTAGATTTTAGAAAGGTAATATGGCATAAATGCCATGTTCTTCCCATACTCCCAGTGGGGTCTGGGCAGCACCCAATAATCAAACACCCCAATGTTTCTGTCACAAACATGAATATTCACACTATGTGAGCCAAAAATAAACCTAACAACAGCCCGGGGTAGGTTTTGTCACCAAATGACTTTGGGCACACATTTCACGAAAAATATTTTGTTCTTTGGAATATTTTTAGTTTTGGAGTTATGGATAAGGCATCATGGGCCTGCAGCTGGCTTTACCTGCATATATCACAAGGTTGCTGTGAGGAAAAATAGATATACATTCAGTAATATTGGTTGCCATGTGATTTGTGCCATGTATTATGCTGAGCTCTAATGGATCGGAAATTAATAAAACACAGCCCCTGTTGCAGAAGATCTCACAGTCTGGAGAACACAGTAGGGAAGTTGAGTGAATACAGTTGGTATAACAAATACTATAACAGAGGTCAGCAGGGGTGTCATAATTAGCAAACAAAGGAGGAGCCCAGAAGAAGGGCACCTCACTGGGTGTTAACAAGTGTAGACACCATCCCTTCAGAAAATTTAATTATCTGCCCATATCCCCTCAGATTTCAACCTTCTTGGCCATTTCTTACTGCAAGCGCCTCATTCATTATCTGAGCCTGCACATGCACCAGAGAAGCCAGGGAGCTAACGCCCCTAGCCACAGCCTGCAACCAAGACAAGTAGGAGTTGGTGGATTTATAACCCAGCTTCCTCATCCCATGGGAGTGACAATTCTGAGGCCAGGTATATGTAATCTCCCACAGGTCCCCAGCAGGATTGAACCCCAGTTGTCCACAGTAACAGCCTGCTTATTAAACACACCCTGTATTGTCTCATTTCCCCCCTCCCCAGCCAGTACTTCCTGGGATCCCCTCCTAAATAAGCCACTCACACTCAAATCTCTGTCTCAGCATGTTGTAGTTATCTATTGCTGAGTAAAAAATCACCCCAAATCTAGTGGCTCAAAACAATAGCCATTCAAAATATTATAGGAGAGGCAGAAGTGAGTGGAGGTATATATGAAATAAGAATGGCCATGAATTAGTCAGTGTTAAGCTGGATGAGGGGTACATGGAGGTTCATCCTACTTTACTTTTGCATATGTTTGAAATTCTTCAGAATTAAAAATATTTTCAATCAAAACAGTAATTTATTGCTCATGGTTCTAGGGGTCAGGAATTTGGGTAGGTCTCAGCAAGGATGGTATCTTGGCGAGTTCAGACTGCTATAAAAAATTACCACAGACTGGATGGCTTAAACAACAAACATTTATTTCTTGCAGTTCTGGAAGTTGAAAGTCTGAGGTCAGGATGCTGGCAGGGCCGGGTTCCTGGTGAGGGCCTTCTTTCTGGTTTACAGACAGCCATATTCTTGCAGTGTCCTCACATGGTGGAAAGAGAGCTAACCAGCTCTCTGACCCCTTCTTATAAGGGCACTAATCTCATTCATGAGGGCTCCACCCTCATAACCTAATTCCCTCCAAAAGGCATGCCACCTCCAAATTAGGACTTTAACATATGAATTTTAGGAGGACACAGATATTTAATCCAGAACAGATAATTGTCACTGCTCCAAGTGGTATCATCTGGGTTGTCCTAACTGGGGCTGGAGGATTCAGGATAGACTCACTCATGGTCTGAGGCCTTGGCTCTAAGCTGTTGACTGGACAACCTCTGTGCTCTTCTACATCCTCTTTTCTCTACGTGGCGTCTCCCTCCAGCAAGACAGCCTGGATTTTTTACATGGCATTTGGATTCTGAGAGCAATAACAGAAGCTACAAGAACTCTTAATGATTAGGTTTGGGAGGGCCAGAATGTCATTTGCACCACATTCCACTGGTCAAAGAAGTCCCAAGGCCAGCCAGCCCAGAGTCAAAGATTGGGGAAATAGACTTCACCTCTTGGTGGGAAGAGTGCTAAAGTCATATTACAAAGGGGCATGGTCACAGGGAGATGTGATTTGTCAGAGGCCACTATTAATGATCTACCCACAGAGAGCTTGCTTCTGAGAAATTCCAGTCTAAGAGAGCCAGCAACTGGTTTCACGAGAAAGTAATCCTTGAGTGAATTCCTAAGGATGGATGGGAACCATAAAGTAGATAGATGAGGGTGTATTCTAGCCAGAGACAGCAGCATGAACAGAGGCAGGGATGCATTTGTGAATGTGAGACTAGCAGGGGTTTCTCTATGTCTGGATATATCTAAGAAGAGAGGGCAGGTGATGGCAAAGAAGAGGGGAGCAGAGATTACATCTTGAAGGGCCAGGCATGCCCTGTGAAGAAGTTTAAATTTTATCCTGAAGTCAGTGGGCAGCTCTACAAGATTTCATACAGGAAAGTTCCAAAATAAGATTCATATTAAGAACAATTACACTGAAGGCTCTGTGGCAGGTAGACTGGAGTAAAATCTCGTATTAAATCAAATAATGGGTATGAAAGCACAAGATGATTCACAAGTAACATATCTTGAGTTCTGGGGTAAATTCCCCTCGAAGTCTTTGTTTATACAATGTAATGCCCTCCCCTGTTCCTCCTCCAACCCAGGCTGGGACCCCTGATGGCAGGAGGCAGCAGTGGATTTATTCCACCATTTACTCAGTACCTGCTATGTTCCAGGCACTAGGATTGTGTTGGGGATAAATAATATCAGTCCCTTCCCTGGCAGAACTTGCTATTCAGCTTCCGGAACTCCCTGCCCCTGGAACCACACACATGTCCTACCATAGGCCTAATTACAAGAGTTTGTAACTAGGCATTCCAATGCTCTGATTACACTGTACACACTGATGGAAACTCTGGTGTGAGACCAAGAGGAATTGGAAGATGGGGCCAGTACAAGATGGGGAGAAAATATTCTTGACTCTGACAAGTGAGAAGAAACGAAGTAAAGAAAAAGAGAGGAAATAGTATGGCCGAATGTAGGCATATTGCACACCCACAAGCAGTCAACATACCTGTGATACTATTATCTCAGGTATAAAGCACACATCAGAGAAGTAGCAGAGCTGAGATTTGAACCCAGAATAGTCCACCTCGAAAGGGCATGCTGGTAACCACTACAGCTAACGTGAGATTCAAGCAGACCACTGGAGCTGGATGGGGAAGAATCAGATGTGAATGTATGAAGGAAGAATGGCTGACTGGAAAAAATGAGACAGGAGGGGTCTTGGAGCAATCACCTCCAGGGAGGAAGCATGAGGTGATGTATTGCCACAGATTATCTTTTACATGAAATTGACAACATATTAGAGTATGAATTACTCAACTGTCATCCTGCAAAATGCCAAAATTCCTAAGACAACACACAACACCGGTGCCTATTAGTTCTTACTAAAATCATGATTATTCCTTTAATTTTAGTGTACCTTCTAGAATATTAATCCTATATTCCCTAATGAATTGTTGAAAAGTAGACTATACAAATAATTTTGCATGGTTTTATATTAACAACAGCAGAGGTTTTCCTCATTACAAACAAACTTTTACAGCACTGATGTTTCTCTTTTTCTTCTATAATAAAACATAATGCCACTGAATCTAAATGGGATATATTTAAAAATTCACTGACAGTTTTACCAACAGTATGGATAATAACTAAATGATGCATTGCCTTGAATGAAGCAAGAGCATTTGCTAACTTTAATCATATAAAAAATAAGTTTTTCTATGAATGATACTAATTCTCTAAATATAATGTTTTTGCATTGTAATATTCTGCATAATAGCTGCTTTATAGCTAACATTAATTCTCTAAATATGACTCAACACACAATAGCTTAGCATTTCAATATTCTTGGTAATGGTTGGTTTATGTCAGAGAGAATAAAGGTTATTATTTGATGTAATCGCTACATTATCTTTTTACATACTATTTTTGATTAAATGTTCCCTTCCAGCATCAGAACTGACCTTTTACAGAAAGGTCTGGTGTAGAGACACCAGAACAGAAATTGGTCTCATAAGACAAAAGGGATATTAAATAACAGAGCTTGTCAGAGATGTACTATTGCATCCAGGTCTAGCATTTTGCTGCTTTTGTATGTTGCTAACTTCCTACAGTTATAGTTAATATTCAAATGTGAACTAATCAAAGCCATTGATAGTAAACATAAGTCAGTGAGAAGTGTCTGTTCATGTCCTTCGCCCACTTTTTGATGGGGTTGTTTGTTTTTTTCTTGTAAATTTGTTTGAGTTCATTGTAGATTCTGGATATTAGCCCTTTGTCAGATGAGTAGGTTGCGAAAATTTTCTCCCATGTTGTAGGTTGCCTGTTCACTCTGATGGTAGTTTCTTTTGCTGTGCAGAAGCTCTTTAGTTTAATTAGATCCCATTTGTCAATTTTGTCTTTTGTTGCCATTGCCTTTGGTGTTTTGGACATGAAGTCCTTGCCCACGCCTATGTCCTGAATGGTAATGCCTAGGTTTTCTTCTAGGGTTTTTATGGTTTTAGGTCTAACGTTTAAATCTTTAATCCATCTTGAATTGATTTTTGTATAAGGTGTAAGGAAGGGATCCAGTTTCAGCTTTCTACATATGGCTAGCCAGTTTTCCCAGCACCATTTATTAAATAGGGAATCCTTTCCCCATTGCTTGTTTTTCTCGGGTTTGTCAAAGATCAGATAGTTGTAGGTATGCGGCGTTATTTCTGAGGGCTCTGTTCTGTTCCATTGATCTATATCTCTGTTTTGGTTCCAGTACCATGCTGTTTTGGTTACTGTAGCCTTGTAGTATAGTTTGAAGTCAGGTAGTGTGATGCCTCCAGCTTTGTTCTTTTGGCTTAGGATTGACTTGGCGATGCGGGCTCTTTTTTGGTTCCATGTGAACTTTAAAGTAGTTTTTTCCAATTCTGTGAAGAAAGTCATTGGTAGCTTGATGGGGATGGCATTGAATCTGTAAATTACCTTGGGCAGTATGGCCATTTTCACAATATTGATTCTTCCTACCCATGAGCATGGAATGTTCTTCCATTTGTTTGTATCCTCTTTTATTTCCTTGAGCAGTGGTTTGTAGTTCTCCTTGAAGAGGTCCTTCACATCCCTTGTAAGTTGGATTCCTAGGTATTCTATTCTCTTTGAAGCAATTGTGAATGGGAGTTCACTCATGATTTGGCTCTCTGTTTGTCTGTTGTTGGTGTATAAGAATGCTTGTGATTTTTGTACATTGATTTTGTATCCTGAGACTTTGCTGAAGTTGCTTATCAGCTTAAGGAGATTTTGGGCTGAGACGATGGGGTTTTCTAGATAAACAATCATGTCGTCTGCAAACAGGGACAATTTGACTTCCTCTTTTCCTAATTGAATACCCTTTATTTCCTTCTCCTGCCTGATTGCCCTGGCCAGAACTTCCAACACTATGTTGAATAGGAGTGGTGAGAGAGGGCATCCCTGTCTTGTGCCAGTTTTCAAAGGGAATGCTTCCAGTTTTTGCCCATTCAGTATGATATTGGCTGTGGGTTTGTCATAGATAGCTCTTATTATTTTGAAATACGTCCCATCAATAGCTAATTTATTGAGAGTTTTTAGCATGAAGCGTTGTTGAATTTTGTCAAAGGCCTTTTCTGCATCTATTGAGATAATCATGTGGTTTTTGTCTTTGGCTCTGTTTATATGCTGGATTACATTTATTGATTTGCGTATATTGAACCAGCCTTGCATCCCAGGGATGAAGCCCACTTGATCATGGTGGATAAGCTTTTTGATGTGCTGCTGGATTCGGTTTGCCAGTATTTTATTGAGGATTTTTGCATCAACGTTCATCAAGGATATTGGTCTAAAATTCTCTTTTTTGGTTGTGTCTCTGCCCGGCTTTGGTATCAGAATGATGCTGGCCTCATAAAATGAGTTAGGGAGGATTCCCTCTTTTTCTATTGATTGGAATAGTTTCAGAAGGAATGGTACCAGTTCAGTGAGATGGATGAAAACCGTGACATATGTCAATAAGCATCTTGACACACGACTCATAAATTTAAAAAGTAAAACTCAACGAGAGAGCTTCAAACTTCATCTTTGGCTAAACACTGTGAATCCCCCTCCTACCCTCACTATAAAATGCTTTTGCTTTAAAAAAAATCTCAAAATGGAGAATGAATTTGTGCTTCGTGTTGTCTCTGTGCACTTTTCTCCTCCATCAATCTTTGCAAACCTTCATTTCCGGTGTGTTTCCTCCGGCTTTAGAATGTTTACAGGGCCTATTCCGTTTTTCTTGCTCTTGGGAGGCAGAGAGGTAGACTGGTTCATTTTAGAAGGGATAAGAAGACTGTCATATAAAATGAAGAAAATGATAGTATTACAACTTTTCCAAAGAAAAAAATCTGAAAAACCACACTTAGAACTCATATTGCAAAGATTTTTAGCTAAAAAGAAAGAATGACAAAGAATCTTTGTCCAGAGCAAAGGACTGTCTTGATAAAAGATTAACAAAAGATTCTTTCTTTTTTAACTTTCCCAAGATGAAGCTGATTAAGATGGTATTGGGGAGAAGGGAGCTGTAGATTTTTTAGTAAATATAGACTGAGAATAGTTGATGCCATCATTTGTGTGGGTTTTCCTTACCACTGACTCATCATGTAAGTAGTGAATTTCAGCCATGCTTATCTTTCCATTTTTATCATGAGAATTAAGCCCTATACTGACCATCTAGGTAATAGTGATGTTTTGATTCTTCAAATGAGCTCAGTCATCTTTGAACCCTCAAATAACTAAAGTCAGAAGGTCAATCAAATCTTGGTTTGAGTTGCAAATAAAGTATCCTTTCCCCCAAACCCATTCATGTCCACCTTATATTTTACAGTGCTTTCTATAGCCTCGTAAGTAACAACTGATGTTCCTAAAGAAGAGACATGTCGGGATCAATTTACAGGTTACTAAGCATTTTTGAGCTACTGATAGGTTCAGCACTCTGAAGGGTGATGTGGAATCTCACTACTTGGAGTGGGTCCGTGGACCAAAGGTGTCAACATCCCCTAGGAGCTTGTTAGAAGTGCAGATTTTTCAGGCCCCTTCCCAGACCTACTGGATTAGAATCTGCATTTTAACAAGATCCCCAGGGTATTCCAATGCACTTTAAAGTCTGAGAAGCACCAATACAAAGGACTGAGGAAAAACTGTGCCCACACAGGCACCAATGTGATGGGACCTTTCTGGAGGAAATTCGGGGACTCAGAGAAAGACCCCAAAATATGCCCATTTGCAGGCAAACACCTCACATCCCTTAAATAGGGGTCATAGCATTTCATTCACTCCACAATCAGAGTAAGTTTTAAGAAAAGAGGCTCCTGGAAGAGGAAGAACACTGAAAGTTCACACATCAACCTGCTTGCTCTGACTCCACAGCTTGGGTTTTTCCCACCACCTCAGCTTGGCTTCCCACTGAAGGCAAGAACGACCTATGCTGGGCAAATGGGAAAAAAACTGTGGTGCCTCAGCCAGAAGTGGCTGCCTCATCTACCTACCCACCCACACCCCAACCCCTATTGAATCAAAAACCCCAAAAAGGCAAGCTACTATGGAAGAAACATAATACTACTTCCTGGAGCCTGGGTTTCTATAGCCAGATCTTGAATGTATGCTCCAACATATACACATGTCCTCTGTAGGACTGGGTTCAAATCCCAGCTCCATTATTTAGAATGCTTCATTTTTGGAAAGTTAAAAAAAAAAGAATATTTTAACAAGACAGTCATCTGCTCTGGACAAAGATTCTTTGTCACTCTTTCTTTTCAGCTAAAAATCTTTGCAATATGAGGTCTAAGTATGGTTTTTCAGATTTTTTTCTCTTCAGAACCTCTTGTCTAAGGCTGTGTGGCCTTAGACAAATAACTTAATTGCTCACTTTCCACGTCTACAGACCCAGCCATAATCACAGTTCCTACATCATGAAGTACATAATTGTGAGGTACTTGGTTGCAAATGAGCATATTTCGGGATCTTTCCTACCTCATGGAGTACATAATTGTGAGGGTGAAGTAGCTTAATACATGGAAAGCATTTCTGGCAATGTCTGGAAGATAGTAAGAGCTCAATAAGTAACTGCAACTATTACTGTCATCATTGCCATTGCTATTATCATTATTATTACTATTACTACCGGAACTCTTCTGGGTTACCATTAAATCAGCACTCTCTGGGTAGGGTTGTTCAACCAGCTCCAGACACACACCATCCCCCGCTGTTTTTCATCCTATTTGTAATTCTCCATCTTAGCAGGAAATGGATTTTTGTAAAAACACTGTGACAAACCTATCTAAAATCTAGTTGTGGAGTCTCGATGCCAGAGCACGCCCCTAGTCTGCCAGGGCACTAACTCTATTCACATGGAAATGGGACTCACCCAGCATGACACAGTGGCTCCAAGCCATTTCCTAGCCAACCCCTCTTCCCTTTCTAAGTACCCATAAACCACTCAATTTAATAATTCATTTTAGAATTTTGAGTGAATTCCATTTCCAATTTGAGGTTAGAGTTTTTGGGAAATTGGGACACTTTCCCTTTCCAATCTTTGAGCTCTTCTCTTCCCCACGGTCCCTCAGAATTACCAGCAGTGGCTCAGCAATTTCAACTGCATTTGTCTAAATTCCCTCAGATTATCATTTTTTCTGTGTCAGAAGATGAAAATCCATTTATAGCAGCTTGCGGCTCTCTTATGATCACCTCACTTGTCTCTGGCTTCAATTCCTCTTAGCCAAGCGTGTTCTGACCTTTCTGCATTTTCTCTCCTGCCCACTGATGTGACACCATCAGACCCAAGCAGTCAGGCTAATCCCATCCATATTTGGTGGGAGCAGAGGATAAATTGAAAAACCTACTCCAAAAAGAGTTAGCCTTTTTGGTCAAAGCACAGTTTGTTTGGGGTTAAAGTAGTTGTGATAATAGTTTTACAGGTTTGTATTTGTTCTTTTATGGGAAAGAATGTTGAGTGGGACTTTGGGCCTAACGCTGAGGACAGAGAAGGAGTGAGTAGCTCCACATTCTAAAGACAGGCACAAACTATTAGGACCAGGCACTTCACAGAGTGGGCCCCCTTCCTGTCAGTCATCACACCTTGCAGAGGAGAGGAGGGGAGGCACGATTTCCTCCAATCTCTATAAGTTGAACAGTGGGGAAGAAGTTGCTGGAGTCATGGGGTAATCAACCCTCATATGGGAGCGCAGTGTGATGAGTGGGGCACTTCATCCTCTCCCCATGGAAAAGGAATGAGGGTGCCTTCTCTTCCACATCCTTAGGCAAGGTCAAGTGGTGCCCACAAAAAGTGTGGACCGCAAAACTACAATGAGATATCACTTCACATGGTCTGGCTTTAATCAAAAAGACAGACAATAACAAGGGTTGGTGAGGATGTGGAAAAACTGGAACCCTCATATGCTGCTGGTGGGAATGGAAAAATGGGGCAGCTGCTTTGGAAAAGAGTCTGGCAGTTTATCAAAAGGTTAAACAAAGAGTTAATACATGACCCAGCAATTCCATTCCTAGGTATATACTCAAGATAATTGAAAACATATGTCCACACAAAAACTTGTTCACAAATGTTAACAGCAGCACTATTCATAATAGTCAAAAGTGGAAACAACTCAAATCATCCACCACCTGAGGAATGGATGAACAATATGTGGTCCATCCGTATAATGGAGTATTATTCAGCCGCAGAAAGGAATGAAGTCCTGATACATGCTACAACATGGATGAACCTTGAAAGCACTATGCTAAATGACAGAAGCCAGGCACGAATGACCACATAGTATAGGATTCCATTTATATGAAATGTTTAGAATAGGCAAATCCATTAATATAGGAAGTAGATTAGTGGTTTCCTAAGGCTGGGTAGAGGGGAAGGTCGGGGATAATGGCTGAGTGGTACAGGGTTTCTTTTTAGGGTGATGAAATTGTTCTAAAATTGATTGTGGTGATGGTGCAAAAAAATCCATGAATATATTCAAAGGCATTGAGTTGTACACTTTAAATGGGTGAACTGTATGGTATGTTAATTATATCTCAATAGCTGTTGCAAAAGAAGAGAAAGAGAAAAGGGGAAAGGAGGTGAAAAAAAGCAGCAGCATGGACTGGCCCCCCTTCTCCAGCTGGATGCTTGTTGAGGGGCAGAACCTGCAGGCTCACCCTAGTGCAAACATCAGAGCATGATGAGGGAGTGCTGGGCAGTGTGGAGACTTATGCAAACATAGAAACTAGTGCCTACTTCCAGCCTGGAAATATAGAACAAGGTAGGACAAGGTGGATGCTGGAACAGCCCACCCCGAAATGACAGTGAAGAGGGGTGGCAGTGGACATACCTGTGTGCCAAAGTTTGGCAAGGCAAAAATGAGTACATTTCCTACAGGCCAAGGAGACATTGAGGAAGAAGGTACCTATGCTTAAGCATCTGTGCTGGCATTCCGCTCAAAAGGGCTACCCACCAGACAAAGGGCTCCCCACAGCAGCAAGAGGCTTGGAGCATACCCCAATGGTAGTAGCTGAGGGAGAGGGAGGAAAAGAGGCTGAACCCGATCTCCCCCATCAGACACCTAGAGGTGCACTTAGAGGCCTGCAGGTCCCTCTAAGATAGTACATCTCAGTCTTTCTTATGCCTATGGATCACCTGGGGATCTTATTAAAATGCAGGTCTGATTCAGTGGGTCTGGGAGGGGGCTCTGCATTTCTAACAAGATCCCAAATGATTTGGGTTCTGCTGGTCCAAACAATTTGGAACAACAGAGCTCTAAATCAGTAGTTCTAAAACTCTGGTCTCAGAATCCTTTCATACTCTTAAAAATTATTAAGGATCCTAAAGACTTTTTGTTTATGTGGGTTATAGCTACTAATATTTACTGTATTTGAAAGCAAAACTGATAATTTTTATATTTATTAATTGATTCATTTAAAAATAACAATAAAGCTCATTACATCTTAACATAAATAACATATTTTTAGGAAAAATAACTGTATTTTCCAGAACAAACCAACGAGTGAGTGGCATTGTTTTACATTTTTGCAAATCTCTGATTTAACAGAAGACAACTGGATTATCATATCTGCTTCTATATTCAATCTTTTGCAACATATTGGCTTTGCAGAAAAATATGAATATCAAACCTCACACAAATACGTAGTTGGAAAAGGAGCATTTTAATAGCCTTTTCAGGTAATTATAAATATTATTTGATACTACACCAAAAACCTAATAACAGATAGTTTCTTAAAGGTTAATTGCGACATGGAACCTTAAACCATAACAGTACATTTTTCATACTGTGTTACATTAAAATCCATTGGTCCGTCTTGCACTTTGAATGGATCTTTTACATGGTTTTATAACATCATGCATTGGTAATTTGAAAATATTGGTTCACTGAGTTATGCAGATGTCCCAAATGTTGGTACATTTCATTAGACAATGTCAAAAAGTCAAAAAGTTGTATTTGTTAATATCACCACTGATCTCACCAGTCATCTCACCAGAAACGTTTTTAATTACTAGGAAGCTTTCAAGCTCACAGTGGTGAAGACAGGTCTTCTGAAATTTTCATTTTTGCTTGAAAGCTCAAATTTTATCATTGACAACAAATACTGTCAGTTGTTTTCCTTGAAGAGACAGGCCTCAGTTAAATCACTTGCAAGAAAATGACTGCAAATGCACAAGTCTAAATAACCAATTTACCAGTCAGGCATTTCTTCCAGTGAAAATGATGTTCCATGAAAATAAGTGGCCGGTTCAGCTCACAACTCAATCATACACATAATCTTTCTTGAGACAACCATTATACTTCAGTATGAGACATAAGTGCTGTATGCATTACTTCTTTATGCATTTTCTTACACGGAATAGTAAAAAGACATGTACTCAAACATCAAACTTCGATACAATTAGTAATTTTTACTGTTTAATCAAGGACATTCTTAATTGCAACTGGAGTCTGTTTTGGTTTGGTTTGGTTTGTCACCAGGAGTACACAACAATGAAGAATACCACAATTACTGGTACAGTTTGGTGCTGCTGCCTTAATTCCTGCTAAGGCACTGGCGGTCTTATCCATCACTGCTTTTGCACCATCATTGTCAATGCCAACACAGTTAAAAAGACAAATGACATCTTAGTATCCACATGAAAATAGTTATGATCTAACAGACCAAAGAAAAGGTCTCTGAGAACCACAGCCCTAAGGAATTCACCGTGTGCCCCCCAAGAAAGCCAGCGTTTGGAAGCCTGCCACCAGAGGGCACAGAGGCCTGGCAGTGTGCACCAAAGAAGACACACCAAGCAACAGAGAGAATGACAGTAGCCCATTAAGTAAAAAGACCTTTGTCCCTTTTCTTCTCTCACCTGGCCACAGCCAACTTGCTTGGCGAGCTAGGCCTTGGAAGTGGGGTTGGGGATATTTTGGAGCTAAACGAGGCCACTCCAACCCAGCTCAATTTGGGCTCAGGCAAGGAGAGGAAATGAGATTGAGATTGAGATTTTAAAATGGGACTGGACTTCTAATATAAAAAATGACCAGAAAGTTATAGAATTTGCCCAAGATGTTATTAAGGAAATGGGAAGGGCAATAAGACAGAGCACGGTTTAAATAAAACACTTTCATGTTTCTATCCCCACTGAGTTGAGACTCTTCACTAAAAAATTATTTCTAGTCACCCTTCCATTTACAATACATAGATATCTGAGTTAATTGAAAAGCTCCCTATGTGACATGCCATATTCCTTTTCTTCCTTGTCAACACCATATCATTCATCTATGCAACAAAGTTTGATTGAATGCCTACTGTGCCAGGCACTCTTCAAAGGGCTTGTGAAACACTAGTGAAAAAACAGAGATCCATTGGTGGAGTTTACATTTGTAACTGTTACTCTCTAAAGCTTTTTTTTGTTTGTTTTCAATTAACCACGCAGCCTCAGCTGCAAAGCATGCTGGGGTGTTGGAGCAACATAGCAGGGTTCAGTGGGGCTTAACTAAATATTATGAGTGGCCCATAAGGCTAGTCCCAAGGAACATGACCAGCAATCTATATGGCAATGTTCTGGGGCATGTCCAGCTGGCCCCAACAGTCACGGTTATCTGATAATCTAGTGGGCAAGATCAGTAAGAATGGCAGCATCTTGATTACAGTGGGATCTAGGAGGCATCCAATCCCAGGCAATAGCTGGGGGTACAAGGATCAGAGTCCAACTCCTTCCAGTAAGGAGGCCTGGTGAAGGCTTAGCAGGGGTAGGATCTTAGTCAAATGAGTTGGTGCTCATTTGGGAACTTTGGTAGCAGAAACAAAAATCAATACATAGGCTAGAATAGACACTCCAGATTGGATTCAGGACAAAGGGTCATTTGGATATGTGACTGCTGCCTGCTGGCGTGTGCGGGTGTGCTCCACGGCCAGTTTAAGACCATTAGAGGCAGCTCTAGACCCTGAAAAGACATGTAATATAGAATACAAACAACACTAAACCAGAAAATAAATATAAGGAAGTCCAAAGTATCTCTCCTTTTTCCCATAATGTCTTCTTCAAAGTTGTCTCTCAATATCCCACTCCTTTAACTTTATGTGTGTGTATGTTTGTGTGAGTGTGTGTGCATGCACACATGCATGTATATACTCTATAGTGTCTGTGTGTACCATGATCTCATGCTTAGTCTGTTGTTTTAGGAGTCATCTATACTGGTCTGTCCCCAGCCCAGCAAAGAACGTCAAGGACATACAGAGTGAACCACTGGCATCCATGCAATTAATCCCGAATGGGTCTTCAATCTCATTACCCCCTCTCCTTACTCTCTCAGCCTGTTCCTTTACCTCTTTGACTTTGTTTTAGCTCAGCACTTCCAGTTTATGACCCAATAACCCTACTGCTCCAACACTTTTCAGTCCTGTTTCATTCCTGCACTTGTCTTTCTCCACCATGGTGCTCCCTTGGAACAGCTCTTTCAGGGATGGTTCATTTCAATTCATCTCTAAGTCCTCTTTGTACACTCTGACTTTCTGGGGAAACTTAACTGAGCAAGATCCAGCTTTCCACCCCACCTCAGTTTGGACCCTGGAGGAAATAGTCATAAGACTTGAGGGAAATGCCAAGGCTCTAGAAAATAGACCAATAAAAAGAATGCTAATAACCTTACATTTAACTATCATAAAAGTCTCAGAGCAGAGCTTCCCAAAATGTTCTATGTCATGCCATGTGCATTGAATCACTGTGGGCTGCTTGCAAAAAAAAAAAATGCAGATTATTACTCCACCCCAGACCTACTCTTTTAGTTTGGGTTCTCTGAGAAGAAGACAAGGATTCTATTGCAGAAAGTTGATTTGGGAGGTGGTCCCAGAAAACATTGGTAGGGGAGTGGGGAAATGAGACGGGGAAAAGAAGGCAGCCAATTAATGGTGCACTCTCAAGCCAGCTACTACTGTGGGCGACTGGAACTTAATTCCACTGGGAACTTTGGAAACAATATAGTACATGCATCTCAAAATTATGAAGAGGAGGGGGAGTTGAGGCGATTGGACACCAAGTCCTTCAATAATTGGTCAAGGCTGCACTTTGGTCGCATTAATTCCCTGACACTTCTGGCCTGCAAAATCACAGCCCTCTGGAAAAAGATGCAGGTGCTGGGAGTTGGGGATCAGGCTGGGGTACACTGAAATAGTAAGGGCTGAAGAAATATGGGGGGGCGGGCAAAGTCATCTGCTATACCAACCAAATCACCATGCCTGAACATGGGGCTGGAATCTGCATTTTGAACAAACTCTTCACACTACAGCTGGAGAACATAGGGTGTTAAGAATATGTAGTACAAGTGGGATTGGATTCCTAATTTCCTAAGGCTTCTGTGAATAAGAAGGCACCTTCACTCTATCATCCCTCCCCAACCAAAAAAAAAAATCCCTAATTTTAGTAAACCCTCTTTTTCTTATGATGAAAGCATAAAACTTGAGTCTACCACTCACCATTATGATCCCTGGGCTGAATTTTCATTTTGTACCTGGGGAGCTATTTTAGACAAACTCTGTGAACTTAAATAGGGAAAGTGATTCACTGGCATGTAAGGTTCGTTTCATGTTGATGTCGGGATGGAGAAATCAGATGGTGCTAAATGTTCTCTCAGGTCAATACTTGATGACTTCATAGCTTTCACCAGGGTTCTTAATGGTTCGACATTTAGCACTCAAGTCCGGGAGCTTTTTGCCAGCTCTTTGTGAAGGGGGAGGAAGAGGGAGATGCTATTGAAAGGGTTTTTCAAAAGGTTAGTTAATGCACTAGGGCATGGATTTCATTACATGATCGCATAACACTGAGTAGCAGAACATATAGTGGGCAATCTAAAAATAATTACTGCTCAGATGTCGATTAACCAAGGGTTGGCCATGAGCTGGGCTTTGGAAATGTGAGGCAAGGGGCTGAGAGTGCAGGTTCCTAGGACCCCAAGCTTCAATGAGGCTGAAATTTGGGAGGAAATAAAATCAAATTCCTGCCATTGCCATCCTCACTCCTTCTCCCTTCCTGTTCTCCGTAACCGGCACCTACCCCATACCCACAGGAGCTGCAAAGGGCTGATAAAAGGCTGCCATCATCCTTTGCTACAGTTAGGAGCCATCTTGTGTATGTTCAGTATCAATGTAGATTCTCAGGAATGCTTGCTTATCTGTTCTGAGTGCCATGCCCTTTCTACAATACTGCCCTGCTTGAAAAGCACAACGATTGATAACAGACACCAAGGGAAGGAAGAGAAACTAGCCCAGGGTATGAAGCTGAAGCTTCTCCTAAGAGAACCAGTAAGAAATGCTCAGGAGAGGAAGGGAAGAAGAGTACGTGGAACTGAATCAGGCATCCTGAGCTTCTGCCCTCTGCCAAAGTTCTCACCATATGCTATCTTGTCCTGATCTCTTTTCTTGCTTGTTTCTCCTCTCTTCTGCTACACCTGCTGAGAGTTCCTTGAAGGCAGGTGCCAGGTGCTGTTCATTCTTGAATCCTCTCTGCCTGATATACAGTGAATTCATACTGCATTTTGGTTGAGTAAATAAATAACAATTTTTTAAAACAGACCTGTAGTGCCAGAAAGTAGAGAAGTGCCCAACTCTCCCAACACACACACACACACACACACACACGCACAAATTAATGAGGATATGTCAGAGTGAAACATGAGCCAACTAAAAGAGCTTTCAATGGCCAAAGCTGGAACAGTTTGAACAAAAAAAAAGAAAGTAATATTAGATTATAATCCAAAGTATAAAATATTCATGAGTCCGTACTGATATAAGCAAATGATTGAACAAATTAATACATGGGGGAGAAGAAACAAATCTCCCATGCAGAAGAATTTCAAATAAATTTTGTAGATACTCCACCCTAAACGAAGTAAAGAAAAATTCCCCGTTCCTTAAACATGGGCTCCACATAATGACTTCCCAGCAAAGTGTACAGAATGGAAAGGAGGAATAAAAGAGTAACTTTACAGTGGAAAAAAAAACAGACAAACAGTATTTCAGAAAAATGATGAAGAAAAACATCAAGTCATAAATCATCTTCATGGTATGGACCCTTGATATGATGTGATGAAAATGACACTTTACCTCTGTGGCCTTCCTTCCAAAAACTCACAAACCCCAGCCCAATCATGAGAAAAACACCTGACAAATTCCAACAGAACGGCCACCTACCAAATACCTGACTGGTGCTCCTCAAACCTGACAAGGTCATCAGAACCAAGAAAAATCTGAAAAACGGTCACAGCTAAGACGAGCCTAAGGAGATGTGACAACTAAATGTAACGTGGCATCCGGGATGGGATCCAGAAACAGAAAAAGGACTTTAGAGAAACTAAGAAAAGCTGAATGAGCTATATGGGCTTTAGTTAATAATATGTATCACAATTGGTTTATTAATTGTGAAAAATATACTAATACTAATTTTACACTAATAAAAAATATTAGTATTAATAATAGGGGAACCTATGTGCTGGATGGGGGGCAGGAAGTATATGGGAACTATCTGTACTATCAGCTCAATTTTTCTGTAAATATGAAACTGTTCTAAAAGATAACGGCTATTTAAAAAGAGAGAGAAGAGAAGGAGGGAGGGAGGAAGGGGGAGAAAGAAGGACATGTGTGCAGGTCATGTGCTGTAGGTTATGGCCAGACCTGCTTTGGAAAACCTGTAAGTAAATATAAACGGAAAACTCCTAGGACCCACCAGGCAAACACAGATCAGAGGCAATTGCCCCGTGGTGCCGCAGCAAGAATTCCAAGGATCAAATGTGAGCTTTAGGCCTGAGTGAGGAGGTGTGTTGAGTACCAGACCACTGCCTTATTTGGCTGTACGAGTTGTTTCTGGATGGTGACATGCTGGAGTTTAAAAGGCAATGGGAGGTGGGTGTGGTGGCTCACACCTGTAATCACAATTACTTGGGAGGCTGAGGTGGGAGCAATGCTTGAAGCCAGGAGTTCAAGACCAGCCTGGGCAAATTAGGAGACCCTATCTTTACAAGACTTTTAAAAGTTAGCCAGGTATGGTGACACATGCCTGTAGTCTCAGCTACTCAGGAGGCTAAAATGGGAGGATCACTTGAGTCCAGAAGTTTGAGGTTATAGTGAGCTATAATTGTGCCACTTCACTCCAGCCTGAACAACAGTGAGAACCTATCTCAAAAAAAAAAAAAAAAGAAAGAAATAAAAAGAAAAAAGGGGGCAAGAAAAGGCAATGGGCCCACGGACTCTGGGCTCCTCTAGCCTAGAGGACATCTCACTCTTTTCAGGCTGCCAAGATCACCAAGAAAAGCCAGACAAGTGATGAGGAGTAGCCTCTACATCCCTGTGTTCTTTTCTATACATCTGCATGCCTTGTTTGCTGCTTTGGGAGAAAACAGAAGTAAAAGCAACCTAAACTTGAGCTCAAGTCGTCAATCTGGCTCATCTTTGCCCTCAAGCCAGAATCTAGCCTAATCTCTCTGTAATCACGGTCTAGTTTGGCACTGGGGCTGCCTCACCCAGTGAATTCTGCTATCTTCTTCCATTCTGAAAATCTGGAACTGACATCTACCTATGGGCCTACTGGGTGCCAGCAGGTTTTATGTGTTATGTGGAGGTTATCTTTCCCCACCTGGAGATGATAATTTGAAGTTCTATGAGAAGTTGAGATCACACCATTAAGGGCAGAGCTGTCTTTACACTTCCCCATTGTGAGGACAGCAGAGTCGACAAGTAGTGATCACAGGAGACCCCAAGCCCCTGGTGATCTCACACGTTCTCCAATCCACAGCTCTCCTTCCTCCTGCTCACCTATTCTTACCCCTGGCCCACAATGAACTAATCTGTCGGAAGGTAAATCCCGGGTCTGTTCAAGCCTCATACAGTGATCAGCATAACTACGGCCTAGAGTGAGAGACCATTGGTTTTATTTCAGTTCCGCCACTGACTTGTTACAACATTCTTTAGCGTTCATGCTGACAGACACTCCAGAGTGGTAACAGCATAGAAAATGCTGACAAACTGGGCACAACTGTTTGTTTACTCATATTGATAATAACTAGTATTCACATCGTACTTTGCAGTTTGCAGTGTTCACACAAACCTTGTCTCACTGATTTTCAAAAGAACTCTCTGAGATAATCAGAGAGTTGTTATCATCTTCGTTTTACAGAGGAAGAAGCCATGGCTTGGAGAAATGAAGCAACTGGTAATAAATTAGTATGGCAAGAAAGACAGTAAGGGGGCAGGGAACATAGCAGACAGCTCCTCTTGACACCTTTAGGAAGCAGATGAATAAAACTCTAGCTTAATGGTGTCTCCCAGGGTGCCCTTCCTGCTCCCCTGATAATTTCCATTGATTGGACCTATCTTTTTAAATCTCAAACTCTCACAAGTCTATAAATTGGGGTCATCGTTAAAAATAAAGAAACAGATTCAGAGTTACTTGCCCAATATCATACGGCTCAAAAGATCTCAGCAAAGAAGCCAGCTCTAATAAGACAAGAGAGCTCATGTTCTTCCCTCTGTCACAGTCTTTTCCTAAAGTTACAATCTCCCTGGGTGACATTGCTCACACCTAACATGTTAACCATTAAATCTGTCTCCAACCTAGACTTCTTTCCTGAGTCCCAGATCTATTTGTACAACTGCCTAGTGGAAATCTCCTCTTAAGTGTCCCATACACATCTCAAGGCCAACATATCCTAACCTGAATTCATTATACATCCCCCAAGCCAGCTCCTCCTTGAGGTCTTCCAATTGCTGACATCTACCTAGGGCCTACCTAGTTAGTAGCACCATAATCTAGTCCACTGGGCAAATCAGAAACATGGAAGTCCTGTGACATTTCCTCTTCGACCCCACAGCCAATCAGTGAGCCTTCTCAAGCCTTTCTCCTAAACATGTCTCCAATCGTTCTTCTGCTTCCGCTCCCAGTGTCTCTCAGTCCTTTATCATTGGCAATAGAGTCCCCATTGATTTCCTTGCCATGAGTCTCAGCCCCATCCCTCCCTCCCAGGCTCAAATTCCTCTCTGCCTGACCAAGTGACCCTCTTAGATTTGGCCCCTGCCTAGCTACTGTGCCAGCCTCATTACCCTCACTTTACCTCTGGCACATTGTGTTCCAGCAAACCCAAAGTATATGCAGTCCACCAACAGCCATGTACCTTCTGCCTAGAATGCCCTGTCCCCATTTCAGGGCTCTGTTCAACAACTACTGTCACTTCTTTTATTCCATCCCCCAGGGAAAGTTCCTTGCCGTCTCCTTTGCAACAACATTGTACCTTGAACTTGCCCCTTATCACCTTGAACCACAAATCTTGGCTTACATGCCTGCTCCTCCTGCCTACCATACTGGGAGATCCTTGAGAACAAAGACCAGGTCCTACCTATCTTTATAGGTGCAGCACCTAGCCCAGTGGTCAACACTTAGTAGGCACTCCATAAATGTTCATGAAATGTATGCTGGAATTGATCACCACTGCATTTTAGAATATGAAGGAAACTTAAAGTGAATTGAGTCCACTCCAAAGCCTAATTTTACAGATAATGATACCAAGGTTCAGGGATGATGTGACTTGCTGAGCTACATAATGCCTTGGCAGCAATGGTAATAAATAGATTCAAATCTCCAGAATGGATTCACTCCTTTATTAGTTCTTTTTCCGTGATTCCTCATTGCCTCTCAAACTCAAAGCAGAAAAGCCATTGAGCCTCTCAGCGTCTCTGTTTTCACTCATAGACAACGGAAATTACTAATGCCTTCCCTTTCTACAGCATAGGGATTTTATTTAACTACGGTTGAATGCTGTCTGTAAAAATGCTTTGACTTCAGAGAGAGATACACCACAGCCGCGGCTCAGCAGCCCACCACTTTGATTTCAACTTCTCAGTTTACTCTCTCACTTCCTCTATTGACTTTTCCTCTCATGCAGCCTGCAACCCAGCAGAAGCTGGAAGAGAAAGAGATTTGTGATTTCCTCTTACCCCAACTCTACTTAACGAAGAAGAAAGGTACTGTAAATAAAATGAAACAAAGGTTCGTGTACAACTGCATACAAAATATTGCTATTGATTACAAGTTCAGGATGAGAATAAAAGGAGGTTCATGTTTGGAGTCTTGCACTGGGAATGATTATGACACTACTCAGAGACTCCACATCCGTCCGTATGTACATATGTAAATAAAATAGGCTGCCAAACCTAGGAGATTTTTTAAATTCTGACATTCTTTTAAAAAGCAGGAGGATGACAGTTAACTTGGAAAAATAATATCGTAAAAGACAAAGAAAGGCTGTCGAAATGTTCCAGATTAAAGGAGGCTAAAGAGACATGACAACCAAATGTAACACCTGACCCTACCGGATCTTATGTTGGAGGGAAAAGATGCCATAAAGGACATTATTGGGTCAATTGACAAAATTGGAATGAGAACAAAAGATTAAATAAATGTGTTGTATCAATATTAATCAAATGGAAGTTGATAACTCTATTGTGATTAGGTAACAGATTATTCTTAGGAAATACTCACTGAAGTATTAAAGACCCATAATGTATGTAACTTACTCTCAAATGCATCAGAAAAGCATTGTGTGTGTTTGTGTGTGTGTGTGTGTGTGTGTGTGTGTGTGTGTGTGTGTGTAGAGAAGATATACAGGCAGATCTAAAGTAAATGAGGTAAAATGTGTACAGTAAGTGAATCTAGGTAAAACATATGTAGATGATATTTGTACCATTTTTATTCTTGCAACTTCTCTGTAAGTTTAAAATTATTTCTGAATGAAAGTGTTTTTTTTAATCATGTCTGGGCCAAGTGTGGTGGCTTATACCCACTGAAAGTAATCCCACTGCTTTGAGAGGCTGAGGCAGGAGTATCACTTGAGTCCAGGAGTTCGAGACCATCCTGGGCAACACAGAGAGACCACATCACTACTAAAAATTTTTTTAATTAGCCAGGTGTAACAGTGAGCACCTGAATTCCCAGCTACTTGGGAGACTGAGGTGGGAGGATTGCTTGAGCCCGGGAGTTCGAGGTTGCAGTGAGCTATGATCACACCACAGCACCCCAGACTGGGTGACAGAGTGAGACCCTGTCTCAGGAAAAAAAAAAAAAAAAAAAAAAAAAAAAAAGGATGTCTGCACAAGACTTTGCATTTGTGATATTTAACAAGTTCAATTGTTATATCCATATTCATCCATCTATCTTCAGTAATCATGTCTCCAGCACTATGCTAAAATGCTGTAGAGATTGAAGAGAGAAATAGGCATAATTTTTTCTTTAAGTAGTTCATTTCTACTTTAGAAGAGAGGACACAAACACATAAATAGACAGAAATCATGATAAGCAGCAAATGCTGAAGACCAAATGAGTAGTAGCGGCAAAGGGAAGACGAAATGGAATTTCAGGGCTTTAGGGAGGAGGTGGAAGTTGAGTGAGGCCTTTGAGCAGGGACTGGGTTTGGAAAGGAGCAGAAGAGCAGAAAGAGCACTCCAAGTGGAGAGCACAGTGAGAC